>NC_000018.10:17527844-17853482 GCF_000001405.40 Homo sapiens | reverse complement strand
AAATGTCCACTTACACACACTACAAAAAGAGTGTTTCAAACCTGCTCTGTGAAAGGGAATGTTCAATTCTGTGACTTGAATGCAATCATCACAAAGAACTTTCTGAGAATGCTTGCTGTCTGCTTTTTATATGTAATCCCGTTTCCAACGAAATCCTCAAATCTAGCCAAATAGCCACTTGCAGATTCCACAAAAAGAGTGTTTCAAAACTGTTCTGTCTAAAGAAATGTTCAACTGTGTTAGTTGAGGACACACATCAGAAACTAGTTTCTGAGAATGCTTCTGTCTAGTTGTTATGGGAAGATATTTCCTTTTCCAACGTAGGCCTGAAAGCGCTCCAAATGTCCACTTCCATATACTAAAAAAAGAGTGTTTCAAACCTGCTCTACCAAAGGGAATGTTCTACTCTGTGACTTGAATGCAAACATCCCAAAGAAGTTTCTGAGAATGCTTCTGTCTAGATTTTCTCTGAAGACAATCCCGTTTCCAACGAAATCCTCAAGGCTAGGCAAATATACTCTTGCAGATTCCAGAAAAAGAGTGTTTCAAAACTGCTCCTTCAAAACGGTGGTTCAATTCTCTTAGTTGAGTACACACATCTCAAATAAGTTTCTGAGAATGCTTCTGCCTAGTTGTTACGGGAAGATATTTCCCTTTCCAACATGGGCCTGAAAGCGCTCCAAATGTCCACTTCCAGATACTACAAAAAGAGTGTTTCAAACCTGCTCTACCAAAGGGAATGTTCTACTCTGTGACTTGAATGCAAACATCCCAAAGAAGTTTCTGAGAATGCTTCTGTCTAGATTTTACCTGAAGACAATCCCGTTTCCCACGAAATCCTCAAAGCTATGCAAATATCCTCTTGCAGATTCTACAAAAAGAGTGTTTCAAAACTGCTCTATGAAAAGAAAGGTTCAACTCTGTCAGTAGAGGGCACACATCACAAACAAGTTTCTGAGAATGCTTGTGTCTAGTTGTTATGGGAAGATATTTCCTTTTTCAACATAGGCCTGAAAGCGCTCCAAATGTCCAATTCCACATACTACAAAAGGAGTGATTCCAACCTGCTCTATGATAGGGAATGTTCATCTCTGTGTCCTGAATACAAACATCACAAAGATGTTTCTCATAACGCTGCAGTCTGCAATTTGTATGAATTCCCGCTTCCAACGAAATCCTCAAAACTAGCCAAATATCCACTTGCAGATTCCACAAAAAGACCATTTCAAAACTGCTCTATCAAAAGAAAGGTTCAACTTTGTTAGTTGAGTAGATACAGCATAACCAAGTTTCTGAGAATGCTTCTGTCCAGTTTTTATGGGAAGATATTTCCTTTTTCACCTTAGCCCTGAAATCGCTCCAAAAGTCCAGTTCCAGATACTACAAAAGGGGTGTTTCAAGACTGCTCTATGAAAGGGAGTGTTCAACTTTTGACTTGAATGCAAACATCAGAAAGCAGTTTCTCAGAACGCTGCTGTGTGCTTTTTATATGTATTCCCGCTTCCAGCGAAATCCCCAAAGCTAGCCAAATATCCACTTGCAGATTCCAGAAAAAGAGAGTTTCAAAACTGCTCCTTCAAAACGGTGGTTCAATTCTCTTAGTTGAGTACACACATCTCAAATAAGTTTCTGAGAATGCTTGTGTCTAGTTGTTATGGGAAGATATTTCCTTTTTCAACATAGGCCTGAAAGCGCTCCAAATGTCCACTTCCAGATACTACAAAAGGAGTGATTCCAACCTGCTCTATGATAGGGAATGTTCATCTCTGTGTCTTGAATACAAACATCACAAAGATGTTTCTCAGAACGCTGCAGTCTGCAATTTGTATGAATTCCCGCTTCCAACGAAATCCTCAAAACTAGCCAAATATCCACTTGGAGATTCCACAAAAAGAGCGTTTCAAAACTTCTCTATGAATAGAAATGTTCTACTCCTTTAGTTGAGGACACACATCACGAGTAAGTTTCTGAGAATGCTTCTGTCTAGTTTTTATGGGAAGATATTTCCTTTTTCACCTTAGGCCGGAAAGCGCTCCAAATGTCCACTTACACACACTACAAAAAGAGTGTTTCAAACCTGCTCTGTGAAAGGGAATGTTCAATTCTGTGACTTGAATGCAATCATCACAAAGAACTTTCTGAGAATGCTGCTGTCTGCTTTTTATATGTAATCCCGTTTCCAACGAAATCCTCAAATCTAGCCAAATATCCACTTGCAGATTCCACAAAAAGAGTGTTTCAAAACTGTTCTGTCTAAAGAAAAGTTCAACTGTGTTAGTTGAGGACACACATCAGAAACTAGTTTCTGAGAATGCTTCTGTCTAGTTCTTATGGGAAGATATTTCCTTTTCCAACGTAGGCCTGAAAGCGCTCAAAATGTCCACTTCCATATACTAAAAAAAGAGTGTTTCAAACCTGCTCTACCAAAGAGAATGTTCTACTCTGTGACTTGAATGCAAACATCCCAAAGAAGTTTCTGAGAATGCTTCTGTCTAGATTTTATCTGAAGACAATCCAGTTTCCAACGAAATCCTCAAGGCTAGGCAAATATATTCTTGCAGAATCCAGAAAAAGAGTGTTTCAAAACTGCTCCTTCAAAACGGTGGTTCAATTCTCTTAGTTGAGTACACACATCTCAAATAAGTTTCTGAGAATGCTTCTGCCTAGTTGTTAAGGGAAGATATTTCCCTTTCCAACATGAGCCTGAAAGCGCTCCATATGTCCACTTCCAGATACTACAAAAAGAGTGTTTCAAACCTGCTCTACCAAAGGGAATGTTCTACTCTGTGACTTGAATGCAAACATCCCAAAGAAGTTTCTGAGAATGCTTCTGTCTAGATTTTACCTGAAGACAATCCCGTTTCCCACGAAATCCTCAAAGCTATGCAAATATCCTCTTGCAGATTCTACAAAAAGAGTGTTTCAAAACTGCTCTATGAAAAGAAAGGTTCAACTCTGTCAGTAGAGGGCACACATCACAAACAAGTTTCTGAGAATGCTTCTGTCTAGTTGTTATGGGAAGATATTTCCTTTTCCAACATAGGCCTGAAAGCGCTCCAAATGTCCACTTCCAGATACTACAAAAGGAGTGATTCCAACCTGCTCTATGATAGGGAATGTTCAACTCTGTGTCCTGAATACAAACATCACAAAGATGTTTCTCAGAACGCTGCAGTCTGCAATTTGTATGAATTCCCGCTTCCAACGAAATCCTCAAAACTAGCCAAATATCCACTTGCAGATTCCACAAAAAGAGCGTTTCAAAACTTCTCTATGAAAAGAAAGGTTCTACTCCTTTAGTTGAGGACACACATCACGAGTAAGTTTCTGAGAATGCTTCTGTCTAGTTTTTATGGGAAGATATTTCCTTTTTCACCTTAGGCCGGTAAGTGCTCCAAATGTCCACTTACACACACTACAAAAAGAGTGTTTCAAACCTGCTCTGTGAAAGGGAATGTTCAATTCTGTGACTTGAATGCAATCATCACAAAGAACTTTCTGAGAATGCTGCTGACTGCTTTTTATATGTAATCCCGTTTCCAACGAAATCCTCAAATCTAGCCAAATAGCCACTTGCAGATTCCACAAAAAGAGTGTTTCAAAACTGTTCTGTCTAAAGAAATGTTCAACTGTGTTAGTTGAGGACACACATCAGAAACTAGTTTCTGAGAATGCTTCTGTCTAGTTGTTATGGGAAGATATTTCCTTTTCCAACGTAGGCCTGAAAGCGCTCCAAATGTCCACTTCCATATACTAAAAAAAGAGTGTTTCAAACCTGCTCTACCAAAGGGAATGTTCTACTCTGTGACTTGAATGCAAACATCCCAAAGAAGTTTCTGAGAATGCTTCTGTCTAGATTTTCTCTGAAGACAATCCCGTTTCCAACGAAATCCTCAAGGCTAGGCAAATATACTCTTGCAGATTCCAGAAAAAGAGTGTTTCAAAACTGCTCCTTCAAAACGGTGGTTCAATTCTCTTAGTTGAGTACACACATCTCAAATAAGTTTCTGAGAATGCTTCTGCCTAGTTGTTACGGGAAGATATTTCCATTTCCAACATGGGCCTGAAAGCGCTCCAAATGTCCACTTCCAGATACTACAAAAAGAGTGTTTCAAACCTGCTCTACCAAAGGGAATGTTCTACTCTGTGACTTGAATGCAAACATCCCAAAGAAGTTTCTGAGAATGCTTCTGTCTAGATTTTACCTGAAGACAATCCCGTTTCCCACGAAATCCTCAAAGCTATGCAAATATCCTCTTGCAGATTCTACAAAAAGAGTGTTTCAAAACTGCTCTATGAAAAGAAAGGTTCAACTCTGTCAGTAGAGGGCACACATCACAAACAAGTTTCTGAGAATGCTTCTGCATAGTTGTTACGGGAAGATATTTCCCTTTCCAAAATAGGCCTGAAAGCGCTCCAAATGTCCACTTCCAGATACTACAAAAGGAGTGATTCCAACCTGCTCTATGATAGGGAATGTTCAACTCTGTGTCCTGAATACAAACATCACAAAGATGTTTCTCAGAACGCTGCAGTCTGCAATTTGTATGAATTCCCGCTTCCAACGAAATCCTCAAAACTAGCCAAATATCCACTTGCAGATTCCACAAAAAGACCATTTCAAAACTGCTCTATCAAAAGAAAGGTTCAACTTTGTTAGTTGAGTAGATACAGCATAAACAAGTTTCTGAGAATGCTTCTGTCCAGTTTTTATGGGAAGATATTTCCTTTTTCAACTTAGCCCTGAAATCGCTCCAAAAGTCCAGTTCCAGATACTACAAAAGGGGTGTTTCAAGACTGCTCTATGAAAGGGAGTGTTCAACTTTTGACTTGAATGCAAACATCAGAAAGCAGTTTCTCAGAACGCTGCTGTGTGCTTTTTATATGTATTCCCGCTTCCAGCGAAATCCCCAAAGCTAGCCAAATATCCACTTGCAGATTCCAGAAAAAGAGAGTTTCAAAACTGCTCCTTCAAAACGGTGGTTCAATTCTCTTAGTTGAGTACACACATCTCAAATAAGTTTCTGAGAATGCTTCTGTCTAGTTGTTATGGGAAGATATTTCCTTTTCCAACATAGGCCTGAAAGCGCTCCAAATGTCCACTTCCAGATACTACAAAAGGAGTGATTCCAACCTGCTCTATGATAGGGAATGTTCAACTCTGTGTCCTGAATACAAACATCACAAAGATGTTTCTCAGAACGCTGCAGTCTGCAATTTGTATGAATTCCCGCTTCCAACGAAATCCTCAAAACTAGCCAAATATCCACTTGCAGATTCCACAAAAAGAGCGTTTCAAAACTTCTCTATGAAAAGAAAGGTTCTACTCCTTTAGTTGAGGACACACATCACGAGTAAGTTTCTGAGAATGCTTCTGTCTAGTTTTTATGGGAAGATATTTCCTTTTTCACCTTAGGCCGGTAAGTGCTCCAAATGTCCACTTACACACACTACAAAAAGAGTGTTTCAAACCTGCTCTGTGAAAGGGAATGTTCAATTCTGTGACTTGAATGCAATCATCACAAAGAACTTTCTGAGAATGCTGCTGACTGCTTTTTATATGTAATCCCGTTTCCAACGAAATCCTCAAATCTAGCCAAATAGCCACTTGCAGATTCCACAAAAAGAGTGTTTCAAAACTGTTCTGTCTAAAGAAATGTTCAACTGTGTTAGTTGAGGACACACATCAGAAACTAGTTTCTGAGAATGCTTCTGTCTAGTTGTTATGGGAAGATATTTCCTTTTCCAACGTAGGCCTGAAAGCGCTCCAAATGTCCACTTCCATATACTAAAAAAAGAGTGTTTCAAACCTGCTCTACCAAAGGGAATGTTCTACTCTGTGACTTGAATGCAAACATCCCAAAGAAGTTTCTGAGAATGCTTCTGTCTAGATTTTCTCTGAAGACAATCCCGTTTCCAACGAAATCCTCAAGGCTAGGCAAATATACTCTTGCAGATTCCAGAAAAAGAGTGTTTCAAAACTGCTCCTTCAAAACGGTGGTTCAATTCTCTTAGTTGAGTACACACATCTCAAATAAGTTTCTGAGAATGCTTCTGCCTAGTTGTTACGGGAAGATATTTCCCTTTCCAACATGGGCCTGAAAGCGCTCCAAATGTCCACTTCCAGATACTACAAAAAGAGTGTTTCAAACCTGCTCTACCAAAGGGAATGTTCTACTCTGTGACTTGAATGCAAACATCCCAAAGAAGTTTCTGAGAATGCTTCTGTCTAGATTTTACCTGAAGACAATCCCGTTTCCCACGAAATCCTCAAAGCTATGCAAATATCCTCTTGCAGATTCTACAAAAAGAGTGTTTCAAAACTGCTCTATGAAAAGAAAGGTTCAACTCTGTCAGTAGAGGGCACACATCACAAACAAGTTTCTGAGAATGCTTCTGCATAGTTGTTACGGGAAGATATTTCCCTTTCCAAAATAGGCCTGAAAGCGCTCCAAATGTCCACTTCCAGATACTACAAAAGGAGTGATTCCAACCTGCTCTATGATAGGGAATGTTCAACTCTGTGTCCTGAATACAAACATCACAAAGATGTTTCTCAGAACGCTGCAGTCTGCAATTTGTATGAATTCCCGCTTCCAACGAAATCCTCAAAACTAGCCAAATATCCACTTGCAGATTCCACAAAAAGACCATTTCAAAACTGCTCTATCAAAAGAAAGGTTCAACTTTGTTAGTTGAGTAGATACAGCATAAACAAGTTTCTGAGAATGCTTCTGTCCAGTTTTTATGGGAAGATATTTCCTTTTTCACCTTAGCCCTGAAATCGCTCCAAAAGTCCAGTTCCAGATACTACAAAACGGGTGTTTCAAGACTGCTCTATGAAAGGGAGTGTTCAACTTTTGACTTGAATGCAAACATCAGAAAGCAGTTTCTCAGAACGCTGCTGTGTGCTTTTTATATGTATTCCCGCTTCCAGCGAAATCCCCAAAGCTAGCCAAATATCCACTTGCAGATTCCAGAAAAAGAGTGTTTCAAAACTGCTCCTTCAAAACGGTGGTTCAATTCTCTTAGTTGAGTACACACATCTCAAATAAGTTTCTGAGAATGCTTCTGTCTAGTTGTTATGGGAAGATATTTCCTTTTCCAACATAGGCCTGAAAGCGCTCCAAATGTCCACTTCCAGATACTACAAAAGGAGTGATTCCAACCTGCTCTATGATAGGGAATGTTCAACTCTGTGTCCTGAATACAAACATCACAAAGATGTTTCTCAGAACGCTGCAGTCTGCAATTTGTATGAATTCCCGCTTCCAACGAAATCCTCAAAACTAGCCAAATATCCACTTGCAGATTCCACAAAAAGAGCGTTTCAAAACTTCTCTATGAAAAGAAAGGTTCTACTCCTTTAGTTGAGGACACACATCACGAGTAAGTTTCTGAGAATGCTTCTGTCTAGTTTTTATGGGAAGATATTTCCTTTTTCACCTTAGGCCGGTAAGTGCTCCAAATGTCCACTTACACACACTACAAAAAGAGTGTTTCAAACCTGCTCTGTGAAAGGGAATGTTCAATTCTGTGACTTGAATGCAATCATCACAAAGAACTTTCTGAGAATGCTGCTGACTGCTTTTTATATGTAATCCCGTTTCCAACGAAATCCTCAAATCTAGCAAAATAGCCACTTGCAGATTCCACAAAAAGAGTGTTTCAAAACTGTTCTGTCTAAAGAAATGTTCAACTGTGTTAGTTGAGGACACACATCAGAAACTAGTTTCTGAGAATGCTTCTGTCTAGTTGTTATGGGAAGATATTTCCTTTTCCAACGTAGGCCTGAAAGCGATCCAAATGTCCACTTCCATATACTAAAAAAAGAGTGTTTCAAACCTGCTCTACCAAAGGGAATGTTCTACTCTGTGACTTGAATGCAAACATCCCAAAGAAGTTTCTGAGAATGCTTCTGTCTAGATTTTCTCTGAAGACAATCCCGTTTCCAACGAAATCCTCAAGGCTAGGCAAATATACTCTTGCAGATTCCAGAAAAAGAGTGTTTCAAAACTGCTCCTTCAAAACGGTGGTTCAATTCTCTTAGTTGAGTACACACATCTCAAATAAGTTTCTGAGAATGCTTCTGCCTAGTTGTTACGGGAAGATATTTCCCTTTCCAACATGGGCCTGAAAGCGCTCCAAATGTCCACTTCCAGATACTACAAAAAGAGTGTTTCAAACCTGCTCTACCAAAGGGAATGTTCTACTCTGTGACTTGAATGCAAACATCCCAAAGAAGTTTCTGAGAATGCTTCTGTCTAGATTTTACCTGAAGACAATCCCGTTTCCCACGAAATCCTCAAAGCTATGCAAATATCCTCTTGCAGATTCTACAAAAAGAGTGTTTCAAAACTGCTCTATGAAAAGAAAGGTTCAACTCTGTCAGTAGAGGGCACACATCACAAACAAGTTTCTGAGAATGCTTGTGTCTAGTTGTTATGGGAAGATATTTCCTTTTTCAACATAGGCCTGAAAGCGCTCCAAATGTCCACTTCCAGATACTACAAAAGGAGTGATTCCAACCTGCTCTATGATAGGGAATGTTCAACTCTGTGTCCTGAATACAAACATCACAAAGATGTTTCTCAGAACGCTGCAGTCTGCAATTTGTATGAATTCCCGCTTCCAACGAAATCCTCAAAACTAGCCAAATATCCACTTGCAGATTCCACAAAAAGACCATTTCAAAACTGCTCTATCAAAAGAAAGGTTCAACTTTGTTAGTTGAGTAGATACAGCATAAACAAGTTTCTGAGAATGCTTCTGTCCAGTTTTTATGGGAAGATATTTCCTTTTTCACCTTAGCCCTGAAATCGCTCCAAAAGTCCAGTTCCAGATACTACAAAAGGGGTGTTTCAAGACTGCTCTATGAAAGGGAGTGTTCAACTTTTGACTTGAATGCAAACATCAGAAAGCAGTTTCTCAGAACGCTGCTGTGTGCTTTTTATATGTATTCCCGCTTCCAGCGAAATCCCCAAAGCTAGCCAAATATCCACTTGCAGATTCCAGAAAAAGAGAGTTTCAAAACTGCTCCTTCAAAACGGTGGTTCAATTCTCTTAGTTGAGTACACACATCTCAAATAAGTTTCTGAGAATGCTTCTGTCTAGTTGTTATGGGAAGATATTTCCTTTTCCAACATAGGCCTGAAAGCGCTCCAAATGTCCACTTCCAGATACTACAAAAGGAGTGATTCCAACCTGCTCTATGATAGGGAATGTTCAACTCTGTGTCCTGAATACAAACATCACAAAGATGTTTCTCAGAACGCTGCAGTCTGCAATTTGTATGAATTCCCGCTTCCAACGAAATCCTCAAAACTAGCCAAATATCCACTTGCAGATTCCACAAAAAGACCATTTCAAAACTGCTCTATCAAAAGAAAGGTTCAACTTTGTTAGTTGAGTAGATACAGCATAACCAAGTTTCTGAGAATGCTTCTGTCCAGTTTTTATGGGAAGATATTTCCTTTTTCACCTTAGCCCTGAAATCGCTCCAAAAGTCCAGTTCCAGATACTACAAAAGGGGTGTTTCAAGACTGCTCTATGAAAGGGAGTGTTCAACTTTTGACTTGAATGCAAACATCAGAAAGCAGTTTCTCAGAACGCTGCAGTCTGCAATTTGTATGAATTCCCGCTTCCAACGAAATCCTCAAATCTAGCCAAATATCCACTTGCAGATTCCACAAAAAGAGCGTTTCAAAACTTCTCTATGAAAAGAAAGGTTCTACTCCTTTAGTTGAGGACACACATCACGAGTAAGTTTCTGAGAATGCTTCTGTCTAGTTTTTATGGGAAGATATTTCCTTTTTCAACTTAGGCCGGAAAGTGCTCCAAATGTCCACTTACACACACTACAAAAAGAGTGTTTCAAACCTGCTCTGTGAAAGGTAATGTTCAATTCTGTGACTTGAATACAATCATCACAAAGAACTTTCTGAGAATGCTGCTGACTGCTTTTTATATGTAATCCCGTTTCCAACGAAATCCTCAAATCTAGCCAAATAGCCACTTGCAGATTCCACAAAAAGAGTGTTTCAAAACTGTTCTGTCTAAAGAAATGTTCAACTGTGTTAGTTGAGGACACACATCAGAAACTAGTTTCTGAGAATGCTTCTGTCTAGTTGTTATGGGAAGATATTTCCTTTTCCAACGTAGGCCTGAAAGCGCTCCAAATGTCCACTTCCATATACTAAAAAAAGAGTGTTTCAAACCTGCTCTACCAAAGGGAATGTTCTACTCTGTGACTTGAATGCAAACATCCCAAAGAAGTTTCTGAGAATGCTTCTGTCTAGATTTTCTCTGAAGACAATCCCGTTTCCAACGAAATCCTCAAGGCTAGGCAAATATACTCTTGCAGATTCCAGAAAAAGAGTGTTTCAAAACTGCTCCTTCAAAACGGTGGTTCAATTCTCTTAGTTGAGTACACACATCTCAAATAAGTTTCTGAGAATGCTTCTGCCTAGTTGTTACGGGAAGATATTTCCCTTTCCAACATGGGCCTGAAAGCGCTCCAAATGTCCACTTCCAGATACTACAAAAAGAGTGTTTCAAACCTGCTCTACCAAAGGGAATGTTCTACTCTGTGACTTGAATGCAAACATCCCAAAGAAGTTTCTGAGAATGCTTCTGTCTAGATTTTACCTGAAGACAATCCCGTTTCCCACGAAATCCTCAAAGCTATGCAAATATCCTCTTGCAGATTCTACAAAAAGAGTGTTTCAAAAGTGCTCTATGAAAAGAAAGGTTCAACTCTGTCAGTAGAGGGCACAACATCACAAACAAGTTTCTGAGAATGCTTCTGCATAGTTGTTACGGGAAGATATTTCCCTTTCCAAAATAGGCCTGAAAGCGCTCCAAATGTCCACTTCCAGATACTACAAAAGGAGTGATTCCAACCTGCTCTATGATAGGGAATGTTCAACTCTGTGTCCTGAATACAAACATCACAAAGATGTTTCTCAGAACGCTGCAGTCTGCAATTTGTATGAATTCCCGCTTCCAACGAAATCCTCAAAACTAGCCAAATATCCACTTGCAGATTCCACAAAAAGACCATTTCAAAACTGCTCTATCAAAAGAAAGGTTCAACTTTGTTAGTTGAGTAGATACAGCATAAACAAGTTTCTGAGAATGCTTCTGTCCAGTTTTTATGGGAAGATATTTCCTTTTTCACCTTAGCCCTGAAATCGCTCCAAAAGTCCAGTTCCAGATACTACAAAAGGGGTGTTTCAAGACTGCTCTATGAAAGGGAGTGTTCAACTTTTGACTTGAATGCAAACATCAGAAAGCAGTTTCTCAGAACGCTGCTGTGTGCTTTTTATATGTATTCCCGCTTCCAGCGAAATCCCCAAAGCTAGCCAAATATCCACTTGCAGATTCCAGAAAAAGAGTGTTTCAAAACTGCTCCTTCAAAACGGTGGTTCAATTCTCTAAGTTGAGTACACACATCTCAAATAAGTTTCTGAGAATGCTTGTGTCTAGTTGTTATGGGAAGATATTTCCTTTTTCAACATAGGCCTGAAAGCGCTCCAAATGTCCACTTCCAGATACTACAAAAGGAGTGATTCCAACCTGCTCTATGATAGGGAATGTTCAACTCTGTGTCCTGAATACAAACATCACAAAGATGTTTCTCAGAACGCTGCAGTCTGCAATTTGTATGAATTCCCGCTTCCAACGAAATCCTCAAAACTAGCCAAATACCCACTTGCAGATTCCACAAAAAGAGCGTTTCAAAACTTCTCTATGAAAAGAAAGGTTCTACTACTTTAGTTGAGGACACACATCACGAGTAAGATTCTGAGAATGCTTCTGTCCAGTTTTTATGGGAAGATATTTCCTTTCTCACCTTAGCCCTGAAAGCGCTCCAAAAGTCCAGTTCCAGATACTACAAAAGGAGTGTTTCAGGACTGCACTATGAAAGGGAGTGTTCAACTTTTGACTTGAATGCAAACATCAGAAAGCAGTTTCTCAGAACGCTGCTGTGTGCTTTTTATATGTATTCCCGCTTCCAGCGAAATCCCCAAAGCTAGCCAAATATCCACTTGCAGATTCCAGAAAAAGAGTGTTTCAAAACTGCTCCTTCAAAACGGTGGTTCAATTCTCTTAGTTGAGTACACACATCTCAAATAAGTTTCTGAGAATGCTTCTGTCTAGTTGTTATGGGAAGATATTTCCTTTTCCAACATAGGCCTGAAAGCGCTCCAAATGTCCACTTCCAGATACTACAAAAGGAGTGATTCAAACCTGCTCTATGATAGGGAATGTTCAACTCTGTGTCCTGAATACAAACATCACAAAGATGTTTCTCAGAACGCTGCAGTCTGCAATTTGTATGAATTCCCGCTTCCAACGAAATCCTCAAAACTAGCCAAATATCCACTTGCAGATTCCACAAAAAGAGCGTTTCAAAACTTCTCTATGAAAAGAAAGGTTCTACTCCTTTAGTTGAGGACACACATCACGAGTAAGTTTGCTGAGAATGCTTATCTGTCTAGTTTTTATGGGAAGATATTTCCTTTTTCACCTTAGGCCGGAAAGTGCTCCAAATGTCCACTTACACACACTACAAAAAGAGTGTTTCAAACCTGCTCTGTGAAAGGGAATGTTCAATTCTGTGACTTGAATGCAATCATCACAAAGAACTTTCTGAGAATGCTGCTGTCTGCTTTTTATATGTAATCCCGTTTCCAACGAAATCCTCAAATCTAGCCAAATAGCCACTTGCAGATTCCACAAAAAGAGTGTTTCAAAACTGTTCTGTCTAAAGAAATGTTCAACTGTGTTAGTTGAGGACACACATCAGAAACTAGTTTCTGAGAATGCTTCTGTCTAGTTGTTATGGGAAGATATTTCCTTTTCCAACGTAGGCCTGAAAGCGCTCCAAATGTCCACTTCCATATACTAAAAAAAGAGTGTTTCAAACCTGCTCTACCAAAGGGAATGTTCTACTCTGTGACTTGAATGCAAACATCCCAAAGAAGTTTCTGAGAATGCTTCTGTCTAGATTTTATCTGAAGACAATCCCGTTTCCAACGAAATCCTCAAGGCTAGGCAAATATCGTCTAGCAGATTCCAGAAAAAGAGTGTTTCAAAACTGCTCCTTCAAAACGGTGGTTCAATTCTCTTAGTTGAGTACACACATCTCAAAAAAGTTTCAGAGAATGCTTCTGCCTAGTTGTTACGGGAAGATATTTCCCTTTCCAACATGGGCCTGAAAGTGCTGCAAATGTCCACTTCCAGATACTACAAAAAGAGTGTTTCAAACCTGCTCTACCAAAGGGAATGTTCTACTCTGTGACTTGAATGCAAACATCCCAAAGAAGTTTCTGAGAATGCTTCTGTCTAGATTTTACCTGAAGACAATCCCGTTTCCCACGAAATCCTCAAAGCTATGCAAATATCCTCTTGCAGATTCTACAAAAAGAGTGTTTCAAAACTGCTCTATGAAAAGAAAGGTTCAACTCTGTCAGTAGAGGGCACACATCACAAACAAGTTTCTGAGAATGCTTGTGTCTAGTTGTTATGGGAAGATATTTCCTTTTTCAACATAGGACTGAAAGCGCTCCAAATGTCCACTTCCGGATACTACAAAAGGAGTGATTCCAACCTGCTCTATGATAGGGAATGTTCATCTCTGTGTCCTGAATACAAACATCACAAAGATGATTCTCAGAACGCTGCAGTCTGCAATTTGTATGAATTCCCGCTTCCAACGAAATCCTCAAAACTAGCCAAATATCCACTTGGAGATTCCACAAAAAGAGCGTTTCAAAACTTCTCTATGAATAGAAATGTTCTACTCCTTTAGTTGAGGACACACATCACGAGTAAGTTTCTGAGAATGCTTCTGTCTAGTTTTTATGGGAAGATATTTCCTTTTTCACCTTAGGCCGGAAAGCGCTCCAAATGTCCACTTACACACACTACAAAAAGAGTGTTTCAAACCTGCTCTGTGAAAGGGAATGTTCAATTCTGTGACTTGAATGCAATCATCACAAAGAACTTTCTGAGAATGCTGCTGTCTGCTTTTTATATGTAATCCCGTTTCCAACGAAATCCTCAAATCTAGCCCAATATCCACTTGCAGATTCCACAAAAAGAGTGTTTCAAAACTGTTCTGTATAAAGAAATGTACAACTGTGTTAGTTGAGGACACACATCAGAAACTAGTTTCTGAGAATGCTTCTGTCTAGTTGTTATGGGAAGATATTTCCTTTTCCAACGTAGGCCTGAAAGCGCTCCAAATGTCCACTTCCATATACTAAAAAAAGAGTGTTTCAAACCTGCTCTACCAAAGGGAATGTTCTACTCTGTGACTTGAATGCAAACATCCCAAAGAAGTTTCTGAGAATGCTTCTGTCTAGATTTCAACTGAAGACAATCCCGTTTCCAACGAAATCCTCAAATCTATGCAAATATCCTCTTGCAGATTCCAGAAAAAGAGTGTTTCAAAACTGCTCCTTCAAAACGGTGGTTCAATTCTCTTAGTTGAGTACACACATCTCAAATAAGTTTCTGAGAATGCTTCTGCCTAGTTGTTACGGGAAGATATTTCCCTTTCCAACATAGGCCTGAAAGCGCTCCAAATGTCCACTTCCAGATACTACAAAAAGAGTGTTTCAAACCTGCTCCTTCAAAACGGTGGTTCAATTCTCTTAGTTCAGTACACACATCTCAAATAAGTTTCTGAGAATGCTTCTGCCTAGTTGTTACGGGAAGATATTTCCCTTTCCAACATAGGCCTGAAAGCGCTCCAAATGTCCACTTCCAGATACTACAAAAAGAGTGTTTCAAACCTGCTCTACCAAAGGGAATGTTCTACTCTGTGACTTGAATGCAAACATCCCGAAGAATTTTCTGAGAATGCTTCTGTCTAGATTTTACCTGAAGACAATCCCGTTTCCCACGAAATCCTCAAAGCTATGCAAATATCCTCTTGCAGATTCTACAAAAAGAGTGTTTCAAAACTGCTCTATGAAAAGAATGGTTCAACTCTGTCAGCAGAGGGCACACATCACAAACAAGTTTCTGAGAATGCTTGTGTCTAGTTGTTATGGGAAGATATTTCCTTTTTCAACATAGGCCTGAAAGCGCTCCAAATGTCCACTTCCAGATACTACAAAAGGAGTGATTCCAACCTGCTCTATGATAGGGAATGTTCATCTCTGTGTCCTGAATACAAACATCACAAACATGTTTCTCAGAACGCTGCAGTCTGCAATTTGTATGAATTCCCGCATCCAACGAAATCCTCAAAACTAGCCAAATATCCACTTGGAGATTCCACAAAAAGAGCGTTTCAAACCTTCTCTATGAATAGAAAGGTTCTACTCCTTTAGTTGAGGACACACATCACGAGTAAGTTTCTGAGAATGCTTCTGTCTAGTTTTTATGGGAAGATATTTCCTTTTTCACCTTAGGCCGGAAAGCGCTCCAAATGTCCACTTACACACACTACAAAAAGAGTGTTTCAAACCTGCTCTGTGAAAGGGAATGTTCAATTCTGTGACTTGAATGCAATCATCACAAAGAACTTTCTGAGAATGCTGCTGTCTGCTTTTTATATGTAATCCCGTTTCCAACGAAATCCTCAAATCTAGCCAAATATCCACTTGCAGATTCCACAAAAAGAGTGTTTCAAAACTGTTCTGTCTAAAGAAAAGTTCAACTGTGTTAGTTGAGGACACACATCAGAAACTAGTTTCTGAGAATGCTTCTGTCTAGTTGTTATGGGAAGATATTTCCTTTTCCAACGTAGGCCTGAAAGCGCTCCAAATGTCCATTTCCATATACTAAAAAAAGAGTGTTTCAAACCTGCTCTACCAAAGGGAATGTTCTACTCTGTGACTTGAATACAAACATCCCAAAGAAGTTTCTGAGAATGCTTCTGTCTAGATTTTATCTGAAGACAATCCCGTTTCCAACGAAATCCTCAAGGCTAGGCAAATATCGTCTAGCAGATTCCAGAAAAAGAGTGTTTCAAAACTGCTCCTTCAAAACGGTGGTTCAATTCTCTTAGTTGCGTACACACATCTCAAAAAAGTTTCAGAGAATGCTTCTGCCTAGTTGTTACGGGAAGATATTTCCCTTTCCAACATGGGCCTGAAAGCGCTCCAAATGTCCACTTCCAGATACTACAAAAAGAGTGTTTCAAACCTACTCTACCAAAGGGAATGTTCTACTCTGTGACTTGAATGCAAACATCCCAAAGAAGTCTCTGAGAATGCTTCTGTCTAGATTTTACCTGAAGACAATCCCGTTTCCCACGAAATCCTCAAAGCTATGCAAATATCCTCTTGCGGATTCTACAAAAAGAGTGTTTCAAAACTGCTCTATGAAAAGAAAGGTTCAACTCTGTCAGTAGAGGGCACACATCACAAACAAGTTTCTGAGAATGCTTGTGTCTAGTTGTTATGGGAAGATATTTCCTTTTTCAACATAGGCCTGAAAGCGCTCCAAATGTCCACTTCCAGATACTACAAAAGGAGTGATTCCAACCTGCTCTATGATAGGGAATGTTCATCTCTGTGTCCTGAATACAAACATCACAAAGATGTTTCTCAGAACGCTGCAGTCTGCAATTTGTATGAATTCCCGCTTCCAACGAAATCCTCCAAACTAGCCAAATATCCACTTGCAGATTCCACAAAAAGAGCGTTTCAAAACTTCTCTATGAAAAGAAAGGTTCTACTCCTTTAGTTGAGGACACACATCACGAGTAAGTTTCTGAGAATGCTTCAGTCTAGTTTTTATGGGAAGATATTTCCTTGTTCACCTTAGGCCGGAAAGCGCTCCAAATGTCCACTTACACACACTAGAAAAAGAGTGTTTCAAACCTGCTCTGTGAAAGGGAATGTTCAATTCTGTGACTTGAATGCAATCATCACAAAGAAGTTTCTGAGAATGCTGCTGTCTGCTTTTTATATGTAATCCCGTTTCCAACGAAATCCTCAAATCTAGCCAAATATCCACTTGCAGATTCCACAAAAAGAGTGTTTCAAAACTGTTCTGTCTAAAGAAATGTTCAACTGTGTTAGTTGAGGACACACATCAGAAACTAGTTTCTGAGAATGCTTCTGTCTAGTTGTTATGGGAAGATATTTCCTTTTCCAACGTAGGCCTGAAAGCGCTCCAAATGTCCACTTACACACACTACAAAAAGAGTGTTTCAAACCTGCTCTACCAAAGGGAATGTTCTACTCTGTGACTTGAATGCAAACATCCCAAAGAAGTTTCTGAGAATGCTTCTGTCTAGATTTCACCTGAAGACAATCACGTTTCCAACGAAATCCTCAAAGCTATGCAAATATCCTCTTGCAGATTCTTCAAAAAGAGTGTTTCGAAAGTGCTCTATGAAAAGAAAGGTTCAACTGTGTCAGTAGAGGGCACACATCACAAACAAGTTTCTGAGAATGCTTGTGTCTAGTTGTTATGGGAAGATATTTCCTTTTTCAACATAGGCCTGAAAGCGCTCCAAATGTCCACTTCCAGATACTACAAAAGGAGTGATTCCAACCTGCTCTATGATAGGGAATGTTCATCTCTGTGTCCTGAATACAAACATCACAAAGATGTTTCTCAGAACGCTGCAGTCTGCAATTTGTATGAATTCCCGCTTCCAACGAAATCCTCAAAACTAGCCAAATATCCACTTGGAGATTCCACAAAAAGAGCGTTTCAAAACTTCTCTATGAATAGAAAGGTTCTACTCCTTTAGTTGAGGACACACATCACGAGTAAGTTTCTGAGAATGCTTCTGTCTAGTTTTTATGGGAAGATATTTCCTTTTTCACCTTAGGCCGGTAAGTGCTCCAAATGTCCACTTACACACACTACAAAAAGAGTGTTTCAAACCTGCTCTGTGAAAGGGAATGTTCAATTCTGTGACTTGAATGCAATCATCACAAAGAACTTTCTGAGAATGCTGCTGACTGCTTTTTATATGTAATCCCGTTTCCAACGAAATCCTCAAATCTAGCCAAATAGCCTCTTGCAGATTCCACAAAAAGAGTGTTTCAAAACTGTTCTGTCTAAAGAAATGTTCAACTGTGTTAGTTGAGGACACACATCAGAAACTAGTTTCTGAGAATGCTTCTGTCTAGTTGTTATGGGAAGATATTTCCTTTTCCAACGTAGGCCTGAAAGCGCTCCAAATGTCCACTTCCATATACTAAAAAAAGAGTGTTTCAAACCTGCTCTACCAAAGGGAATGTTCTACTCTGTGACTTGAATGCAAACATCCCAAAGAAGTTTCTGAGAATGCTTCTGTCTAGATTTTCTCTGAAGACAATCCCGTTTCCAACGAAATCCTCATGGCTAGGCAAATATACTCTTGCAGATTCCAGAAAAAGAGTGTTTCAAAACTGCTCCTTCAAAACGGTGGTTCAATTCTCTTAGTTGAGTACACACATCTCAAATAAGTTTCTGAGAATGCTTCTGCCTAGTTGTTACGGGAAGATATTTCCCTTTCCAACATGGGCCTGAAAGCGCTCCAAATGTCCACTTCCAGATACTACAAAAAGAGTGTTTCAAACCTGCTCTACCAAAGGGAATGTTCTACTCTGTGACTTGAATGCAAACATCCCAAAGAAGTTTCTGAGAATGCTTCTGTCTAGATTTTACCTGAAGACAATCCCGTTTCCCACGAAATCCTCAAAGCTATGCAAATATCCTCTTGCAGATTCTACAAAAAGAGTGTTTCAAAACTGCTCTATGAAAAGAAAGGTTCAACTCTGTCAGTAGAGGGCACACATCACAAACAAGTTTCTGAGAATGCTTCTGCATAGTTGTTACGGGAAGATATTTCCCTTTCCAAAATAGGCCTGAAAGCGCTCCAAATGTCCACTTCCAGATACTACAAAAGGAGTGATTCCAACCTGCTCTATGATAGGGAATGTTCAACTCTGTGTCCTGAATACAAACATCACAAAGATGTTTCTCAGAACGCTGCAGTCTGCAATTTGTATGAATTCCCGCTTCCAACGAAATCCTCAAAACTAGCCAAATATCCACTTGCAGATTCCACAAAAAGAGTATTTCAAAACTGCTCTATCAAAAGAAAGGTTCAACTTCTTTGTTAGTTGAGTAGATACAGCATAAACAAGTTTCTGAGAATGCTTCTGTCCAGTTTTTATGGGAAGATATTTCCTTTTTCACCTTAGCCCTGAAAGCGCTCCAAAAGTCCAGTTCCAGATACTACAAAAGGAGTGTTTCAGGACTGCTCTATGAAAGGGAGTGTTCAACTTTTGACTTGAATGCAAACATCAGAAAGCAGTTTCTCAGAACGCTGCTGTGTGCTTTTTATATGTATTCCCGCTTCCAGCGAAATCCCCAAAGCTAGCCAAATATCCACTTGCAGATTCCAGAAAAAGAGTGTTTCAAAACTGCTCCTTCAAAACGGTGGTTCAATTCTCTTAGTTGAGTACACACATCTCAAATAAGTTTCTGAGAATGCTTCTGTCTAGTTGTTATGGGAAGATATTTCCTTTTCCAACATAGGCCTGAAAGCGCTCCAAATGTCCACTTCCAGATACTACAAAAGGAGTGATTCAAACCTGCTCTATGATAGGGAATGTTCAACTCTGTGTCCTGAATACAAACATCACAAAGATGTTTCTCAGAACGCTGGCAGTCTGCAATTTGTATGAATTCCCGCTTCCAACGAAATCCTCAAAACTAGCCAAATATCCACTTGCAGATTCCACAAAAAGAGCGTTTCAAAACTTATCTATGAAAAGAAAGGTTCTACTCCTTTAGTTGAGGACACACATCACGAGTAAGTTTCTGAGAATGCTTCTGTCTAGTTTTTATGGGAAGATATTTCCTTTTTCACCTTAGGCCGGTAAGTGCTCCAAATGTCCACTTACACACACTACAAAAAGAGTGTTTCAAACCTGCTCTGTGAAAGGGAATGTTCAATTCTGTGACTTGAATGCAATCATCACAAAGAACTTTCTGAGAATGCTGCTGACTGCTTTTTATATGTAATCCCGTTTCCAACGAAATCCTCAAATCTAGCCAAATAGCCACTTGCAGATTCCACAAAAAGAGTGTTTCAAAACTGTTCTGTCTAAAGAAATGTTCAACTGTGTTAGTTGAGGACACACATCAGAAACTAGTTTCTGAGAATGCTTCTGTCTAGTTGTTATGGGAAGATATTTCCTTTTCCAACGTAGGCCTGAAAGCGCTCCAAATGTCCACTTCCATATACTAAAAAAAGAGTGTTTCAAACCTGCTCTACCAAAGGGAATGTTCTACTCTGTGACTTGAATGCAAACATCCCAAAGAAGTTTCTGAGAATGCTTCTGTCTAGATTTTATCTGAAGACAATCCCGTTTCCAACGAAATCCTCAAGGCTAGGAAAATATACTCTTGCAGATTCCAGAAAAAGAGTGTTTCAAAACTGCTCCTTCAAAACGGTGGTTCAATTCTCTTAGTTGAGTACACACATCTCAAATAAGTTTCTGAGAATGCTTCTGCCTAGTTGTTACGGGAAGATATTTCCCTTTCCAACATGGGCCTGAAAGCGCTCCAAATGTCCACTTCCAGATACTACAAAAAGAGTGTTTCAAACCTGCTCTACCAAAGGGAATGTTCTACTCTGTGACTTGAATGCAAACATCCCAAAGAAGTTTCTGAGAATGCTTCTGTCTAGATTTTACCTGAAGACAATCCCGTTTCCCACGAAATCCTCAAAGCTATGCAAATATCCTCTTGCAGATTCTACAAAAAGAGTGTTTCAAAACTGCTCTATGAAAAGAAAGGTTCAACTCTGTCAGTAGAGGGCACACATCACAAACAAGTTTCTGAGAATGCTTCTGCATAGTTGTTACGGGAAGATATTTCCCTTTCCAAAATAGGCCTGAAAGCGCTCCAAATGTCCACTTCCAGATACTACAAAAGGAGTGATTCCAACCTGCTCTATGATAGGGAATGTTCAACTCTCTGTCCTGAATACAAACATCACAAAGATGTTTCTCAGAACGCTGCAGTCTGCAATTTGTATGAATTCCCGCTTCCAACGAAATCCTCAAAACTAGCCAAATATCCACTTGCAGATTCCACAAAAAGACCATTTCAAAACTGCTCTATCAAAAGAAAGGTTCAACTTTGTTAGTTGAGTAGATACAGCATAACCAAGTTTCTGAGAATGCTTCTGTCCAGTTTTTATGGGAAGATATTTCCTTTTTCACCTTAGCCCTGAAATCGCTCCAAAAGTCCAGTTCCAGATACTACAAAAGGGGTGTTTCAAGACTGCTCTATGAAAGGGAGTGTTCAACTTTTGACTTGAATGCAAACATCAGAAAGCAGTTTCTCAGAACGCTGCTGTGTGCTTTTTATATGTATTCCCGCTTCCAGCGAAATCCCCAAAGCTAGCCAAATATCCACTTGCAGATTCCAGAAAAAGAGAGTTTCAAAACTGCTCCTTCAAAACGGTGGTTCAATTCTCTTAGTTGAGTACACACATCTCAAATAAGTTTCTGAGAATGCTTCTGTCCAGTTTTTATGGGAAGATATTTCCTTTTTCACCTTATCCCTGAAAGCGCTCCAAAAGTCCAGTTCCAGATACTACAAAAGGAGTGTTTCAGGACTGCTCTATGAAAGGGAGTGTTCAACTTTTGACTTGAATGCAAACATCAGAAAGCAGTTTCTCAGAACGCTGCAGTCTGCAATTTGTATGAATTCCCGCTTCCAACGAAATCCTCAAAACTAGCCAAATATCCACTTGCAGATTCCACAAAAAGAGCGTTTCAAAACTTCTCTATGAAAAGAAAGGTTCTACTCCTTTAGTTGAGGACACACATCACGAGTAAGTTTCTGAGAATGCTTCTGTCTAGTTTTTATGGGAAGATATTTCCTTTTTCACCTTAGGCCGGTAAGTGCTCCAAATGTCCACTTACACACACTACAAAAAGAGTGTTTCAAACCTGCTCTGTGAAAGGGAATGTTCAATTCTGTGACTTGAATGCAATCATCACAAAGAACTTTCTGAGAATGCTGCTGACTGCTTTTTATATGTAATCCCGTTTCCAACGAAATCCTCAAATCTAGCCAAATAGCCACTTGCAGATTCCACAAAAAGAGTGTTTCAAAACTGTTCTGTCTAAAGAAATGTTCAACTGTGTTAGTTGAGGACACACATCAGAAACTAGTTTCTGAGAATGCTTCTGTCTAGTTGTTATGGGAAGATATTTCCTTTTCCAACGTAGGCCTGAAAGCGCTCCAAATGTCCACTTCCAGATACTAAAAAAAGAGTGTTTCAAACCTGCTCTACCAAAGGGAATGTTCTACTCTGTGACTTGAATGCAAACATCCCAAAGAAGTTTCTGAGAATGCTTCTGTCTAGATTTTCTCTGAAGACAATCCCGTTTCCAACGAAATCCTCAAGGCTAGGCAAATATACTCTTGCAGATTCCAGAAAAAGAGTGTTTCAAAACTGCTCCTTCAAAACGGTGGTTCAATTCTCTTAGTTGAGTACACACATCTCAAATAAGTTTCTGAGAATGCTTCTGCCTAGTTGTTACGGGAAGATATTTCCCTTTCCAACATGGGCCTGAAAGCGCTCCAAATGTCCACTTCCAGATACTACAAAAAGAGTGTTTCAAACCTGCTCTACCAAAGGGAATGTTCTACTCTGTGACTTGAATGCAAACATCCCAAAGAAGTTTCTGAGAATGCTTCTGTCTACATTTTACCTGAAGACAATCCCGTTTCCCACGAAATCCTCAAAGCTATGCAAATATCCTCTTGCGGATTCTACAAAAAGAGTGTTTCAAAACTGCTCTATGAAAAGAAAGGTTCAACTCTGTCAGTAGAGGGCACACATCACAAACAAGTTTCTGAGAATGCTTGTGTCTAGTTGTTATGGGAAGATATTTCCTTTTTCAACATAGGCCTGAAAGCGCTCCAAATGTCCACTTCCAGATACTACAAAAGGAGTGATTCCAACCTGCTCTATGATAGGGAATGTTCATCTCTGTGTCCTGAATACAAACATCACAAAGATGTTTCTCAGAACGCTGCAGTCTGCAATTTGTATGAATTCCCGCTTCCAACGAAATCCTCAAAACTAGCCAAATATCCACTTGCAGATTCCACAAAAAGAGCATTTCAAAACTGCTCTATCAAAAGAAAGGTTCAACTTTGTTAGTTGAGTAGATACAGCATAAACAAGTTTCTGAGAATGCTTCTGTCCAGTTTTTATGGGAAGATATTTCCTTTTTCACCTTAGCCCTGAAAGCGCTCCAAAAGTCCAGTTCCAGATACTACAAAAGGAGTGTTTCAGGACTGCTCTATGAAAGGGAGTGTTCAACTTTTGACTTGAATGCAAACATCAGAAAGCAGTTTCTCAGAACGCTGCTGTGTGCTTTTTATATGTATTCCCGCTTCCAGCGAAATCCCCAAAGCTAGCCAAATATCCACTTGCAGATTCCAGAAAAAGAGTGTTTCAAAACTGCTCCTTCAAAACGGTGGTTCAATTCTCTTAGTTGAGTACACACATCTCAAATAAGTTTCTGAGAATGCTTCTGTCTAGTTGTTATGGGAAGATATTTCCTTTTCCAACATAGGCCTGAAAGCGCTCCAAATGTCCACTTCCAGATACTACAAAAGGAGTGATTCCAACCTGCTCTATGATAGGGAATGTTCAACTCTGTGTCCTGAATACAAACATCACAAAGATGTTTCTCAGAACGCTGCAGTCTGCAATTTGTATGAATTCCCGCTTCCAACGAAATCCTCCAAACTAGCCAAATATCCACTTGCAGATTCCACAAAAAGAGCGTTTCAAAACTTCTCTATGAAAGAAAGGTTCTACTCCTTTAGTTGAGGACACACATCAAGAGTAAGTTTCTGAGAATGCTTCTGTCTAGTTTTTATGGGAAGATATTTCCTTTCTCACCTTAGGCCGGAAAGTGCTCCAAATGTCCACTTACACACACTACAAAAAGAGTGTTTCAAACCTGCTCTGTGAAAGGGAATGTTCAATTCTGTGACTTGAATGCAATCATCACAAAGAACTTTCTGAGAATGCTGCTGTCTGCTTTTTATATGTAATCCCGTTTCCAACGAAATCCTCAAATCTAGCCAAATAGCCACTTGCAGATTCCACAAAAAGAGAGTTTCAAAACTGTTCTGTCTAAAGAAATGTTCAACTGTGTTAGTTGAGGACACACATCAGAAACTAGTTTCTGAGAATGCTTCTGTCTAGTTGTTATGGGAAGATATTTCCTTTTCCAACGTAGGCCTGAAAGCGCTCCAAATGTCCACTTCCATATACTAAAAAAAGAGTGTTTCACACCTGCTCTACCAAAGGGAATGTTCTACTCTGTGACTTGAATGCAAACATCCCAAAGAAGTTTCTGAGAATGCTTCTGTCTAGATTTGATCTGAACACAATCCCGTTTCCAACGAAATCCTCAAAGCTAGGCAAATATCCTCTTGCAGATTCCAGAAAAAGAGTGTTTCAAAACTGCTCCTTCAAAACGGTGGTTCAATTCTCTTAGTTGAGTACACACATCTCAAATAAGTTTCTGAGAATGCTTCTGCCTAGTTGTTACGGGAAGTATATTTCCCTTTCCAACATAGGCCTGAAAGCGCTCCAAATGTCCACTTCCAGATACTATAAAAAGAGTGTTTCAAACCTGCTCTACCAAAGGGAATGTTCTACTCTGTGACTTGAATGCAAACATCCCAAAGAAGTTTCTGAGAATGCTTCTGTCTAGATTTTTACCTGAAGACAATCCCGTTTCCCACGAAATCCTCAAAGCTATGCAAATATCCTCTTGCAGATTCTACAAAAAGAGTGTTTCAAAACTGCTCTATGAAAAGAAAGGTTCAACTCTGTCAGTAGAGGGCACACATCACAAACAAGTTTCTGAGAATGCTTCTGCATAGTTGTTACGGGAAGATATTTCCCTTTCCAAAATAGGCCTGAAAGCGCTCCAAATGTCCACTTCCAGATACTACAAAAGGAGTGATTCCAACCTGCTCTATGATAGGGAATGTTCAACTCTGTGTCCTGAATACAAACATCACAAAGATGTTTCTCAGAACGCTGCAGTCTGCAATTTGTATGAATTCCCGCTTCCAACGAAATCCTCAAAACTAGCCAAATATCCACTTGCAGATTCCACAAAAAGACCATTTCAAAACTGCTCTATCAAAAGAAAGGTTCAACTTTGTTAGTTGAGTAGATACAGCATAAACAAGTTTCTGAGAATGCTTCTGTCCAGTTTTTATGGGAAGATATTTCCTTTTTCACCTTAGCCCTGAAATCGCTCCAAAAGTCCAGTTCCAGATACTACAAAAGGGGTGTTTCAAGACTGCTCTATGAAAGGGAGTGTTCAACTTTTGACTTGAATGCAAACATCAGAAAGCAGTTTCTCAGAACGCTGCTGTGTGCTTTTTATATGTATTCCCGCTTCCAGCGAAATCCCCAAAGCTAGCCAAATATCCACTTGCAGATTCCAGAAAAAGAGAGTTTCAAAACTGCTCCTTCAAAACGGTGGTTCAATTCTCTTAGTTGAGTACACACATCTCAAATAAGTTTCTGAGAATGCTTCTGTCTAGTTGTTATGGGAAGATATTTCCTTTTCCAACATAGGCCTGAAAGCGCTCCAAATGTCCACTTCCAGATACTACAAAAGGAGTGATTCAAACCTGCTCTATGATAGGGAATGTTCAACTCTGTGTCCTGAATACAAACATCACAAAGATGTTTCTCAGAACGCTGCAGTCTGCAATTTGTATGAATTCCCGCTTCCAACGAAATCCTCAAAACTAGCCAAATATCCACTTGCAGATTCCACAAAAAGAGCGTTTCAAAACTTCTCTATGAAAAGAAAGGTTCTACCCCTTTAGTTGAGGACACACATCACGAGTAAGTTTCTGAGAATGCTTCTGTCTAGTTTTTATGGGAAGATATTTCCTTTTTCACCTTAGGCCGGTAAGTGCTCCAAATGTCCACTTACACACACTACAAAAAGAGTGTTTCAAACCTGCTCTGTGAAAGGGAATGTTCAATTCTGTGACTTGAATGCAATCATCACAAAGAACTTTCTGAGAATGCCGCTGACTGCTTTTTATATGTAATCCCGTTTCCAACGAAATCCTCAAATCTAGCCAAATAGCCACTTGCAGATTCCACAAAAAGAGTGTTTCAAAACTGTTCTGTCTAAAGAAATGTTCAACTGTGTTAGTTGAGGACACACATCAGAAACTAGTTTCTGAGAATGCTTCTGTCTAGTTGTTATGGGAAGATATTTCCTTTTCCAACGTAGGCCTGAAAGCGCTCCAAATGTCCACTTCCATATACTACAAAAAGAGTGTTTCAAACCTGCTCTACCAAAGGGAATGTTCTACTCTGTGACTTGAATGCAAACATCCCAAAGAAGTTTCTGAGAATGCTTCTGTCTAGATTTTATCTGAAGACAATCCCGTTTCCAACGAAATCCTCAAGGCTAGGCAAATATACTCTTGCAGATTCCAGAAAAAGAGTGTTTCAAAACTTCTCCTTCAAAACGGTGGTTCAATTCTCTTAGTTGAGTACACACATCTCAAATAAGTTTCTGAGAATGCTTCTGCCTAGTTGTTACGGGAAGATATTTCCCTTTCCAACATGGGCCTGAAAGCGCTCCAAATGTCCACTTCCAGATACTACAAAAAGAGTGTTTCAAACCTGCTCTACCAAAGGGAATGTTCTACTCTGTGACTTGAATGCAAACATCCCAAAGAAGTTTCTGAGAATGCTTCTGTCTAGATTTTACCTGAAGACAATCCCGTTTCCCACGAAATCCTCAAAGCTATGCAAATATCCTCTTGCAGATTCTACAAAAAGAGTGTTTCAAAACTGCTCTATGAAAAGAAAGGTTCAACTCTGTCAGTACAGGATACACATCACAAACAAGTTTCTGAGAATGCTTGTGTCTAGTTGTTATGGGAAGATATTTCCTTTTTCAACATAGGCCTGAAAGCGCTCCAAATGTCCACTTCCAGATACTACAAAAGGAGTGATTCCAACCTGCTCTATGATAGGGAATGTTCAACTCTCTGTCCTGAATACAAACATCACAAAGATGTTTCTCAGAACGCTGCAGTCTGCAAATTGTATGAATTCCCGCTTCCAACGAAATCCTCAAAACTAGCCAAATATCCACTTGGAGATTCCACAAAAAGAGCGTTTCAAAACTTCTCTATGAATAGAAAGGTTCTACACCTTTAGTTGAGGACACACATCACGAGTAAGTTTCTGAGAATGCTTCTGTCTAGTTTTTATGGGAAGATATGTCCTTTTTCACCTTAGGCCGGAAAGCGCTCCAAATGTCCACTTACACACACTACAAAAAGAGTGTTTCAAACCTGCTCTGTGAAAGGGAATGTTCAATTCTGTGACTTGAATGCAATCATCACAAAGAACTTTCTGAGAATGCTGCTGACTGCTTTTTATATGTAATCCCGTTTCCAACGAAATCCTCAAATCTAGCCCAGTATCCACTTGCAGATTCCACAAAAAGAGTGTTTCAAAACTGTTCTGTCTAAAGAAATGTACAACTGTGTTAGTTGAGGACACACATCAGAAACTAGTTTCTGAGAATGCTTCTGTCTAGTTGTTATGGGAAGATATTTCCTTTTCCAACGTAGGCCTGAAAGCGCTCCAAATGTCCATTTCCATATACTAAAAAAAGAGTGTTTCAAACCTGCTCTACCAAAGGGAATGTTCTACTCTGTGACTTGAATACAAACGTCCCAAAGAAGTTTCTGAGAATGCTTCTGTCTAGATTTTATCTGAAGACAATCCCGTTTCCAACGAAATCCTCAAGGCTAGGCAAATATACTCTTGCAGATTCCAGAAAAAGAGTGTTTCAAAACTGCGCCTTCCAAACGGTGGTTCAATTCTCTTAGTTGAGTACACACATCTCAAATAAGTTTCTGAGAATGCTTCTGCCTAGTTGTTACGGGAAGATATTTCCCTTTCCAACATGGGCCTGAAAGCGCTCCAAATGTCCACTTCCAGATACTACAAAAGGAGGGTTTCAAACCTGCTCTAACAAAGGGAGTGTTCTACTCTGTGACTTGAATGCAAACATCCCAAAGAAGTTTCTGAGAATGCTTCTGTCTAGATTTTACCTGAAGACAATCCCGTTTCCCACGAAATCCTCAAAGCTATGCAAATATCCTCTTGCAGATTCTACAAAAAGAGTGTTTCAAAACTGCTCTATGAAAAGAAAGGTTCAACTCTGTCAGTAGAGGGCACACATCACAAACAAGTTTCTGAGAATGCTTCTGCATAGTTGTTATGGGAAGATATTTCCCTTTCCAAAATAGGCCTGAAAGCGCTCCAAATGTCCACTTCCAGATACTACAAAAGGAGTGATTCCAACCTGCTCTATGATAGGGAATGTTCAACTCTGTGTCCTGAATACAAACATCACAAAGATGTTTCTCAGAACGCTGCAGTGTGCAATTTGTATGAATTCCCGCTTCCAACGAAATCCTCAAAACTAGCCAAATATCCACTTGCAGATTCCACAAAAAGACCATTTCAAAACTGCTCTATCAAAAGAAAGGTTCAAATTTGTTAGTTGAGTAGATACAGCATAAACAAGTTTCTCAGAATGCTTCTGTCCAGTTTTTATGGGAAGATATTTCCTTTTTCACCTTAGCCCTGAAAGCGCCCGAAATGTCCAGTTCCAGATACTACAAAAGGAGTGTTTCAAGACTGCTCTATGAAAGGGAGTGTTCAACTTTTGACTTGAATGCAAACATCAGAAAGCAGTTTCTCAGAACGCTGCTGTGTGCTTTTTATATGTATTCCCGCTTCCAGCGAAATCCCCAAAGCTAGCCAAATATCCACTTGCAGATTCCAGAAAAAGAGTGTTTCAAAACTGCTCCTTCAAAACGGTGGTTCAATTCTCTTAGTTGAGTACACACATCTCAAATGAGTTTCTGAGAATGCTTCTGTCTAGTTGTTATGGGAAGATATTTCCTTTTTCAACATAGGCCTGAAAGCGCTCCAAATGTCCACTTCCAGATACTACAAAAGGAGTGATTCAAACCTGCTCTATGATAGGGAATGTTCAACTCTGTGTCCTGAATACAAACATCACAAAGATGTTTGTCAGAACGCTGCAGTCTGCAATTTGTATGAATTCCCGCTTCCAACGAAATCCTCAAAACTAGCCAAATATCCACTTGCAGATTCCACAAAAAGAGCGTTTCAAAACTTCTCTATGAAAAGAAAGGTTCTACTCCTTTAGTTGAGGACACACATCACGAGTAAGTTTCTGAGAATGCT
Organism: Homo sapiens; assembly: GCF_000001405.40. NCBI lineage: Eukaryota > Metazoa > Chordata > Mammalia > Primates > Hominidae > Homo > Homo sapiens. Next base: position 17,824,180 of record NC_000018.10, on the reverse strand, counting down.
TCTGTCTAGTTTTTATGGGAAGATATTTCCTTTTTCACCTTAGGCCGGTAAGTGCTCCAAATGTCCACTTACACACACTACAAAAAGAGTGTTTCAAACCTGCTCTGTGAAAGGGAATGTTCAATTCTGTGACTTGAATGCAATCATCACAAAGAACTTTCTGAGAATGCTGCTGACTGCTTTTTATATGTAATCCCGTTTCCAACGAAATCCTCAAATCTAGCAAAATAGCCACTTGCAGATTCCACAAAAAGAGTGTTTCAAAACTGTTCTGTCTAAAGAAATGTTCAACTGTGTTAGTTGAGGACACACATCAGAAACTAGTTTCTGAGAATGCTTCTGTCTAGTTGTTATGGGAAGATATTTCCTTTTCCAACGTAGGCCTGAAAGCGCTCCAAATGTCCACTTCCATATACTAAAAAAAGAGTGTTTCAAACCTGCTCTACCAAAGGGAATGTTCTACTCTGTGACTTGAATGCAAACATCCCAAAGAAGTTTCTGAGAATGCTTCTGTCTAGATTTGATCTGAAGACAATCCCGTTTCCAACGAAATTCTCAAGGCTAGGCAAATAGACTCTTGCAGATTCCAGAGAAAGAGTGTTTCAAAACTGCTCCTTCAAAACGGTGGTTCAATTCTCTTAGTTGAGTACACACATCTCAAATAAGTTTCTGAGAATGCTTCTGCCTAGTTGTTACGGGAAGATATTTCCCTTTCCAACATGGGCCTGAAAGCGCTCCAAATGTCCACTTCCAGATACTACAAAAAGAGTGTTTCAAACCTGCTCTACCAAAGGGAATGTTCTACTCTGTGACTTGAATGCAAACATCCCAAAGAAGTTTCTGAGAATGCTTCTGTCTAGATTTTACCTGAAGACAATCCCGTTTCCCACGAAATCCTCAAAGCTATGCAAATATCCTCTTGCAGATTCTACAAAAAGAGTGTTTCAAAACTGCTCTATGAAAAGAAAGGTTCAACTCTGTCAGTAGAGGGCACACATCACAAACAAGTTTCTGAGAATGCTTCTGCATAGTTGTTACGGGAAGATATTTCCCTTTCCAAAATAGGCCTGAAAGCGCTCCAAATGTCCACTTCCAGATACTACAAAAGGAGTGATTCCAACCTGCTCTATGATAGGGAATGTTCAACTCTGTGTCCTGAATACAAACATCACAAAGATGTTTCTCAGAACGCTGCAGTCTGCAATTTGTATGAATTCCCGCTTCCAACGAAATCCTCAAAACTAGCCAAATATCCACTTGCAGATTCCACAAAAAGACCATTTCAAAACTGCTCTATCAAAAGAAAGGTTCAACTTTGTTAGTTGAGTAGATACAGCATAACCAAGTTTCTGAGAATGCTTCTGTCCAGTTTTTATGGGAAGATATTTCCTTTTTCACCTTAGCCCTGAAATCGCTCCAAAAGTCCAGTTCCAGATACTACAAAAGGGGTGTTTCAAGACTGCTCTATGAAAGGGAGTGTTCAACTTTTGACTTGAATGCAAACATCAGAAAGCAGTTTCTCAGAACGCTGCTGTGTGCTTTTTATATGTATTCCCGCTTCCAGCGAAATCCCCAAAGCTAGCCAAATATCCACTTGCAGATTCCAGAAAAAGAGAGTTTCAAAACTGCTCCTTCAAAACGGTGGTTCAATTCTCTTAGTTGAGTACACACATCTCAAATAAGTTTCTGAGAATGCTTCTGTCTAGTTGTTATGGGAAGATATTTCCTTTTCCAACATAGGCCTGAAAGCGTTCCAAATGTCCACTTCCAGATACTACAAAAGGAGTGATTCAAACCTGCTCTATGATAGGGAATGTTCAACTCTGTGTCCTGAATACAAACATCACAAAGATGTTTCTCAGAACGCTGCAGTCTGCAATTTGTATGAATTCCCGCTTCCAACGAAATCCTCAAAACTAGCCAAATAACCACTTGCAGATTCCACAAAAAGAGCGTTTCAAAACTTCTCTATGAATAGAAAGGTTCTACTCCTTTAGTTGAGGACACACATCACGAGTAAGTTTCTGAGAATGCTTCTGTCTAGTTTTTATGGGAAGATATTTCCTTTTTCACCTTAGGCCGGTAAGTGCTCCAAATGTCCACTTACACACACTACAAAAAGAGTGTTTCAAACCTGCTCTGTGAAAGGGAATGTTCAATTCTGTGACTTGAATGCAATCATCACAAAGAACTTTCTGAGAATGCTGCTGACTGCTTTTTATATGTAATCCCGTTTCCAACGAAATCCTCAAATCTAGCCAAATAGCCACTTGCAGATTCCACAAAGAGATTGTTTCAAAACTGTTCTGTCTAAAGAAATGTTCAACTGTGTTAGTTGAGGACACACATCAGAAACTAGTTTCTGAGAATGCTTCTGTCTAGTTGTTATGGGAAGATATTTCCTTTTCCAACGTAGGCCTGAAAGCGCTCCAAATGTCCACTTCCATATACTAAAAAAAGAGTGTTTCAAACCTGCTCTACCAAAGGGAATGTTCTACTCTGTGACTTGAATGCAAACATCCCAAAGAAGTTTCTGAGAATGCTTCTGTCTAGATTTTCTCTGAAGACAATCCCGTTTCCAACGAAATCCTCAAGGCTAGGCAAATATACTCTTGCAGATTCCAGAAAAAGAGTGTTTCAAAACTGCTCCTTCAAAACGGTGGTTCAATTCTCTTAGTTGAGTACACACATCTCAAATAAGTTTCTGAGAATGCTTCTGCCTAGTTGTTACAGGAAGATATTTCCTTTTCCAACATGGGCCTGAAAGCGCTCCAAATGTCCACTTCCAGATACTACAAAAAGAGTGTTTCAAACCTACTCTACCAAAGGGAATGTTCTACTCTGTGACTTGAATGCAAACATCCCAAAGAAGTTTCTGAGAATGCTTCTGTCTAGATTTTACCTGAAGACAATCCCGTTTCCCACGAAATCCTCAAAGCTATGCAAATATCCTCTTGCAGATTCTACAAAAAGAGTGTTTCAAAACTGCTCTATGAAAAGAAAGGTTCAACTCTGTCAGTAGAGGGCACACATCACAAACAAGTTTCTGAGAATGCTTCTGCATAGTTGTTACGGGAAGATATTTCCCTTTCCAAAATAGGCCTGAAAGCGCTCCAAATGTCCACTTCCAGATACTACAAAAGGAGTGATTCCAACCTGCTCTATGATAGGGAATGTTCAACTCTGTGTCCTGAATACAAACATCACAAAGATGTTTCTCAGAACGCTGCAGTCTGCAATTTGTATGAATTCCCGCTTCCAACGAAATCCTCAAAACTAGCCAAATATCCACTTGCAGATTCCACAAAAAGACCATTTCAAAACTGCTCTATCAAAAGAAAGGTTCAACTTTGTTAGTTGAGTAGATACAGCATAAACAAGTTTCTGAGAATGCTTCTGTCCAGTTTTTATGGGAAGATATTTCCTTTTTCACCTTAGCCCTAAAATCGCTCCAAAAGTCCAGTTCCAGATACTACAAAAGGGGTGTTTCAAGACTGCTCTATGAAAGGGAGTGTTCAACTTTTGACTTGAATGCAAACATCAGAAAGCAGTTTCTCAGAACGCTGCTGTGTGCTTTTTATATGTATTCCCGCTTCCAGCGAAATCCCCAAAGCTAGCCAAATATCCACTTGCAGATTCCAGAAAAAGAGTGTTTCAAAACTGCTCCTTCAAAACGGTGGTTCAATTCTCTTAGTTGAGTACACACATCTCAAATAAGTTTCTGAGAATGCTTCTGTCTAGTTGTTATGGGAAGATATTTCCTTTTCCAACATAGGCCTGAAAGCGCTCCAAATGTCCACTTCCAGATACTACAAAAGGAGTGATTCAAACCTGCTCTATGATAGGGAATGTTCAACTCTGTGTCCTGAATACAAACATCACAAAGATGTTTCTCAGAACGCTGCAGTCTGCAATTTGTATGAATTCCCGCTTCCAACGAAATCCTCAAAACTAGCCAAATATCCACTTGCAGATTCCACAAAAAGAGCGTTTCAAAACTTCTCTATGAAAAGAAAGGTTCTACTCCTTTAGTTGAGGACACACATCACGAGTAAGTTTCTGAGAATGCTTCTGTCTAGTTTTTATGGGAAGATATTTCCTTTTTCACCTTAGGCCGGAAAGTGCTCCAAATGTCCACTTACACACACTACAAAAAGAGTGTTTCAAACCTGCTCTGTGAAAGGGAATGTTCAATTCTGTGACTTGAATGCAATCATCACAAAGAACTTTCTGAGAATGCTGCTGTCTGTTTTTTATATGTAATCCCGTTTCCAACGAAATCCTCAAATCTAGCAAAATAGCCACTTGCAGATTCCACAAAAAGAGTGTTTCAAAACTGTTCTGTCTAAAGAAATGTTCAACTGTGTTAGTTGAGGACACACATCAGAAACTAGTTTCTGAGAATGCTTCTGTCTAGTTGTTATGGGAAGATATTTCCTTTTCCAACGTAGGCCTGAAAGCGCTCCCAATGTCCACTTCCATATACTAAAAAAAGAGTGTTTCAAACCTGCTCTACCAAAGGGAATGTTCTACTCTGTGACTTGAATGCAAACATCCCAAAGAAGTTTCTGAGAATGCTTCTGTCTAGATTTGATCTGAAGACAATCCCGTTTCCAACGAAATCCTCAAGGCTAGGCAAATATCCTCTTGCAGATTCCAGAAAAAGAGTGTTTCAAAACTGCTCCTTCAAAACGGTGGTTCAATTCTCTTAGTTGAGTACACACATCTCAAATAAGTTTCTGAGAATGCTTCTGCCTAGTTGTTACGGGAAGATATTTCCCTTTGCAACATGGGCCAGAAAGCGCTCCAAATGTCCACTTCCAGATACTACAAAAAGAGGGTTTCAAACCTGCTCTACCAAAGGGAATGTTCTACTCTGTGACTTGAATGTAAACATCCCAAAGAAGTTTCTGAGAATGCTTTCTGTCTAGATTTTACCTGAAGACAATCCCGTTTCCCACGAAATCCTCAAAGCTATGCAAATATCCTCTTGCAGATTCTACAAAAAGAGTGTTTCAAAACTGCTCTATGAAAAGAAAGGTTCAACTCTGTCAGTAGAGGGCACACATCACAAACAAGTTTCTGAGAATGCTTGTGTCTAGTTGTTATGGGAAGATATTTCCTTTTTCAACATAGGCCTGAAAGCGCTCCAAATGTCCACTTCCAGATACTACAAAAGGAGTGATTCCAACCTGCTCTATGATAGGGAATGTTCAACTCTGTGTCCTGAATACAAACATCACAAAGATGTTTCTCAGAACGCTGCAGTCTGCAATTTGTATGAATTCCCGCTTCCAACGAAATCCTCAAAACTAGCCAAATATCCACTTGCAGATTCCACAAAAAGACCATTTCAAAACTGCTCTATCAAAAGAAAGGTTCAACTTTGTTAGTTGAGTAGATACAGCATAAACAAGTTTCTGAGAATGCTTCTGTCCAGTTTTTATGGGAAGATATTTCCTTTTTCACCTTAGCCCTGAAATCGCTCCAAAAGTCCAGTTCCAGATACTACCAAAGGGGTGTTTCAGGACTGCTCTATGAAAGGGAGTGTTCAACTTTTGACTTGAATGCAAACATCAGAAAGCAGTTTCTCAGAACGCTGCAGTCTGCAATTTGTATGAATTCCCGCTTCCAACGAAATCCTCAAAACTAGCCAAATATCCACTTGCAGATTCCACAAAAAGAGCGTTTCAAAACTTCTCTATGAAAAGAAAGGTTCTACTCCTTTAGTTGAGGACACACAATACGAGTAAGTTTCTGAGAATGCTTCTGTCCAGTTTTTATGGGAAGATATTTCCTTTTTCACCTTAGCCCTGAAAGCGCTCCAAAAGTCCAGTTCCAGATACTACAAAAGGAGTGTTTCAGGACTGCTCTATGAAAGGGAGTGTTCAACTTTTGACTTGAATGCAAACATCAGAAAGCAGTTTCTCAGAACGCTGCTGTGTGCTTTTTATATGTATTCCCGCTTCCAGCGAAATCCCCAAAGCTAGCCAAATATCCACTTGCAGATTCCAGAAAAAGAGTGTTTCAAAACTGCTCCTTCAAAACGGTGGTTCAATTCTCTTAGTTGAGTACACACATCTCAAATAAGTTTCTGAGAATGCTTCTGTCTAGTTGTTATGGGAAGATATTTCCTTTTCCAACATAGGCCTGAAAGCGCTCCAAATGTCCACTTCCAGATACTACAAAAGGAGTGATTCAAACCTGCTCTATGATAGGGAATGTTCAACTCTGTGTCCTGAATACAAACATCACAAAGATGTTTCTCAGAACGCTGCAGTCTGCAATTTGTATGAATTCCCGCTTCCAACGAAATCCTCAAAACTAGCCAAATATCCACTTGCAGATTCCACAAAAAGACCATTTCAAAACTGCTCTATCAAAAGAAAGGTTCAACTTAGTTAGTTGAGTAGATACAGCATAAACAAGTTTCTGAGAATGCTTCTGTCCAGTTTTTATGGGAAGATATTTCCTTTTCCACCTTAGCCCTGAAAGCGCTCCAAAAGTCCAGTTCCAGATACTACAAAAGGAGTGTTTCAGGACTGCTCTATGAAAGGGAGTGTTCAACTTTTGACTTGAATGCAAACATCAGAAAGCAGTTTCTCAGAACGCTGCTGTGTGCTTTTTATATGTATTCCCGCTTCCAGCGAAATCCCGAAAGCTAGCCAAATATCCACTTGCAGATTCCAGAAAAAGAGTGTTTCAAAACTGCTCCTTCAAAACGGTGGTTCAATTCTCTTAGTTGAGTACACACATCTCAAATAAGTTTCTGAGAATGCTTCTGTCTAGTTGTTATGGGAAGATATTTCCTTTTCCAACATAGGCCTGAAAGCGCTCCAAATGTCCACTTCCAGATACTACAAAAGGAGTGATTCAAACCTGCTCTATGATAGGGAATGTTCAACTCTGTGTCCTGAATACAAACATCACAAAGATGTTTCTCAGAACGCTGCAGTCTGCAATTTGTATGAATTCCCGCTTCCAACGAAATCCTCCAAACTAGCCAAATATCCACTTGCAGATTCCACAAAAAGAGCGTTTCAAAACTTCTCTATGAAAAGAAAGGTTCTACTCCTTTAGTTGAGGACACACATCACGAGTAAGTTTCTGAGAGTGCTTCTGTCTAGTTTTTATGGGAAGATATTTCCTTTTTCACCTTAGGCCGGAAAGTGCTCCAAATGTCCACTTACACACACTACAAAAAGAGTGTTTCAAACCTGCTCTGTGAAAGGGAATGTTCAATTCTGTGACTTGAATGCAATCATCACAAAGAACTTTCTGAGAATGCTTCTGTCTAGATTTTATATGAAGATATTCCCGTTTCCAACGAAATCCACAAAGCTATCGAAATATCCACTTGCAGATTCTACAAAAAGAGTGTTTCAAAACTGCTCTATGAAAAGAAAGGTTCTACTCCTTTAGCTGAGGACACATATCACGAGTAAGTTTCTGAGAATGCTTCTGTCTAGTTTTTATGGGAAGATATTTCCTTTTCCAACGTAGGCCTGAAAGCGCTCCAAATGTCCACTTCCATAAACTAAAAAAAGAGTGTTTCAAACCTGCTCTACCAAAGGGAATGTTCTACTCTGTGACTTGAATGCAAACATCCCAAAGAAGTTTCTGAGAATGCTTCTGTCTAGATTTTATCTGAAGACAATCCCGTTTCCAAAGAAATCCTAAAAGCTATGCAAATATCCTCTTGCAGATTCTAGAAAAAGAGTGTTTCGAAACTGCTCTATGAAAAGAAAGGTTCAACTCTGTCAGTAGAGGGCACACATCACAAAGTAGTTTCTGAGAATGCTTCTGTCTAGTTGTTATGGGAAGATATTTCCTTTTCCAACATAGGGCCTGAAAGCGCTCCAAATGTCCACTTCCAGATACTACAAAAGGAGTGATTCAAACCTGCTCTATGATAGGGAATGTTCAACTCTGTGTCCTGAATACAAACATCACAAAGATGTTTCTCAGAACGCTGCAGTCTGCAATTTGTATGAATTCCCGCTTCCAACGAAATCCTCAAAACTAGCCAAATATCCACTTGCAGATTCCACAAAAAGAGCGTTTCAAAACTTCTCTATGAAAAGAAAGGTTCTACTCCTTTAGTTGAGGACACACATCACGAGTAAGTTTCTGAGAATGCTTCTGTCTAGTTTTTATGGGAAGATATTTCCTTTTTCACCTTAGGCCGGTAAGTGCTCCAAATGTCCACTTACACACACTACAAAAAGAGTGTTTCAAACCTGCTCTGTGAAAGGGAATGTTCAATTCTGTGACTTGAATGCAATCATCACAAAGAACTTTCTGAGAATGCTGCTGACTGCTTTTTATATGTAATCCCGTTTCCAACGAAATCCTCAAATCTAGCCAAATAGCCACTTGCAGATTCCACAAAAAGAGTGTTTCAAAACTGTTCTGTCTAAAGAAATGTTCAACTGTGTTAGTTGAGGACACACATCAGAAACTAGTTTCTGAGAATGCTTCTGTCTAGTTGTTATGGGAAGATATTTCCTTTTCCAACGTAGGCCTGAAAGCGCTCCAAATGTCCACTTCCATATACTAAAAAAAGAGTGTTTCAAACCTGCTCTACCAAAGGGAATGTTCTACTCTGTGACTTGAATGCAAACATCCCAAAGAAGTTTCTGAGAATGCTTCTGTCTAGATTTTATCTGAAGACAATCCCGTTTCCAACGAAATCCTCAAGGCTAGGCAAATATACTCTTGCAGATTCCAGCAAAAGAGTGTTTCAAAACTGCTCCTTCAAAACGGTGGTTCAATTCTCTTAGTTGAGTACACACATCTCAAATAAGTTTCTGAGAATGCTTCTGCCTAGTTGTTACGGGAAGATATTTCCCTTTCCAACATGGGCCTGAAAGCGCTCCAAATGTCCACTTCCAGATACTACAAAAAGAGTGTTTCAAACCTGCTCTACCAAAGGGAATGTTCTACTCTGTGACTTGAATGCAAACATCCCAAAGAAGTTTCTGAGAATGCTTCTGTCTAGATTTTACCTGAAGACAATCCCGTTTCCCACGAAATCCTCAAAGCTATGCAAATATCCTCTTGCAGATTCTACAAAAAGAGTGTTTCAAAACTGCTCTATGAAAAGAAAGGTTCAACTCTGTCAGTAGAGGGCACACATCACAAACAAGTTTCTGAGAATGCTTCTGCATAGTTGTTACGGGAAGATATTTCCCTTTCCAAAATAGGCCTGAAAGCGCTCCAAATGTCCACTTCCAGATACTACAAAAGGAGTGATTCCAACCTGCTCTATGATAGGGAATGTTCAACTCTGTGTCCTGAATACAAACATCACAAAGATGTTTCTCAGAACGCTGCAGTCTGCAATTTGTTTGAATTCCCGCTTCCAACGAAATCCTCAAAACTAGCCAAATATCCACTTGCAGATTCCACAAAAAGAGCATTTCAAAACTGCTCTATCAAAAGAAAGGTTCAACTTTGTTAGTTGAGTAGATACAGCATAAACAAGTTTCTGAGAATGCTTCTGTCCAGTTTTTATGGGAAGATATTTCCTTTTTCACCTTAGCCCTGAAAGCGCTCCAAATGTCCAGTTCCAGATACTACAAAAGGAGTGTTTCAGGACTGCTCTATGAAAGGGAGTGTTCAACTTTTGACTTGAATGCAAACATCAGAAAGCAGTTTCTCAGAACGCTGCTGTGTGCTTTTTATATGTATTCCCGCTTCCAGCGAAATCCCCAAAGCTAGCCAAATATCCACTTGCAGATTCCAGAAAAAGAGTGTTTCAAAACTGCTCCTTCAAAACGGTGGTTCAATTCTCTTAGTTGAGTACACACATCTCAAATAAGTTTCTGAGAATGCTTCTGTCTAGTTGTTATGGGAAGATATTTCCTTTTCCAACATAGGCCTGAAAGCGCTCCAAATGTGCACTTCCAGATACTACAAAAGGAGTGATTCCAACCTGCTCTATGATAGGGAATGTTCAACTCTGTGTCCTGAATACAAACATCACAAAGATGTTTCTCAGAACGCTGCAGTCTGCAATTTGTATGAATTCCCGCTTCCAACGAAATCCTCCAAACTAGCCAAATATCCACTTGCAGATTCCACAAAAAGAGCGTTTCAAAACTTCTCTATGAAAAGAAAGGTTCTACTCCTTTAGTTGAGGACACACATCACGAGTAAGTTTCCTGAGAATGCTTGTCTGTCTAGTTTTTATGGGAAGATATTTCCTTTTTCACCTTAGGCCGGAAAGTGCTCCAAATGTCCACTTACACACACTACAAAAAGAGTGTTTCAAACCTGCTCTGTGAAAGGGAATGTTCAATTCTGTGACTTGAATGCAATCATCACAAAGAAGTTTCTGAGAATGCTGCTGTCTGCTTTTTATATGTAATCCCGTTTCCAACGAAATCCTCAAATCTAGCCAAATAGCCACTTGCAGATTCCACAAAAAGAGAGTTTCAAAACTGTTCTGTCTAAAGAAATGTTCAACTGTGTTAGTTGAGGACACACATCAGAAACTAGTTTCTGAGAATGCTTCTGTCTAGTTGTTATGGGAAGATATTTCCTTTTCCAACGTAGGCCTGAAAGCGCTCCAAATGTCCACTTCCATATACTAAAAAAAGAGTGTTTCAAACCTGCTCTACCAAAGGGAATGTTCTACTCTGTGACTTGAATGCAAACATCCCAAAGAAGTTTCTGAGAATGCTTCTGTCTAGATTTGATCTGAAGACAATCCCGTTTCCAACGAAATCCTCAAGGCTAGGCAAATATCCTCTTGCAGATTCCAGAAAAAGAGTGTTTCAAAACTGCTCCTTCAAAACGGTGGTTCAATTCTCTTAGTTGAGTACACACATCTCAAATAAGTTTCTGAGAATGCTTCTGCCTAGTTGTTACGGGAAGATATTTCCCTTTCCAACATAGGCCTGAAAGCGCTCCAAATGTCCACTTCCAGATACTACAAAAAGAGTGTTTGAAACCTGCTCTACCAAAGGGAATGTTCTACTCTGTGACTTGAATGCAAACATCCCAAAGAAGTTTCTGAGAATGCTTCTGTCTAGATTTTACCTGAAGACAATCCCGTTTCCCACGAAATCCTCAAAGCTATGCAAATATCCTCTTGCAGATTCTACAAAAAGAGTGTTTCAAAACTGCTCTATGAAAAGAAAGGTTCAACTCTGTCAGTAGAGGGCACACATCACAAACAAGTTTCTGAGAATGCTTGTGTCTAGTTGTTATGGGAAGATATTTCCTTTTTCAACATAGGCCTGAAAGCGCTCCAAATGTCCACTTCCAGATACTACAAAAGGAGTGATTCCAACCTGCTCTATGATAGGGAATGTTCAACTCTGTGTCCTGAATACAAACATCACAAAGATGTTTCTCAGAACGCTGCAGTCTGCAATTTGTATGTATTCCAGCTTCCAACGAAATCCTCAAATCTAGCCAAATATCCACTTGCAGATTCCACAAAAAGAGCATTTCAAAACTGCTCTATCAAAAGAAAGGTTCAACTTTTTTAGTAGAGTAGATACAGCATGAACAAGTTTCTGAGAATGCTTCTGTCCAGTTTTTATGGGAAGATATTTCCTTTTTCACCTTAGCCCTGAAATCGCTCCAAAAGTCCAGTTCCAGATACTACAAAAGGGGTGTTTCAGGACTGCTCTATGAAAGGGAGTGTTCAACTTTTGACTTGAATGCAAACATCAGAAAGCAGTTTCTCAGAACGCTGCTGTGTGCTTTTTATATGTATTCCCGCTTCCAGCGAAATCCCCAAAGCTAGCCAAATATCCACTTGCAGATTCCAGAAAAAGAGAGTTTCAAAACTGCTCCTTCAAAACGGTGGTTCAATTCTCTTAGTTGAGTACACACATCTCAAATAAGTTTCTGAGAATGCTTCTGTCTAGTTGTTATGGGAAGATATTTCCTTTTCCAACATAGGCCTGAAAGCGCTCCAAATGTCCACTTCCAGATACTACAAAAGGAGTGATTCCAACCTGCTCTATGATAGGGAATGTTCAACTCTGTGTCCTGAATACAAACATCACAAAGATGTTTCTCAGAACGCTGCAGTCTGCAATTTGTATGAATTCCCGCTTCCAACGAAATCCTCAAAACTAGCCAAATATCCACTTGCAGATTCCACAAAAAGAGCGTTTCAAAACTTCTCTATGAAAAGAAAGGTTCTACTCCTTTAGTTGAGGACACACATCACGAGTAAGTTTCTGAGAATGCTTCTGTCTAGTTTTTATGGGAAGATATTTCCTTTTTCACCTTAGGCCGGAAAGCGCTCCAAATGTCCACTTACACACACTACAAAAAGAGTGTTTCAAACCTCCTCTGTGAAAGGGAATGTTCAATTCTGTGATTTGAATGCAATCATCACAAAGAACTTTCTGAGAATGCTGCTGTCTGCTTTTTATATGTAATCCCGTTTCCAACGAAATCCTCAAATCTAGCCAAATATCCACTTGTAGATTCCACAAAAAGAGTGTTTCAAAACTCTTCTGTCTAAAGAAATGTTCAACTGTGTTAGTTGAGGACACACATCAGAAACTAGTTTCTGAGAATGCTTCTGTCTAGTTGTTATGGGAAGATATTTCCTTTTCCAACGTAGGCCTGAAAGCGCTCCAAATGTCCACTTCCATATACTAAAAAAAGAGTGTTTCACACCTGCTCTACCAAAGGGAATGTTCTACTCTGTGACTTGAATGCAAACATCCCAAAGAAGTTTCTGAGAATGTTCTGTCTAGATTTGATCTGAACACAATCCCGTTTCCAATGAAATCCTCAAAGCTAGGCAAATATCCTCTTGCAGATTCCAGAAAAAGAGTGTTTCAAAACTGCTCCTTCAAAACGGTGGTTCAATTCTCTTAGTTGAGTACACACATCTCAAATAAGTTTCTGAGAATGCTTCTGCCTAGTTGTTACGGGAAGATATTTCCCTTTCCAACATGGGCCTGAAAGCGCTCCAAATGTCCACTTCCAGATACTACAAAAAGAGTGTTTCAAACCTGCTCTACCAAAGGGAATGTTCTACTCTGTGACTTGAATGCAAACATCCCAAAGAAGTTTCTGAGAATGCTTCTGTCTAGATTTTACCTGAAGACAATCCCGTTTCCCCCGACATCCTCAAAGTTATGCAAATATCCTCTTGCGGATTCTACAAAAAGAGTGTTTCAAAACTGCTCTATGAAAAGAAAGGTTCAACTCTGTCAGTAGAGGGCACACATCACAAACAAGTTTCTGAGAATGCTTGTGACTAGTTGTTATGGGAAGATATTTCCTTTTTCAACATAGGCCTGAAAGCGCTCCAAATGTCCACTTCCAGATACTACAAAAGGAGTGATTCCAACCTGCTCTATGATAGGGAATGTTCATCTCTGTGTCCTGAATACAAACATCACAAAGATGTTTCTCAGAACGCTGCAGTCTGCAATTTGGATGAATTCCCGCTTCCAAGGAAATCCTCAAAACTAGCCAAATATCCACTTGGAGATTCCACAAAAAGAGCGTTTCAAAACTTCTCTATAAATAGAAAGGTTCTACTCCTTTAGTGGAGGACACACATCACGAGTAAGTTTCTGAGAATGCTTCTGTCTAGTTTTTATGGGAAGATATTTCCTTTTTCACCTTAGCCCGGAAAGCGCTCCAAATGTCCACTTACACACAATACAAAAAGAGTGTTTCAAACCTGCTCTGTGAAAGGGAATGTTCAATTCTGTGACTTGAATGCAATCATCACAAAGAACTTTCTGAGAATGCTGCTGACTGCTTTTTATATGTAATCCCGTTTCCAACGAAATCCTCAAACCTAGCCAAATAGCCACTTGCAGATTCCACAAAAAGAGTGTTTCAAAACTGTTCTGTCTAAAGAAATGTTCAACTGTGTTAGTTGAGGACACACATCAGAAACTAGTTTCTGAGAATGCTTCTGTCTAGTTGTTATGGGAAGATATTTCCTTTTCCAACGTAGGCCTGAAAGCGCTCCAAATGTCCACTTCCAGATACTACAAAAAGAGTGTTTCAAACCTGCTCTACCAAAGGGAATGTTCTACTCTGTGACTTGAATGCAAACATCCCAAAGAAGTTTCTGAGAATGCTTCTGTCTAGATTTTCTCTGAAGACAATCCCGTTTCCAACGAAATCCTCAAGGCTAGGCAAATATACTCTTGCAGATTCCAGAAAAAGAGTGTTTCAAAACTGCTCCTTCAAAACGGTGGTTCAATTCTCTTAGTTGAGTACACACATCTCAAATAAGTTTCTGAGAATGCTTCTGCCTAGTTGTTACGGGAAGATATTTCCCTTTCCAACATGGGCCTGAAAGCGCTCCAAATGTCCACTTCCAGATACTACAAAAAGAGTGTTTCAAACCTGCTCTACCAAAGGGAATGTTCTACTCTGTGACTTGAATGCAAACATCCCAAAGAAGTTTCTGAGAATGCTTCTGTCTAGATTTTACCTGAAGACAATCCCGTTTCCCACGAAATCCTCAAAGCTATGCAAATATCCTCTTGCAGATTCTACAAAAAGAGTGTTTCAAAACTGCTCTATGAAAAGAAAGGTTCAACTCTGTCAGTAGAGGGCACACATCACAAACAAGTTTCTGAGAATGCTTCTGCATAGTTGTTACGGGAAGATATTTCCCTTTCCAAAATAGGCCTGAAAGCGCTCCAAATGTCCACTTCCAGATACTACAAAAGGAGTGATTCCAACCTGCTCTATGATAGGGAATGTTCAACTCTCTGTCCTGAATACAAACATCACAAAGATGTTTCTCAGAACGCTGCAGTCTGCAATTTGTATGAATTCCCGCTTCCAACGAAATCCTCAAAACTAGCCAAATATCCACTTGCAGATTCCACAAAAAGACCATTTCAAAACTGCTCTATCAAAAGAAAGGTTCAACTTTGTTAGTTGAGTAGATACAGCATAAACAAGTTTCTGAGAATGCTTCTGTCCAGTTTTTATGGGAAGATATTTCCTTTTTCACCTTAGCCCTGAAATCGCTCCAAAAGTCCAGTTCCAGATACTACAAAAGGGGTGTTTCAGGACTGCTCTATGAAAGGGAGTGTTCAACTTTTGACTTGAATGCAAACATCAGAAAGCAGTTTCTCAGAACGCTGCTGTGTGCTTTTTATATGTATTCCCGCTTCCAGCGAAATCCCCAAAGCTAGCCAAATATCCACTTGCAGATTCCAGAAAAAGAGAGTTTCAAAACTGCTCCTTCAAAACGGTGGTTCAATTCTCTTAGTTGAGTACACACATCTCAAATAAGTTTCTGAGAATGCTTCTGTCTAGTTGTTATGGGAAGATATTTCCTTTTCCAACATAGGCCTGAAAGCGCTCCAAATGTCCACTTCCAGATACTACAAAAGGAGTGATTCAAACCTGCTCTATGATAGGGAATGTTCAACTCTGTGTCCTGAATACAAACATCACAAAGATGTTTCTCAGAACGCTGCAGTCTGCAATTTGTATGAATTCCCGCTTCCAACGAAATCCTCAAAACTAGCCAAATATCCACTTGCAGATTCCACAAAAAGAGCGTTTCAAAACTTCTCTATGAAAAGAAAGGTTCTACTCCTTTAGTTGAGGACACACATCACGAGTAAGTTTCTGAGAATGCTTCTGTCTAGTTTTTATGGGAAGATATTTCCTTTTTCACCTTAGGCCGGAAAGTGCTCCAAATGTCCACTTACACACACTACAAAAAGAGTGTTTCAAACCTGCTCTGTGAAAGGGAATGTTCAATTCTGTGACTTGAATGCAATCATCACAAAGAACTTTCTGAGAATGCTGCTGTCTGCTTTTTATATGTAATCCCGTTTCCAACGAAATCCTCAAATCTAGCCAAATAGCCACTTGCAGATTCCACAAAAAGAGTGTTTCAAAACTGTTCTGTCTAAAGAAATGTTCAACTGTGTTAGTTGAGGACACACATCAGAAACTAGTTTCTGAGAATGCTTTCTGTCTAGTTGTTATGGGAAGATATTTCCTTTTCCAACGTAGGCCTGAAAGCGCTCCAAATGTCCACTTCCATATACTAAAAAAAGAGTGTTTCAAACCTGCTCTACCAAAGGGAATGTTCTACTCTGTGACTTGAATGCAAACATCCCAAAGAAGTTTCTGAGAATGCTTCTGTCTAGATTTGATCTGAAGACAATCCCTTTTCCAACGAAATCCTCAAAGCTAGGCAAATATCCTCTTGCAGATTCCAGAAAAAGAGTGTTTCCAAACTGCTCCTTCAAAACGGTGGTTCAATTCTCTTAGTTGAGTACACACATCTCAAATAAGTTTCTGAGAATGCTTCTGCCTAGTTGTTACGGGAAGATATTTCCGTTTCCAACATAGGCCTGAAAGCGCAACAAATGTCCACTTCCAGATACTACAAAAAGAGTGTTTCAAACCTGCTCTACCAAAGGGAATGTTCTACTCTGTGACTTGAATGCAAACATCCCGAAGAAGTTTCTGAGAATGCTTCTGTCTAGATTTTACCTGAAGACAATCCCGTTTCCCACGAAATCCTCAGAGCTATGCAAATATCCTCTTGCAGATTCTACAAAAAGAGTGTTTCGAAACTGCTCTATGAAAAGAAAGGTTCAACTCTGTCAGTAGAGGAAACACATCACCAACAAGTTTCTGAGAATGCTTCTGTCTAGTTGTTATGGGAAGATTTTTCCTTTTTCAACATAGGCCTGAAAGCGCTCCAAATGTCCACTTCCAGATACTACAAAAGGAGTGATCCCAACCTGCTCTATGATAGGGAATGTTCAACTCTGTGTCCTGAGTACAAACATCACAAAGATGTTTCTCAGAACGCTGCAGTCTGCAATTTGTATGAATTCCCGCTTCCAACGAAATCCTCAAAACTAGCCAAATATCCACTTGCAGATTCCACAAAAAGAGCATTTCAAAACTGCTCTATCAAAAGAAAGGTTCAACTTTGTTAGTTGAGCAGATACAGCATAAACAAGTTTCTGAGAATGCTTCTGTCCAGTTTTTATGGGAAGATATTTCCTTTTTCACCTTAGCCCTGAAAGCGCTCCAAATGTCCAGTTCCAGATACTACAAAAGGGGTGTTTCAAGACTGCTCTATGAAAGGGAGTGTTCAACTTTTGACTTGAATGCAAACATCAGAAAGCAGTTTCTCAGAACGCTGCTGTGTGCTTTTTATATGTATTCCCGCTTCCAGCGAAATCCCCAAAGCTAGCCAAATATCCACTTGCAGATTCCAGAAAAAGAGTGTTTCCAAACTGCTCCTTCAAAACGGTGGTTCAATTCTCTTAGTTGAGTACACACATCTCAAATAAGTTTCTGGGAATGCTTCTGTCTAGTTGTTATGGGAAGATATTTCCTTTTCCAACATAGGCCTGAAAGCGCTCCAAATGTCCACTTCCAGATACTACAAAAGGAGTGATTCAAACCTGCTCTATGATAGGGAATGTTCAACTCTGTGTCCTGAATACAAACATCACAAAGATGTTTCTCAGAACGCTGCAGTCTGCATCTTGTATGAATTCCCGCTTCCAACGAAATCCTCCAAACTAGCCAAATATCCACTTGCAGATTCCACAAAAAGAGCGTTTCAAAACTTCTCTATGAAAAGAAAGGTTCTACTCCTTTAGTTGAGGACACACATCACGAGTAAGTTTCTGAGAATGCTTCTGTCTAGTTTTTATGGGAAGATATTTCCTTGTTCACCTTAGGCCGGAAAGCGCTCCAAATGTCCACTTACACACACTACAAAAAGAGTGTTTCAAACCTGCTCTGTGAAAGGGAATGTTCAATTCTGTGACTTGAATGCAATCATCACAAAGAACTTTCTGAGAATGCTGCTGTCTGCTTTTTATATGTAATCCCGTTTCCAACGAAATCCTCAAATCTAGCCAAATAGCCACTTGCAGATTCCACAAAAAGAGTGTTTCAAAACTGTTCTGTCTAAAGAAATGTTCAACTGTGTTAGTTGAGGACACACATCAGAAACTAGTTTCTGAGAATGCTTCTGTCTAGTTGTTATGGGAAGATATTTCCTTTTCCAACGTAGGCCTGAAAGCGCTCCAAATGTCCACTTCCATATACTAAAAAAAGAGTGTTTCAAACCTGCTCTACCAAAGGGAATGTTCTACTCTGTGACTTGAATGCAAACATCCCAAAGAAGTTTCTGAGAATGCTTCTGTCTAGATTTGATCTGAAGACAATCCCGTTTCCAACGAAATCCTCAAGGCTAGGCAAATATCCTCTTGCAGATTCCAGAAAAAGAGTGTTTCAAAACTGCTCCTTCAAAACGGTGGTTCAATTCTCTTAGTTGAGTACACACATCTCAAATAAGTTTCTGAGAATGCTTCTGCCTAGTTGTTACGGGAAGATATTTCCCTTTCCAACATAGGCCTGAAAGCGCTCCAAATGTCCACTTCCAGATACTACAAAAAGAGTGTTTCAAACCTGCTCTACCAAAGGGAATGTTCTACTCTGTGACTTGAATGCAAACATCCCAAAGAAGTTTCTGAGAATGCTTCTGTCTAGATTTTACCTGAAGACAATCCCGTTTCCCACGAAATCCTCAAAGCTATGCAAATATCCTCTTGCAGATTCTACAAAAAGAGTGTTTCAAAACTGCTCTATGAAAAGAAAGGTTCAACTCTGTCAGTAGAGGGCACACATCACAAACAAGTTTCTGAGAATGCTTGTGTCTAGTTGTTATGGGAAGATATTTCCTTTTTCAACATAGGCCTGAAAGCGCTCCAAATGTCCACTTCCAGATACTACAAAAGGAGTGATTCCAACCTGCTCTATGATAGGGAATGTTCAACTCTGTGTCCTGAATACAAACATCACAAAGATGTTTCTCAGAACGCTGCAGTCTGCAATTTGTATGAATTCCCGCTTCCAACGAAATCCTCAAAACTAGCCAAATATCCACTTGCAGATTCCACAAAAAGAGCATTTCAAAACTGCTCTATCAAAAGAAAGGTTCAACTTTGTTAGTTGAGTAGATACAGCATAAACAAGTTTCTGAGAATGCTTCTGTCCAGTTTTTATGGGAAGATATTTCCTTTTTCACCTTAGCCCTGAAAGCGCTCCAAATGTCCAGTTCCAGATACTAGAAAAGGGGTGTTTCAAGACTGCTCTATGAAAGGGAGTGTTCAACTTTTGACTTGAATGCAAACATCAGAAAGCAGTTTCTCAGAACGCTGCTGTGTCCTTTTTATATGTATTCCCGTTTCCAGCGAAATCCCCAAAGCTAGCCAAATATCCACTTGCAGATTCCGGAAAAAGAGTGTTTCAAAACTGCTCCTTCAAAACGGTGGTTCAATTCTCTTAGTTGAGTACATACATCTCAAACAAGTTTCTGAGAATGCTTCTGTCTAGTTGTTTTGGGAAGATATTTCCTTTTTCAACATAGGCCTGAAGGCGCTCCAAATGTCCACTTCCAGATACTACAAAAGGAGTGATTCCAACCTGCTCTACGATAGGGAATGTCCAACTCTGTGTCCTGAATACAAACATCACCAAGTTGTTTCTCAGAACGCTGCAGTCTGCAATTTGTATGAATTCCCGCTTCCAACGAAATCCTCAAAACTAGCCAAATATCCACTTGCAGATTCCAGAAAAAGAGCATTTCAAAACTGCTCTATCAAAAGAAAGGTTCAACTTTGTTAGTTGAGTAGATACAGCATGGACAAGTTTCTGAGAATGCTTCTGTCCAGTTTTTATGGGAAGATATTTCGTTTTTCACCTTAGCCCTGAAAGCGCTCCCAATGTCCACTTCCAGATACTACAAAAGGGGTGTTTCAGGCCTGCTCTATGAAAGGGACTGTTCAACTTTTGACTTGAATGCAAACATCAGAAAGCAGTTTCTCAGAACGCTGCTGTGTGCTTTTTATATGTATTCCCGCTTCCAGCGAAATCCCCAAAGCTACCCAAATATCCACTTGCAGATCCTAGAAAAAGAGTGTTTCAAAACTGCTCCTTCAAAACGGTGGTTCAATTCTCCTAGTTGAGTACACACATCTCAAATAGGTTTCTGAGAATGCTTCTGTCCAGTTTTTATGGGAAGATATTTCCTTTTTCACCTTAGCCCTGAAATCGCTCCAAAAGTCCAGGTCCAGATACTACAAAAGGGGTGTTTCAAGACTGCTCTATGAAAGGGAGTGTTCAACTTTTGACTTGAATGCAAACATCAGAAAGCAGTTTCTCAGAACGCTGCAGTCTGCAATTTGTATGAATTCTCGATTCCAACGAAATCCTCAAAACTAGCCAAATATCCACTTGCAGATTCCACAAAAAGAGCGTTTCAAAACTTCTCTATGAAAAGAAAGGTTCTACTCCTTTAGTTGAGGACACACATCACCAGTCAGTTTCTGAGAATGCTTCTGTCTAGTTTTTATGGGAAGATATTTCCTTTTTCACCTGAGGCCGGAAAGCGCTCCAAATGTCCACTTACAGACACTACAAAAGAGTGTTTCAAACCTGCTCTGTGAAAGGGAATGTTCAATTCTGTGACTTGAATGCAACCACCACAAAGAAGTTTCTGAGAATGCTGCTGTCTGCTTTTTATATGTAATCCCGTTTCCAACGAAATCCTCAAATCTAGCCAAATGTCCACTTGCAGATTCCTCAAAAAGAGTGTTTCTAAACTGTTCTGTCAAAAGAAAGGTTCAACTCTGTTAGTTGAGGACACACATCAGAAACTAGTTTCTGAGAAGGCTTCTGTCTAGTTGTTATGGGAAGATATTTCCTTTTCCAACGTAGGCCTGAAAGCCCTCCAAATGTCCACTTCCAGATACTACAAAAAGTGTGTTTCAAACCTGCTCTACCAAAGGGAATGTTCTCCTCTGTTACTTGAATGCAAACATCCCAAAGAAGTTTCTGAGAATGCTTCTGTCTAGATTGTCTCTGAAGACAATCCCGTTTCCAACGAAATCCTCAAGGCTAGGCAAATATACTCTTGCAGATTCCAGAAAAAGAGTGTTTCAAAACTGCTCCTTCAAAACGGTGGTTCAATTCTCTTAGTTGAGTACACACATCTCAAATAAGTTTCTGAGAATGCTTCTGCCTAGTTGTTACGGGAAGATATTTCCCTTTCCAACATGGGCCTGAAAGCGCTCCAAATGTCCACTTCCAGATACTACAAAAAGAGTGTTTCAAACCTGCTCTACCAAAGGGAATGTTCTACTCTGTGACTTGAATGCAAACATCCCAAAGAAGTTTCTGAGAATGCTTCTGTCTAGATTTTACCTGAAGACAATCCCGTTTCCCACGAAATCCTCAAAGCTATGCAAATATCCTCTTGCAGATTCTACAAAAAGAGTGTTTCAAAACTGCTCTATGAAAAGAAAGGTTCAACTCTGTCAGTAGAGGGCACACATCACAAACAAGTTTCTGAGAATGCTTCTGCATAGTTGTTACGGGAAGATATTTCCCTTTCCAAAATAGGCCTGAAAGCGCTCCAAATGTCCACTTCCAGATACTACAAAAGGAGTGATTCCAACCTGCTCTATGATAGGGAATGTTCAACTCTGTGTCCTGAATACAAACATCACAAAGATGTTTCTCAGAACGCTGCAGTCTGCAATTTGTATGAATTCCCGCTTCCAACGAAATCCTCAAAACTAGCCAAATATCCACTTGCAGATTCCGCAAAAAGACCATTTCAAAACTGCTCTATCAAAAGAAAGGTTCAACTTTGTTAGTTGAGTAGATACAGCATAACCAAGTTTCTGAGAATGCTTCTGTCCAGTTTTTATGGGAAGATATTTCCTTTTTCACCTTAGCCCTGAAATCGCTCCAAAAGTCCAGTTCCAGATACTACAAAAGGGGTGTTTCAAGACTGCTCTATGAAAGGGAGTGTTCAACTTTTGACTTGAATGCAAACATCAGAAAGCAGTTTCTCAGAACGCTGCTGTGTGCTTTTTATATGTATTCCCGCTTCCAGCGAAATCCCCAAAGCTAGCCAAATATCCACTTGCAGATTCCAGAAAAAGAGTGTTTCAAAACTGCTCCTTCAAAACGGTGGTTCAATTCTCTTAGTTGAGTACACACATCTCAAATAAGTTTCTGAGAATGCTTCTGTCTAGTTGTTATGGGAAGATATCTCCTTTTCCAACATAGGCCTGAAAGCGCTCTAAATGTCCACTTCCAGATACTACAAAAGGAGTGATTCAAACCTGCTCTATGATAGGGAATGTTCAACTCTGTGTCCTGAATACAAACATCACAGAGATGTTTCTCAGAACGCTGCAGTCTGCAATTTGTATGAATTCCCGCTTCCAACGAAATCCTCCAAACTAGCCAAATATCCACTTGCAGATTCCACAAAAAGAGCGTTTCAAAACTTCTCTATGAAAAGAAAGGTTCTACTCCTTTAGTTGAGGACACACATCACGAGTAAGTTTCTGAGAATGCTTCTGTCTAGTTTTTATGGGAAGATATTTCCTTTTTCACCTTAGGCCGGAAAGTGCTCCAAATGTCCACTTACACACACTACAAAAAGAGTGTTTCAAACCTGCTCTGTGAAAGGGAATGTTCAATTCTGTGACTTGAATGCAATCATCACAAAGAACTTTCTGAGAATGCTGCTGTCTGCTTTTTATATGTAATCCCGTTTCCAACGAAATCCTCAAATCTAGCCAAATAGCCACTTGCAGATTCCACAAAAAGAGAGTTTCAAAACTGTTCTGTCTAAAGAAATGTTCAACTGTGTTAGTTGAGGACACACATCAGAAACTAGTTTCTGAGAATGCTTCTGTCTAGTTGTTATGGGAAGATATTTCCTTTTCCAACGTAGGCCTGAAAGCGCTCCAAATGTCCACTTCCATATACTAAAAAAAGAGTGTTTCACACCTGCTCTACCAAAGGGAATGTTCTACTCTGTGACTTGAATGCAAACATCCCAAAGAAGTTTCTGAGAATGCTTCTGTCTAGATTTGATCTGAACACAATCCCGTTTCCAACGAAATCCTCAAAGCTAGGCAAATATCCTCTTGCAGATTCCAGAAAAAGAGTGTTTCAAAACTGCTCCTTCAAAACGGTGGTTCAATTCTCTTAGTTGAGTACACACATCTCAAATAAGTTTCTGAGAATGCTTCTGCCTAGTTGTTACGGGAAGATATTTCCCTTTCCAACATAGGCCTGAAAGCGCTCCAAATGTCCACTTCCAGATACTACAAAAAGAGTGTTTCAAACCTGCTCTACCAAAGGGAATGTTCTACTCTGTGACTTGAATGCAAACATCCCAAAGAAGTTTCTGAGAATGCTTCTGTCTAGATTTTACCTGAAGACAATCCCGTTTCCCACGAAATCCTCAAAGCTATGCAAATATCCTCTTGCAGATTCTACAAAAAGAGTGTTTCAAAACTGCTCTATGAAAAGAAAGGTTCAACTCTGTCAGTAGAGGGCACACATCACAAACAAGTTTCTGAGAATGCTTGTGTCTAGTTGTTATGGGAAGATATTTCCTTTTTCAACATAGGCCTGAAAGCGCTCCAAATGTCCACTTCCAGATACTACAAAAGGAGTGATTCCAACCTGCTCTATGATAGGGAATGTTCAACTCTGTGTCCTGAATACAAACATCACAAAGATGTTTCTCAGAACGCTGCAGTCTGCAATTTGTATGTATTCCAGCTTCCAACGAAATCCTCAAATCTAGCCAAATATCCAATTGCAGATTCCACAAAAAGAGCATTTCAAAACTGCTCTATCAAAAGAAAGGTTCAACTTTTTTAGTAGAGTAGATACAGCATAAACATGTTTCTGAGAATGCTTCTGTCCAGTTTTTATGGGAAGATATTTCCTTTTTCACCTTAGCCCTGAAAGCGCTCCAAAAGTCCAGTTCCAGATACTACAAAAGGAGTGTTTCAGGACTGCTCTATGAAAGGGAGTGTTCAACTTTTGACTTGAATGCAAACATCAGAAAGCAGTTTCTCAGAACGCTGCTGTGTGCTTTTTATATGTATTCCCGCTTCCAGCGAAATCCCCAAAGCTAGCCAAATATCCACTTGCAGATTCCAGAAAAAGAGTGTTTCAAAACTGCTCCTTCAAAACGGTGGTTCAATTCTCTTAGTTGAGTACACACATCTCAAATAAGTTTCTGAGAATGCTTCTGTCTAGTTGTTATGGGAAGATATTTCCTTTTCCAACATAGGCCTGAAAGCGCTCCAAATGTCCACTTCCAGATACTACAAAAGGAGTGATTCAAACCTGCTCTATGATAGGGAATGTTCAACTCTCTGTCCTGAATACAAACATCACAAAGATGTTTCTCAGAACGCTGCAGTCTGCAATTTGTATGAATTCCCGCTTCCAACGAAATCCTCAAAACTAGCCAAATATCCACTTGCAGATTCCACAAAAAGAGCGTTTCAAAACTTCTCTATGAAAAGAAAGGTTCTACTCCTTTAGTTGAGGACACACATCACGAGTAAGTTTCTGAGAATGCTTCTGTCTAGTTTTTATGGGAAGATTATTTCCTTTTTCACCTTAGGCCGGTAAGTGCTCCAAATGTCCACTTACACACACTACAAAAAGAGTGTTTCAAACCTGCTCTGTGAAAGGGAATGTTCAATTCTGTGACTTGAATGCAATCATCACAAAGAACTTTCTGAGAATGCTGCTGACTGCTTTTTATATGTAATCCCGTTTCCAACGAAATCCTCAAATCTAGCCAAATAGCCACTTGCAGATTCCACAAAAAGAGTGTTTCAAAACTGTTCTGTCTAAAGAAATGTTCAACTGTGTTAGTTGAGGACACACATCAGAAACTAGTTTCTGAGAATGCTTCTGCCTAGTTGTTACGGGAAGATATTTCCTTTTCCAACATGGGCCTGAAAGCGCTCCAAATGTCCACTTCCAGATACTACAAAAAGAGTGTTTCAAACCTGCTCTACCAAAGGGAATGTTCTACTCTGTGACTTGAATGCAAACATCCCAAAGAAGTTTCTGAGAATGCTTCTGTCTAGATTTTACCTGAAGACAATCCCGTTTCCCACGAAATCCTCAAAGCTATGCAAATATCCTCTTGCAGATTCTACAAAAAGAGTGTTTCAAAACTGCTCTATGAAAAGAAAGGTTCAACTCTGTCAGTAGAGGGCACACATCACAAACAAGTTTCTGAGAATGCTTCTGCATAGTTGTTACGGGAAGATATTTCCCTTTCCAAAATAGGCCTGAAAGCGCTCCAAATGTCCACTTCCAGATACTACAAAAGGAGTGATTCCAACCTGCTCTATGATAGGGAATGTTCAACTCTGTGTCCTGAATACAAACATCACAAAGATGTTTCTCAGAACGCTGCAGTCTGCAATTTGTATGAATTCCCGCTTCCAACGAAATCCTCAAAACTAGCCAAATATCCACTTGCAGATTCCACAAAAAGACCATTTCAAAACTGCTCTATCAAAAGAAAGGTTCAACTTTGTTAGTTGAGTAGATACAGCATAAACAAGTTTCTGAGAATGCTTCTGTCCAGTTTTTATGGGAAGATATTTCCTTTTTCACCTTAGCCCTAAAATCGCTCCAAAAGTCCAGTTCCAGATACTACAAAAGGGGTGTTTCAAGACTGCTCTATGAAAGGGAGTGTTCAACTTTTGACTTGAATGCAAACATCAGAAAGCAGTTTCTCAGAACGCTGCTGTGTGTTTTTTATATGTATTCCCGCTTCCAGCGAAATCCCCAAAGCTAGCCAAATATCCACTTGCAGATTCCAGAAAAAGAGCGTTTCAAAACTGCTCCTTGAAAACGGTGGTTCAATTCTCTTAGTTGAGTACACCCATCTCAAATAAGTTTCTGAGAATGCTTCTGTCTATTTGTTATGGGAAGATATTTCCTTTTCCAACATAGGCCTGAAAGCGCTCCAAATGTCCACTTCCAGATACTAGAAAAGGAGTGATTCAAACCTGCTCTATGATAGGGAATGTTCAACTCTGTGTCCTGAATACAAACATCACAAAGATGTTTCTCAGAACGCTGCAGTCTGCAATTTGTATGAATTCCCGCTTCCAACGAAATCCTCCAAACAAGCCAATTATCCACTTGCAGATTCCACAAAAAGAGCGTTTGAAAACTTCTCTATGAAAAGAAAGGTTCTACTCCTTTAGTTGAGGACACACATCACGAGTAAGTTTCTGAGAATGCTTCTGTCTAGTTTTTATGGAAAGATATTTCCTTCTTCATCTTAGGACGGAAAGCGCTCCAAATGTCCACTTACACACACTACAAAAAGAGTGTTTCAAAGCTGCTCTGTGAAAGGGAATGTTCAATTCTGTGACTTGAATGCAATCATCACAAAGAAGTTTCTGAGAATGCTGCTGTCTGCTTTTTATACGTAATCCCGTTTCCAACGAAATCCTCAAATCTAGCCAAATATCCACTTGCAGATTCCACAAAAAGAGTGTTTCAAAACTGTTCTGTCTAAAGAAATGTTCAACTGTGTTAGTTGAGGACACACATCAGAAACTAGTTTCTGAGAATGCTTCTGTCTAGTTGTTATGGGAAGATATTTCCTTTTCCAACGTAGGCCTGAAAGCGCTCCAAATGTCCACTTCCATATACTAAAAAAAGAGTGTTTGAAACCTGCTCTACCAAAGGGAATGTTCTACTCTGTGACTTGAATGCAAACATCCCAAAGAAGTTTCTGAGAATGCTTCTGTCTAGATTTGATCTGAAGACAATCCCGTTTCCAACGAAATCCTCAAGGCTAGGCAAATATCCTCTTGCAGATTCCAGAAAAAGAGTGTTTCAAAACTGCTCCTTCAAAACGGTGGTTCAATTCTCTTAGTTGAGTACACACATCTCAAATAAGTTTCTGAGAATGCTTCTGCCTAGTTGTTACGGGAAGATATTTCCCTTTCCAACATAGGCCTGAAAGCGCTCCAAATGTCCACTTCCAGATACTACAAAAAGAGTGTTTCAAACCTGCTCTACCAAAGGGAATGTTCTACTCTGTGACTTGAATGCAAACATCCCAAAGAAGTTTCTGAGAATGCTTCTGTCTAGATTTTACCTGAAGACAATCCCGTTTCCCACGAAATCCTCAAAGCTATGCAAATATCCTCTTGCAGATTCTACAAAAAGAGTGTTTCAAAACTGCTCTATGAAAAGAAAGGTTCAACTCTGTCAGTAGAGGGCACACATCACAAACAAGTTTCTGAGAATGCTTGTGTCTAGTTGTTATGGGAAGATATTTCCTTTTCCAACATAGGCTTGAAAGCGCTCCAAATGTCCACTTCCAGATACTACAAAAGGAGTGATTCCAACCTGCTCTATGATAGGGAATGTTCAACTCTGTGTCCTGAATACAAACATCACAAAGATGTTTCTCAGAACGCTGCAGTCTGCAATTTGTATGAATTCCCGCTTCCAACGAAATCCTCAAAACTAGCCAAATATCCACTTGCAGATTCCACAAAAAGAGCATTTCAAAACTGCTCTATCAAAAGAAAGGTTCAACTTTGTTAGTTGAGTAGATACAGCATAAACAAGTTTCTGAGAATGCCTTCTGTCCAGTTTTTATGGGAAGATATTTCCTTTTTCACCTTAGCCCTGAAAGCGCTCCAAAAGTCCAGTTCCAGATACTACAAAAGGGGTGTTTCAGGACTGCTCTATGAAAGGGAGTGTTCAACTTTTGACTTGAATGCAAACATCAGAAAGCAGTTTCTCAGAACGCTGCTGTGTGCTTTTTATATGTATTCCCGCTTCCAGCGAAATCCCCAAAGCTAGCCAAATATCCACTTGCAGATTCCAGAAAAAGAGTGTTTCAAAACTGCTCCTTCAAAACGGTGGTTCAATTCTCTTAGTTGAGTACACACATCTCAAATAAGTTTCTGAGAATGCTTCTGTCTAGTTGTTATGGGAAGATATTTCCTTTTCCAACATAGGCCTGAAAGCGCTCCAAATGTCCACTTCCAGATACTACAAAAGGAGTGATTCAAACCTGCTCTATGATAGGGAATGTTCAACTCTGTGTCCTGAATACAAACATCACAAAGATGTTTCTCAGAACGCTGCAGTCTGCAATTTGTATGAATTCCCGCTTCCAACAAAATCCTCAAAACTAGCCAAATATCCACTTGCAGATTCCACAAAAAGAGCGTTTCAAAACTTCTCTATGAAAAGAAAGGTTCTACTCCTTTAGCTGAGGGCACACATCACGAGTAAGTTTCTGAGAATGCTTC
This sequence comes from Homo sapiens, assembly GCF_000001405.40. Classification (NCBI taxonomy): domain Eukaryota; kingdom Metazoa; phylum Chordata; class Mammalia; order Primates; family Hominidae; genus Homo; species Homo sapiens. Next base: position 17,796,026 of record NC_000018.10, on the reverse strand, counting down.
TGTCTAGTTTTTATGGGAAGATATTTCCTTTTTCACCTTAGGCCGGTAAGGGTTCCAAATGTCCACTTACACACACTACAAAAAGAGTGTTTCAAACCTGCTCTGTGAAAGGGAATGTTCAATTCTGTGACTTGAATGCAATCATCACAAAGAACTTTCTGAGAATGCTGCTGACTGCTTTTTATATGTAATCCCGTTTCCAACGAAATCCTCAAATCTAGCCAAATAGCCACTTGCAGATTCCACAAAAAGAGTGTTTCAAAACTGTTCTGTCTATAGAAATGTTCAACTGTGTTAGTTGAGGACACACATCAGAAACTAGTTTCTGAGAATGCTTCTGTCTAGTTGTTATGGGAAGATATTTCCCTTTCCAACGTAGGCCTGAAAGCGATCAAAATGTCCACTTCCATATACTAAAAAAAGAGTGTTTCAAACCTGCTCTACCAAAGGGAATGTTCTACTCTGTGACTTGAATACAAACATCCCAAAGAAGTTTCTGAGAATGCTTCTGTCTAGATTTTATCTGAATACAATCCCGTTTCCAACGAAATCCTCAAGGCTAGGCAAATATACTCTTGCAGATTCCAGAAAAAGAGTGTTTCAAAACTGCTCCTTCAAAACGGTGGTTCAATTCTCTTAGTTGAGTACACACATCTCAAATAAGTTTCTGAGAATGCTTCTGCCTAGTTGTTACTGGAAGATATTTCCCTTTCCAACATAGGCCTGAAAGCGCTCCAAATGTCCACTTCCAGATACTACAAAAAGAGTGTTGCAAACCTGCTCTACCAAAGGGAATGTTCTACTCTGTGACTTGAATGCAAACATCCCAAAGAAGTTTCTGAGAATGCTTCTGTCTAGATTTTACCTGAAGACAATCCCGTTTCCCACGAAATCCTCAAAGCTATGCAAATATCCTCTTGCAGATTCTACAAAAAGAGTGTTTCAAAACTGCTCTATGAAAAGAAAGGTTCAACTCTGTCAGTAGAGGGCACACATCACAAACAAGTTTCTGAGAATGCTTGTGTCTAGTTGTTATGGGAAGATATTTCCTTTTTCAACATAGGCCTGAAAGCGCTCCAAATGTCCACTTCCAGATACTACAAAAGGAGTGATTCCAACCTGCTCTATGATAGGGAATGTTCCTCTCTGTGTCCTGAATACAAACATCACAAAGATGTTTCTCATAACGCTGCAGTCTGCAATTTGTATGAATTCCCGCTTCCAACGAAATCCTCAAAACTAGCCAAATATCCACTTGGAGATTCCACAAAAAGAGCGTTTCAAAACTTCTCTATGAATAGAAAGGTTCTACTCCTTTAGTTGAGGACACACATCACGAGTAAGTTTCTGAGAATGCTTCTGTCTAGTTTTTATGGGAAGATATGTCCTTTTTCACCTTAGGCCGGAAAGCGCTCCAAATGTCCACTTACACACACTACAAAAAGAGTGTTTCAAACCTGCTCTGTGAAAGGGAATGTTCAATTCTGTGACTTGAATGCAATCATCACAAAGAACTTTCTGAGAATGCTGCTGTCTGCTTTTTATATGTAATCCCGTTTCCAACGAAATCCTCAAATCTAGCCCAATATCCACTTGCAGATTCCACAAAAAGAGTGTTTCAAAACTGTTCTGTCTAAAGAAATGTACAACTGTGTTAGTTGAGGACACACATCAGAAACTAGTTTCTGAGAATGCTTCTGTCTAGTTGTTATGGGAAGATATTTCCTTTTCCAACGTAGGCCTGAAAGCGCTCCAAATGTCCACTTCCATATACTAAAAAAAGAGTGTTTCAAACCTGCTCTACCAAAGGGAATGTTCTACTCTGTGACTTGAATGCAAACATCCCAAAGAAGTTTCTGAGAATGCTTCTATCTTGATTTTATCTGAAGACAATCCCGTTTCCAACGAAATCCTCAAGGCTAGGCAAATATACTCTTGCAGATTCCAGAAAAAGAGGGTTTCAAAACTGCTCCTTCAAAACGGTGGTTCAATTCTCTTAGTTGAGTACACACATCTCAAATAAGTTTCTGAGAATGCTTCTGCCTAGTTGTTACGGGAAGATATTTCCCTTTCCAACATGGGCCTGAAAGCGCTCCAAATGTCCACTTCCAGATACTACAAAAAGAGTGTTTCAAACCTGCTCTACCAAAGGGAATGTTCTACTCTGTGACTTGAATGCAAACATCCCAAAGAAGTTTCTGAGAATGCTTCTGTCTAGATTTTACCTGAAGACAATCCCGTTTCCCACGAAATCCTCAAAGCTATGCAAATATCCTCTTGCAGATTCTACAAAAAGAGTGTTTCAAAACTGCTCTATGAAAAGAAAGGTTCAACTCTGTCAGTAGAGGGCACACATCACAAACAAGTTTCTGAGAATGCTTCTGCATAGTTGTTACGGGAAGATATTTCCCTTTCCAAAATAGGCCTGAAAGCGCTCCAAATGTCCACTTCCAGATACTACAAAAGGAGTGATTCCAACCTGCTCTATGATAGGGAATGTTCAACTCTGTGTCCTGAATACAAACATCACAAAGATGTTTCTCAGAACGCTGCAGTCTGCAATTTGTATGAATTCCCGCTTCCAACGAAATCCTCAAAACTAGCCAAATATCCACTTGCAGATTCCACAAAAAGACCATTTCAAAACTGCTCTATCAAAAGAAAGGTTCAACTTTGTTAGTTGAGTAGATACAGCATAAACAAGTTTCTGAGAATGCTTCTGTCCAGTTTTTATGGGAAGATATTTCCTTTTTCACCTTAGCCCTGAAATCGCTCCAAAAGTCCAGTTCCAGATACTACAAAAGGGGTGTTTCAGGACTGCTCTATGAAAGGGAGTGTTCAACTTTTGACTTGAATGCAAACATCAGAAAGCAGTTTCTCAGAACGCTGCTGTGTGCTTTTTATATGTATTCCCGCTTCCAGCGAAATCCCCAAAGCTAGCCAAATATCCACTTGCAGATTCCAGAAAAAGAGTGTTTCAAAACTGCTCCTTCAAAACGGTGGTTCAATTCTCTTAGTTGAGTACACACATCTCAAATAAGTTTCTGAGAATGCTTCTGTCTAGTTGTTATGGGAAGATATTTCCTTTTCCAACATAGGCCTGAAAGCGCTCCAAAGGTCCACTTCCAGATACTACAAAAGGAGTGATTCAAACCTGCTCTATGATAGGGAATGTTCAACTCTGTGTCCTGAATACAAACATCACAAAGATGTTTCTCAGAACGCTGCAGTCTGCAATTTGTATGAATTCCCGCTTCCAACGAAATCCTCCAAACTAGCCAAATATCCACTTGCAGATTCCACAAAAAGAGCGTTTCAAAACTTATCTATGAAAACAAAGGTTCTACTCCTTTAGTTGAGGACACACATCACGAGTAAGTTTCTGAGAATGCTTCTGTCTAGTTTTTATGGGAAGATATTTCCTTTTTCACCTTAGGCCGGAAAGTGCTCCAAATGTCCACTTACACACACTATAAAAAGAGTGTTTCAAACCTGCTCTGTGAAAGGGAATGTTCAATTCTGTGACTTGAATGCAATCATCACAAAGAACTTTCTGAGAATGCTGCTGTCTGCTTTTTATATGTAATCCCGTTTCCAACGAAATCCTCAAATCTAGCCAAATAGCCACTTGCAGATTCCACAAAAAGAGTGTTTCAAAACTGTTCTGTCTAAAGAAATGTTCAACTGTGTTAGTTGAGGACACACATCAGAAACTAGTTTCTGAGAATGCTTCTGTCTAGTTGCTATGGGAAGATATTTCCTTTTCCAACGTAGGCCTGAAAGCGCTCCAAATGTCCACTTCCATATACTAAAAAAAGAGTGTTTCAAACCTGCTCTACCAAAGGGAATGTTCTACTCTGTGACTTGAATGCAAACATCCCAAAGAAGTTTCTGAGAATGCTTCTGTCTAGATTTTATCTGAAGACAATCCCGTTTCCAACGAAATCCTCAAGGCTAGGCAAATATACTCTTGCAGATTCCAGAAAAAGAGTGTTTCAAAACTGCTCCTTCAAAACGGTGGTTCAATTCTCTTAGTTGAGTACACACATCTCAAATAAGTTTCTGAGAATGCTTCTGCCTAGTTGTTACGGGAAGATATTTCCCTTTCCAACATGGGCCTGAAAGCGCTCCAAATGTCCACTTCCAGATACTACAAAAAGAGTGTTTCAAACCTGCTCTACCAAAGGGAATGTTCTACTCTGTGACTTGAATGCAAACATCCCAAAGAAGTTTCTGAGAATGCTTCTGTCTAGATTTTACCTGAAGACAATCCCGTTTCCCACGAATTCCTCAAAGCGATGCAAATATCCTCTTGCGGATTCTACAAAAAGAGTGTTTCAAAACTGCTCTATGAAAAGAAAGGTTCAACTCTGTCAGTAGAGGGCACACATCACAAACAAGTTTCTGAGAATGCTTGTGTCTAGTTGTTATGGGAAGATATTTCCTTTTTCAACATAGGCCTGAAAGCGCTCCAAATGTCCACTTCCAGATACTACAAAAGGAGTGATTCCAACCTGCTCTATGATAGGGAATGTTCCTCTCTGTGTCCTGAATACAAACATCACAAAGATGTTTCTCAGAACGCTGCAGTCTGCAATTTGTATGAATTCCCGCATCCAACGAAATCCTCAAAACTAGCCAAATATACACTTGGAGATTCCACAAAAAGAGCGTTTCAAACCTTCTCTATGAATAGAAAGGTTCTACTCCTTTAGTTGAGGACACACATCACGAGTAAGTTTCTGAGAATGCTTCTGTCTAGTTTTTATGGGAAGATATTTCCTTTTTCACCTTAGGCCGGAAAGTGCTCCAAATGTCCACTTACACACACTACAAAAAGAGTGTTTCAAACCTGCTCTGTGAAAGGGAATGTTCAATTCTGTGACTTGAATGCAATCATCACAAAGAACTTTCTGAGAATGCTGCTGTATGCTTTTTATATGTAATCCCGTTTCCAACGAAATCCTCAAATCTAGCCAAATAGCCACTTGCAGATTCCACAAAAAGAGAGTTTCAAAACTGTTCTGTCTAAAGAAATATTCAACTGTGTTAGTTGAGGACACACATCAGAAACTAGTTTCTGAGAATGCTTCTGTCTAGTTGTTATGGGAAGATATTTCCTTTTCCAACGTAGGCCTGAAAGCGCTCCAAATGTCCACTTCCATATACTAAAAAAAGAGTGTTTCAAACCTGCTCTACCAAAGGGAATGTTCTACTCTGTGACTTGAATGCAAACATCCCAAAGAAGTTTCTGAGAATGCTTCTGTCTAGATTTGATCTGAAGACAATCCCGTTTCCAACGAAATCCTCAAGGCTAGGCAAATATCCTCTTGCAGATTCCAGAAAAAGAGTGTTTCAAAACTGCTCCTTCAAAACGGTGGTTCAATTCTCTTAGTTGAGTACACACATCTCAAATAAGTTTCTGAGAATGCTTCTGCCTAGTTGTTACGGGAAGATATTTCCCTTTCCAACATGGGCCTGAAAGCGCTCCAAATGTCCACTTCCAGATACTACAAAAAGAGTGTTTCAAACCTGCTCTACCAAAGGGAATGTTCTACTCTGTGACTTGAATGCAAACATCCCAAAGAAGTTTCTGAGAATGCTTCTGTCTAGATTTTACCTGAAGACAATCCCGTTTCCCACGAAATCCTCAAAGCTATGCAAATATCCTCTTGCAGATTCTACAAAAAGAGTGTTTCAAAACTGCTCTATGAAAAGAAAGGTTCAACTCTGTCAGTAGAGGGCACACATCACAAACAAGTTTCTGAGAATGCTTCTGCATAGTTGTTACGGGAAGATATTTCCCTTTCCAAAATAGGCCTGAAAGCGCTCCAAATGTCCACTTCCAGATACTACAAAAGGAGTGATTCCAACCTGCTCTATGATAGGGAATGTTCAACTCTGTGTCCTGAATACAAACATCACAAAGATGTTTCTCAGAACGCTGCAGTCTGCAATTTGTATGAATTCCCGCTTCCAACGAAATCCTCAAAACTAGCCAAATATCCACTTGCAGATTCCACAAAAAGACCATTTCAAAACTGCTCTATCAAAAGAAAGGTTCAACTTTGTTAGTTGAGTAGATACAGCATAACCAAGTTTCTGAGAATGCTTCTGTCCAGTTTTTATGGGAAGATATTTCCTTTTTCACCTTAGCCCTGAAATCGCTCCAAAAGTCCAGTTCCAGATACTACAAAAGGGGTGTTTCAAGACTGCTCTATGAAAGGGAGTGTTCAACTTTTGACTTGAATGCAAACATCAGAAAGCAGTTTCTCAGAACGCTGCTGTGTGCTTTTTATATGTATTCCCGCTTCCAGCGAAATCCCCAAAGCTAGCCAAATATCCACTTGCAGATTCCAGAAAAAGAGAGTTTCAAAACTGCTCCTTCAAAACGGTGGTTCAATTCTCTTAGTTGAGTACACACATCTCAAATAAGTTTCTGAGAATGCTTCTGTCTAGTTGTTATGGGAAGATATTTCCTTTTCCAACATAGGCCTGAAAGCGCTCCAAATGTCCACTTCCAGATACTACAAAAGGAGTGATTCCAACCTGCTCTATGATAGGGAATGTTCAACTCTGTGTCCTGAATACAAACATCACAAAGATGTTTCTCAGAACGCTGCAGTCTGCAATTTGTATGAATTCCCGCTTCCAACGAAATCCTCAAAACTAGCCAAATATCCACTTGCAGATTCCACAAAAAGAGCGTTTCAAAACTTCTCTATGAAAAGAAAGGTTCTACTCCTTTAGTTGAGGACACACATCACGAGTAAGTTTCTGAGAATGCTTCTGTCTAGTTTTTATGGGAAGATATTTCCTTTTTCTCCTTAGGCCGGAAAGCGCTCCAAATGTCCACTTACACACACTACAAAAAGAGTGTTTCAAACCTGCTCTGTGAAAGGGAATGTTCAATTCTGTGACTTGAATGCAATCATCACAAAGAACTTTGTGAGAATGCTGCTGTCTGCTTTTTATATGTAATCCCGTTTCCAACGAAATCCTCAAATCTAGCCAAATATCCACTTGCAGATTCCACAAAAAGAGTGTTTCAAAACTGTTCTGTCTAAAGAAAAGTTCAACTGTGTTAGTTGAGGACACACATCAGAAACTAGTTTCTGAGAATGCTTCTGTCTAGTTGTTATGGGAAGATATTTCCTTTTCCAACGTAGGCCTGAAAGCGCTCCAAATGTCCACTTCCATATACTAAAAAAAGAGTGTTTCAAACCTGCTCTACCAAAGGGAATGTTCTACTCTGTGACTTGAATGCAAACATCCCAAAGAAGTTTCTGAGAATGCTTCTGTCTAGATTTGATCTGAAGACAATCCCGTTTCCAACGAAATCCTCAAGGCTAGGCAAATATCGTCTTGCAGATTCCAGAAAAAGAGTGTTTCAAAACTGCTCCTTCAAAACGGTGGTTCAATTCTCTTAGTTGAGTACACACATCTCAAATAAGTTTCTGAGAATGCTTCTGCCTAGTTGTTACGGGAAGATATTTCCCTTTCCAACATAGGCCTGAAAGCGCTCCAAATGTCCACTTCCAGATACTACAAAAAGAGTGTTTCAAACCTGCTCTACCAAAGGGAATGTTCTACTCTGTGACTTGAATGCAAACATCCCAAAGAAGTTTCTGAGAATGCTTCTGTCTAGATTTTACCTGAAGACAATCCCGTTTCCCACGAAATCCTCAAAGCTATGCAAATATCCTCTTGCAGATTCTACAAAAAGAGTGTTTCAAAACTGCTCTATGAAAAGAAAGGTTCAACTCTGTCAGTAGAGGGCACAACATCACAAACAAGTTTCTGAGAATGCTTCTGCATAGTTGTTACGGGAAGATATTTCCCTTTCCAAAATAGGCCTGAAAGCGCTCCAAATGTCCACTTCCAGATACTACAAAAGGAGTGATTCCAACCTGCTCTATGATAGGGAATGTTCAACTCTGTGTCCTGAATACAAACATCACAAAGATGTTTCTCAGAACGCTGCAGTCTGCAATTTGTATGAATTCCCGCTTCCAACGAAATCCTCAAAACTAGCCAAATATCCACTTGCAGATTCCACAAAAAGACCATTTCAAAACTGCTCTATCAAAAGAAAGGTTCAACTTTGTTAGTTGAGTAGATACAGCATAAACAAGTTTCTGAGAATGCTTCTGTCCAGTTTTTATGGGAAGATATTTCCTTTTTCACCTTAGCCCTGAAATCGCTCCAAAAGTCCAGTTCCAGATACTACAAAAGGGGTGTTTCAAGACTGCTCTATGAAAGGGAGTGTTCAACTTTTGACTTGAATGCAAACATCAGAAAGCAGTTTCTCAGAACGCTGCTGTGTGCTTTTTATATGTATTCCCGCTTCCAGCGAAATCCCCAAAGCTAGCCAAATATCCACTTGCAGATTCCAGAAAAAGAGAGTTTCAAAACTGCTCCTTCAAAACGGTGGTTCAATTCTCTTAGTTGAGTACACACATCTCAAATAAGTTTCTGAGAATGCTTGTGTCTAGTTGTTATGGGAAGATATTTCCTTTTTCAACATAGGCCTGAAAGCGCTCCAAATGTCCACTTCCAGATACTACAAAAGGAGTGATTCCAACCTGCTCTATGATAGGGAATGTTCAACTCTCTGTCCTGAATACAAACATCACAAAGTTGTTTCTCAGAACGCTGCAGTCTGCAATTTGTATGAATTCCAGCTTCCAACGTAATCCTCAAATCTAGCCAAATATCCACTTGCAGATTCCACAAAAAGAGCATTTCAAAACTGCTCTATCAAAAGAAAGGTTCAACTTTGTTAGTAGAGTAGATACAGCATAAACAAGTTTCTGAGAATGCTTCTGTCCAGTTTTTATGGGAAGATATTTCCTTTTTCACCTTAGCCCTGAAAGCGCTCCAAAAGTCCAGTTCCAGATACTACAAAAGGAGTGTTTCAGGACTGCTCTATGAAAGGGAGTGTTCAACTTTTGACTTGAATGCAAACATCAGAAAGCAGTTTCTCAGAACGCTGCTGTGTGCTTTTTATATGTATTCCCGCTTCCAGCGAAATCCCCAAAGCTAGCCAAATAGCCACTTGCAGATTCCAGAAAAAGAGTGTTTCAAAACTGCTCCTTCAAAACGGTGGTTCAATTCTCTTAGTTGAGTACACACGTCTCAAATAAGTTTCTGAGAATGCTTCTGTCTAGTTGTTATGGGAAGATATTTCCTTTTCCAACATAGGCCTGAAAGCGCTCCAAATGTCCACTTCCAGATACTACAAAAAGAGTGATTCAAACCTGCTCTATGATTGGGAATGTTCAACTCTGTGTCCTGAATACAAACATCACAAAGATGTTTCTCAGAACGCTGCAGTCTGCAGTTTGTATGAATTCCCGCTTCCAACGAAATCCTCAAAACTAGCCAAATATCCACTTGCAGATTCCACAAAAAGAGCGTTTCAAAACTTCTCTATGAAAAGAAAGGTTCTACTCCTTTAGTTGAGGACACACATCACGAGTAAGTTTCTGAGAATGCTTCTGTCTAGTTTTTATGGGAAGATATTTCCTTTTTCACCTTAGGCCGGAAAGTGCTCCAAATGTCCACTTACACACACTACAAAAAGAGTGTTTCAAACCTGCTCTGTGAAAGGGAATGTTCAATTCTGTGACTTGAATGCAATCATCACAAAGAACTTTCTGAGAATGCTGCTGTCTGCTTTTTATATGTAATCCCGTTTCCAACGAAATCCTCAAATCTAGCCAAATAGCCACTTGCAGATTCCACAAAAAGAGTGTTTCAAAACTGTTCTGTCTAAAGAAATGTTCAACTTTGTTAGTTGAGGACACACATCAGAAACTAGTTTCTGAGAATGCTTCTGTCTAGTTGTTATGGGAAGATATTTCCCTTTCCAACATAGGCCTGAAAGCGCTCCAAATGTCCACTTCCAGATACTAAAAAAAGAGTGTTTCAAACCTGCTCTACCAAAGGGAATGTTCTACTCTGTGACTTGAATGCAAACATCCCAAAGAAGTTTCTGAGAATGCTTCTGTCTAGATTTGATCTGAAGACAATCCCGTTTCCAACGAAATCCTCAAGGCTAGGCAAATATCCTCTTGCAGATTCCAGAAAAAGAGTGTTTCAAAACTGCTCCTTCAAAACGGTGGTTCAATTCTCTTAGTTGAGTACACACATCTCAAATAAGTTTCTGAGAATGCTTCTGCCTAGTTGTTACGGGAAGATATTTCCCTTTCCAACATAGGCCTGAAAGCGCTCCAAATGTCCACTTCCAGATACTACAAAAAGAGTGTTTCAAACCTGCTCTACCAAAGGGAATGTTCTACTCTGTGACTTGAATGCAAACATCCCAAAGAAGTTTCTGAGAATGCTTCTGTCTAGATTTTACCTGAAGACAATCCCGTTTCCCACGAAATCCTCAAAGCTATGCAAATATCCTCTTGCAGATTCTACAAAAAGAGTGTTTCAAAACTGCTCTATGAAAAGAAAGGTTCAACTCTGTCAGTAGAGGGCACACATCACAAACAAGTTTCTGAGAATGCTTGTGTCTAGTTGTTATGGGAAGATATTTCCTTTTTCAACATAGGCCTGAAAGCGCTCCAAATGTCCACTTCCAGATACTACAAAAGGAGTGATTCCAACCTGCTCTATGATAGGGAATGTTCAACTCTCTGTCCTGAATACAAACATCACAAAGATGTTTCTCAGAACGCTGCAGTCTGCAATTTGTATGAATTCCCGCTTCCAACGAAATCCTCAAAACTAGCCAAATATCCACTTGCAGATTCCACAAAAAGAGCATTTCAAAACTGCTCTATCAAAAGAAAGGTTCAACTTTGTTAGTTGAGTAGATACAGCATAAACAAGTTTCTGAGAATGCTTCTGTCCAGTTTTTATGGGAAGATATTTCCTTTCTCACCTTAGCCCTGAAAGCGCTCCAAAAGTCCAGTTCCAGATACTACAAAAGGAGTGTTTCAGGACTGCACTATGAAAGGGAGTGTTCAACTTTTGACTTGAATGCAAACATCAGAAAGCAGTTTCTCAGAACGCTGCTGTGTGCTTTTTATATGTATTCCCGCTTCCAGCGAAATCCCCAAAGCTAGCCAAATATCCACTTGCAGATTCCAGAAAAAGAGTGTTTCAAAACTGCTCCTTCAAAACGGTGGTTCAATTCTCTTAGTTGAGTACACACATCTCAAATAAGTTTCTGAGAATGCTTGTGTCTAGTTGTTATGGGAAGATATTTCCTTTTTCAACATAGGCCTGAAAGCGCTCCAAATGTCCACTTCCAGATACTAGAAAAGGAGTGATTCAAACCTGCTCTATGATAGGGAATGTTCATCTCTGTGTCCTGAATACAAACATCACAAAGATGTTTCTCAGAACGCTGCAGTCTGCAGTTTGTATGAATTCCCGCTTCCAACGAAATCCTCAAAACCAGCCAAATATCCACTTGCAGATTCCACAAAAAGAGGGTTTAAAAACTTATCTATGAAAAGAAAGGTTCTACTCCTTTAGTTGAGGACACACATCACGAGTAAGTTTCTGAGAATGCTTCTGTCTAGTTTTTATGGGAAGATATTTCCTTTTTCACCTTAGGCCGGAAAGCGCTCCAAATGTCCACTTACACACACTACAAAAAGAGTGTTTCAAACCTGCTCTGTGAAAGGGAATGTTCAATTTCTGTGACTTGAATGCAATCATCACAAAGAACTTTCTGAGAATGCTGCTGTCTGCTTTTTATATGTAATCCCGTTTCCAACGAAATCCTCAAATCTAGCCAAATATCCACTTGCAGATTCCACAAAAAGAGTGTTTCAAAACTGTTCTGTCTAAAGAAATGTTCAACTGTGTTAGTTGAGGACACACATCAGAAACTAGTTTCTGAGAATGCTTCTCTGTCTAGTTGTTATGGGAAGATATTTCCTTTTCCAACGTAGGCCTGAAAGCGCTCCAAATGTCCACTTCCATATACTAAAAAAAGAGTGTTTCAAACCTGCTCTACCAAAGGAATGTTCTACTCTGTGACTTGAATGCAAACATCCCAAAGAAGTTTCTGAGAATGCTTCTGTCTAGATTTGATCTGAAGACAATCCCTTTTCCAACGAAATCCTCAAAGCTAGGCAAATATCCTCTTGCAGATTCCAGAAAAAGAGTGTTTCCAAACTGCTCCTTCAAAACGGTGGTTCAATTCTCTTAGTTGAGTACACACATCTCAAATAAGTTTCTGAGAATGCTTCTGCCTAGTTGTTACGGGAAGATATTTCCCTTTCCAACATAGGCCTGAAAGCGCTCCAAATGTCCACTTCCAGATACTACAAAAAGAGTGTTTCAAACCTGCTCTACCAAAGGGAATGTTCTACTCTGTGACTTGAATGCAAACATCCCAAAGAAGTTTCTGAGAATGCTTCTGTCTAGATTTTACCTGAAGACAATCCCGTTTCCCACGAAATCCTCAAAGCTATGCAAATATCCTCTTGCAGATTCTACAAAAAGAGTGTTTCAAAAATGCTCTATGAAAAGAAAGGTTCAACTCTGTCAGTAGAGGGCACACATCACAAACAAGTTTCTGAGAATGCTTGTGTCTAGTTGTTATGGGAAGATATTTCCTTTTTCAACATAGGCCTGAAAGCGCTCCAAATGTCCACTTCCAGATACTACAAAAGGAGTGATTCCAACCTGCTCTATGATAGGGAATGTTCAACTCTCTGTCCTGAATACAAACATCACAAAGATGTTTCTCAGAACGCTGCAGTCTGCAATTTGTATGAATTCCCGCTTCCAACGAAATCCTCAAAACTAGCCAAATATCCACTTGCAGATTCCACAAAAAGAGCATTTCAAAACTGCTCTATCAAAAGAAAGGTTCAACTATGTTAGTTGAGTAGATACAGCATAAACAAGTTTCTGAGAATGCTTCTGTCCAGTTTTTATGGGAAGATATTTCCTTTTTCACCTTAGCCCTGAAAGCGCTCCAAAAGTCCAGTTCCAGATACTACAAAAGGAGTGTTTCAGGACTGCTCTATGAAAGGGAGTGTTCAACTTTTGACTTGAATGCAAACATCAGAAAGCAGTTTCTCAGAACGCTGCTGTGTGCTTTTTATATGTATTCCCGCCTCCAGCGAAATCCCCAAAGCTAGCCAAATATCCACTTGCAGATTCCAGAAAAAGAGTGTTTCAAAACTGCTCCTTCAAAACGGTGGTTCAATTCTCTTAGTTGAGTACACACATCTCAAATAAGTTTCTGAGAATGCTGCAGTCTGCAATTTGTATGAATTCCCGCTTCCAACGAAATCCTCAAAACTAGCCAAATATCCACTTGCAGATTCCACAAAAAGAGCGTTTCAAAACTTCTCTATGAAAAGAAAGGTTCTACTCCTTTAGTTGAGGACACACAATACGAGTAAGTTTCTGAGAATGCTTCTGTCCAGTTTTTATGGGAAGATATTTCCTTTTTCACCTTAGCCCTGAAAGCGCTCCAAAAGTCCAGTTCCAGATACTACAAAAGGAGTGTTTCAGGACTGCTCTATGAAAGGGAGTGTTCAACTTTTGACTTGAATGCAAACATCAGAAAGCAGTTTCTCAGAACGCTGCTGTGTGCTTTTTATATGTATTCCCGCTTCCAGCGAAATCCCCAAAGCTAGCCAAATATCCACTTGCAGATTCCAGAAAAAGAGTGTTTCAAAACTGCTCCTTCAAAACGGTGGTTCAATTCTCTTAGTTGAGTACACACATCTCAAATAAGTTTCTGAGAATGCTTCTGTCTAGTTGTTATGGGAAGATATTTCCTTTTCCAACATAGGCCTGAAAGCGCTCCAAATGTCCACTTCCAGATACTACAAAAGGAGTGATTCAAACCTGCTCTATGATAGGGAATGTTCAACTCTGTGTCCTGAATACAAACATCACAAAGATGTTTCTCAGAACGCTGCAGTCTGCAATTTGTATGAATTCCCGCTTCCAACGAAATCCTCCAAACTAGCCAAATATCCACTTGCAGATTCCACAAAAAGAGCGTTTCAAAACTTCTCTATGAAAAGAAAGGTTCTACTCCTTTAGTTGAGGACACACATCACGAGTAAGTTTCTGAGAATGCTTCTGTCTAGTTTTTATGGGAAGATATTTCCTTTTTCACCTTAGGCCGGAAAGCGCTCCAAATGTCCACTTACACACACTACAAAAAGAGTGTTTCAAACCTGCTCTGTGAAAGGGAATGTTCAATTCTGTGACTTGAATGCAATCATCACAAAGAACTTTCTGAGAATGCTGCTGTCTGCTTTTTATATGTAATCCCGTTTCCAACGAAATCCTCATATCTAGCCAAATATCCACTTGCAGATTCCACAAAAAGAGTGTTTCAAAACTGTTCTGTCTAAAGAAAAGTTCAACTGTGTTAGTTGAGGACACACATCAGAAACTAGTTTCTGAGAATGCTTCTGTCTAGTTGTTATGGGAAGATATTTCCTTTTCCAACGTAGGCCTGAAAGCGCTCCAAATGTCCATTTCCATATACTAAAAAAAGAGTGTTTCAAACCTGCTCTACCAAAGGGAATGTTCTACTCTGTGACTTGAATACAAACATCCCAAAGAAGTTTCTGAGAATGCTTCTGTCTAGATTTTATCTGAAGACAATCCGGTTTCCAACGAAATCCTCAAAGCTAGGCAAATATCCTCTAGCAGATTCCAGAAAAAGAGTGTTTCAAAACTGCTCCTTCAAAACGGTGGTTCAATTCTCTTAGTTGAGTACACACATCTCAAAAAAGTTTCAGAGAATGCTTCTGCCTAGTTGTTACGGGAAGATATTTCCCTTTCCAACATGGGCCTGAAAGCGCTCCAAATGTCCACTTCCAGATACTACAAAAAGAGTGTTTCAAACCTGCTCTACCAAAGGGAATGTTCTACTCTGTGACTTGAATGCAAACATCCCAAAGAAGTTTCTGAGAATGCTTCTGTCTAGATTTTACCTGAAGACAATCCCGTTTCCCACGAAATCCTCAAAGCTATGCAAATATCCTCTTGCAGATTCTACAAAAAGAGTGTTTCAAAACTGCTCTATGAAAAGAAAGGTTCAACTGTGTCAGTAGAGGGCACACATCACAAACAAGTTTCTGAGAATGCTTGTGTCTAGTTGTTATGGGAAGATATTTCCTTTTTCAACATAGGCCTGAAAGCGCTCCAAATGTCCACTTCCAGATACTACAAAAGGAGTGATTCCAACCTGCTCTATGATAGGGAATGTTCAACTCTCTGTCCTGAATACAAACATCACAAAGATGTTTCTCAGAACGCTGCAGTCTGCAATTTGTATGAATTCCCGCTTCCAACGAAATCCTCAAAACTAGCCAAATATCCACTTGCAGATTCCACAAAAAGAGCATTTCAAAACTGCTCTATCAAAAGAAAGGTTCAACTTTGTTAGTTGAGTAGATACAGCATAAACAAGTTTCTGAGAATGCTTCTGTCCAGTTTTTATGGGAAGATATTTCCTTTTTCACCTTAGCCCTGAAAGCGCTCCAAAAGTCCAGTTCCAGATACTACAAAAGGAGTGTTTCAGGACTGCTCTATGAAAGGGAGTGTTCAACTTTTGACTTGAATGCAAACATCAGAAAGCAGTTTCTCAGAACGCTGCTGTGTGCTTTTTATATGTATTCCCGCTTCCAGCGAAATCCCCAAAGCTAGCCAAATATCCACTTGCAGATTCCAGAAAAAGAGTGTTTCAAAACTGCTCCTTCAAAACGGTGGTTCAATTCTCTTAGTTGAGTACACACATCTCAAATAAGTTTCTGAGAATGCTTCTGACTAGTTGTTATGGGAAGATATTTCCTTTTCCAACATAGGCCTGAAAGCGCTCCAAATGTCCACTTCCAGATACCACAAAAGGAGTGATTCCAACCTGCTCCATGATAGGGAATGTTCAACTCTGTGTCCTGAATACAAACATCACAAAGATGTTTCTCAGAACGCTGCAGTCTGCAATTTGTATGAATTCCCGCTTCCAACGAAATCCTCCAAACTAGCCAAATATCCACTTGCAGATTCCACAAAAAGAGCGTTTCAAAACTTCTCTATGAAAACAAAGGTTCTACTCCTTTAGTTGAGGACACACATCACGAGTAAGTTTCTGAGAATGCTTCTGTCTAGTTTTTATGGGAAGATATTTCCTTTTTCACCTTAGGCCGGAAAGTGCTCCAAATGTCCACTTACACACACTACAAAAAGAGTGTTTCAAACCTGCTCTGTGAAAGGGAATGTTCAATTCTGTGACTTGAATGCAATCATCACAAAGAACTTTCTGAGAATGCTGCTGTCTGCTTTTTATATGTAATCCCGTTTCCAACGAAATCCTCAAATCTAGCCAAATAGCCACTTGCAGATTCCACAAAAAGAGTGTTTCAAAACTGTTCTGTCTAAAGAAATGTTCAACTGTGTTAGTTGAGGACACACATCAGAAACTAGTTTCTGAGAATGCTTCTGTCTAGTTGTTATGGGAAGATATTTCCTTTTCCAACGTAGGCCTGAAAGCGCTCCAAATGTCCACTTCCAGATACTACAAAAGGAGTGATTCCAACCTGCTCTATGATAGGGAATGTTCAACTCTGTGTCCTGAATACAAACATCACAAAGATGTTTCTCAGAACGCTTCTCTCTAGATTTTATATGAAGATATTCCCGTTTCCAACGAAATCCACAAAGCTATCAAAATATCCACTTGCAGATTCTACAAAAAGAGTGTTTCAAAACTGCTCTATCAAAAGAAAGGTTCTACCCCTTTAGTTGAGGACACACATCACGAGTAAGTTTCTGAGAATGCTTCTGTCTAGTTTTTATGGGAAGATATTTCCTTTTTCACCTGAGGCCGGAAAGCGCTCCAAATGTCCACTTCCAGATACTACAAAAGGAGTGATTCAAACCTGCTCTATGATAGGGAATGTTCAACTCTGTGTCCTGAATACAAACATCACAAAGATGTTTCTCAGAACGCTGCAGTCTGCAATTTGTATGAATTCCCGCTTCCAACGAAATCCTCCATACTAGCCAAATATCCACTTGCAGATTCCACAAAAAGAGCGTTTCAAAACTTCTCTATGAAAAGAAAGGTTCTACTCCTTTAGTTGAGGACACACATCACGAGTAAGTTTCTGAGAATGCTTCTGTCTAGTTTTTATGGGAAGATATTTCCTTGTTCACCTTAGGCCGGAAAGCGCTCCAAATGTCCACTTACACACACTATAAAAAGAGTGTTTCAAACCTGCTCTGTGAAACGGAATGTTCAATTCTGTGACTTGAATGCAATCATCACAAAGAAGTTTCTGAGAATGCTGCTGTCTGCTTTTTATATGTAATCCCGTTTCCAACGAAATCCTCAAATCTAGCCAAATATCCACTTGCAGATTCCACAAAGAGAGTGTTTCAAAACTGTTCTGTCTAAAGAAATGTTCAACTGTGTTAGTTGAGGACACACATCAGAAACTAGTTTCTGAGAATGCTTCTGTCTAGTTGTTATGGGAAGATATTTCCTTTTCCAACGTAGGCCTGAAAGCGCTCCAAATGTCCACTTCCATATACTAAAAAAAGAGTGTTTCAAACCTGCTCTACCAAAGGGAATGTTCTACTCTGTGACTTGAATGCAAACATCCCAAAGAAGTTTCTGAGAATGCTTCTGTCTAGATTGGATCTGAAGACAATCCCGTTTCCAACGAAATCCTCAAATCTATGCAAATATCCTTTTGCAGATTCCAGAAAAAGAGTGTTTCAAAACTGCTCCTTCAAAACGGTGGTTCAATTCTCTTAGCTGAGTACACACATCTCAAATAAGTTTCTGAGAATGCTTCTGCCTAGTTGTTACGGGAAGATATTTCCCTTTCCAACATAGGCCTGAAAGCGCTCCAAATGTCCACTTCCAGATACTACAAAAAGAGTGTTTCAAACCTGCTCCTTCAAAACGGTGGTTCAATTCTCTTAGTTCAGTACACACATCTCAAATAAGTTTCTGAGAATGCTTCTGCCTAGTTGTTACGGGAAGATATTTCCCTTTCCAACATAGGCCTGAAAGCGCTCCAAATGTCCACTTCCAGATACTACAAAAAGAGTGTTTCAAACCTGCTCTACCAAAGGGAATGTTCTACTCTGTGACTTGAATGCAAACATCCCGAAGAATTTTCTGAGAATGCTTCTGTCTAGATTTTACCTGAAGACAATCCCGTTTCCCACGAAATCCTCAAAGCTACGCAAATATCCTCTTGCAGATTCTACAAAAAGAGTGTTTCGAAACTGCTCTATGAAAAGAAAGGTTCAACTCTGTCAGTAGAGGGCACACATCACAAACAAGTTTCTGAGAATGCTTGTGTCTACTTGTTATGGGAAGATATTTCCTTTTTCAACATAGGCCTGAAAGCGCTCGAAATGGCCACTTCCAGATACTACCAAAGGGGTGATTCCAACCTGCTCTATGATAGGGAATGTTCAACTCTGTGTCCTGAATACAAACATCACAAAGATGTTACTCAGAACGCTGCAGTCTGCAATTTGTATGAATTCCCGCTTCCAGCGAAATCCTCAAAACTAGCCAAATATCCACTTGCAGACTCCACAAAAAGAGCATTTCAAAACTGCTCTATCAAAAGAAAGGTTCAACTTTGTTAGCTGAGTAGATACAGCATAAACAAGTTTCTGAGAATGCTTCTGTCCAGTTTTTATGGGAAGATATTTCCTTTTTCACCTTAGCCCTGAAAGCGCTCCAAAAGTCCAGTTCCAGATACTACAAAAGGAGTGTTTCAGGACTGCTCTATGAAAGGGAGTGTTCAACTTTTGACTTGAATGCAAACATCAGAAAGCAGTTTCTCAGAACGCTGCTGTGTGCTTTTTATATGTATTCCCGCTTCCAGCGAAATCCCCAAAGCTAGCCAAATATCCACGTGCAGATTCCAGAAAAAGAGTGTTTCAAAACTGCTCCTTCAAAACGGTGGTTCAATTCTCTTAGTTGAGTACACACATCTCAAATAAGTTTCTGAGAATGCTTCTGTCTAGTTTTTATGGGAAGATATTTCCTTTTTCACCTTAGGCCGGAAAGTGCTCCAAATGTCCACTTCCAGATACTACAAAAGGAGTGATTCCAACCTGCTCTATGATAGGGAATGTTCAACTCTCTGTCTTGAATACAAACATCACAAAGATGTTTCTCAGAACGCTGCAGTCTGCAATTTGTATGAATTCCCGCTTCCAACGAAATCCTCAAAACTAGCCAAATATCCACTTGCAGATTCCACAAAAAGAGCATTTCAAAACTGCTCTATCAAAAGAAAGGTTCAACTTTGTTAGTTGAGTAGATACAGCATAAACAAGTTTCTGAGAATGCTTCTGTCCAGTTTTTATGGGAAGATATTTCCTTTTTCACCTTAGCCCTGAAAGCGCTCCAAAAGTCCAGTTCCAGATACTACAAAAGGAGTGTTTCAGGACTGCTCTATGAAAGGGAGTGTTCAACTTTTGACTTGAATGCAAACATCAGAAAGCAGTTTCTCAGAACGCTGCTGTGTGCTTTTTATATGTATTCCCGCCTCCAGCGAAATCCCCAAAGCTAGCCAAATATCCACTTGCAGATTCCAGAAAAAGAGTGTTTCAAAACTGCTCCTTCAAAACGGTGGTTCAATTCTCTTAGTTGAGTACACACATCTCAAATAAGTTTCTGAGAATGCTTCTGTCTAGTTGTTATGGGAAGATATTTCCTTTTCCAACATAGGCCTGAAAGCGCTCCAAATGTCCACTTCCAGATACTACAAAAGGAGTGATTCCAACCTGCTCTATGATAGGGAATGTTCAACTCTGTGTCCTGAATACAAACATCACAAAGATGTTTCTCAGAACGCTGCAGTCTGCAATTTGTATGAATTCCCGCTTCCAACGAAATCCTCCAAACTAGCCAAATATCCACTTGCAGATTCCACAAAAAGAGCGTTTCAAAACTTCTCTATGAAAAGAAAGGTTCTACTCCTTTAGTTGAGGACACACATCACGAGTAAGTTTCTGAGAATGCTTCTGTCTAGTTTTTATGGGAAGATATTTCCTTTTTCACCTTAGGCCGGAAAGTGCTCCAAATGTCCACTTACACACACTATAAAAAGAGTGTTTCAAACCTGCTCTGTGAAAGGGAATGTTCAATTCTGTGACTTGAATGCAATCATCACAAAGAACTTTCTGAGAATGCTGCTGTCTGCTTTTTATATGTAATCCCGTTTCCAACGAAATCCTCAAATCTAGCCAAATAGCCACTTGCAGATTCCACAAAAAGAGAGTTTCAAAACTGTTCTGTCTAAAGAAATGTTCAACTGTGTTAGTTGAGGACACACATCAGAAACTAGTTTCTGAGAATGCTTCTGTCTAGTTGTTATGGGAAGATATTTCCTTTTCCAACGTAGGCCTGAAAGCGCTCCAAATGTCCACTTCCATATACTAAAAAAAGAGTGTTTCAAACCTGCTCTACCAAAGGGAATGTTCTACTCTGTGACTTGAATGCAAACATCCCAAAGAAGTTTCTGAGAATGCTTCTGTCTAGATTTGATCTGAAGACAATCCCGTTTCCAACGAAATCCTCAAGGCTAGGCAAATATCCTCTTGCAGATTCCAGAAAAAGAGTGTTTCAAAACTGCTCCTTCAAAACGGTGGTTCAATTCTCTTAGTTGAGTACACACATCTCAAATAAGTTTCTGAGAATGCTTCTGCCTAGTTGTTACGGGAAGATATTTCCCTTTCCAACATAGGCCTGAAAGCGCTCCAAATGTCCACTTCCAGATACTACAAAAAGAGTGTTTCAAACCTGCTCTACCAAAGGGAATGTTCTACTCTGTGACTTGAATGCAAACATCCCAAAGAAGTTTCTGAGAATGCTTCTGTCTAGATTTTACCTGAAGACAATCCCGTTTCCCACGAAATCCTCAAAGCTATGCAAATATCCTCTTGCAGATTCTACAAAAAGAGTGTTTCAAAACTGCTCTATGAAAAGAAAGGTTCAACTCTATCAGTAGAGGGCACACATCACAAACAAGTTTCTGAGAATGCTTGTGTCTAGTTGTTATGGGAAGATATTTCCTTTTTCAACATAGGCCTGAAAGCGCTCCAAATGTCCACTTCCAGATACTACAAAAGGAGTGATTCCAACCTGCTCTATGATAGGGAATGTTCAACTCTCTGTCCTGAATACAAACATCACAAAGATGTTTCTCAGAACGCTGCAGTCTGCAATTTGTATGAATTCCCGCTTCCAACGAAATCCTCAAAACTAGCCAAATATCCACTTGCAGATTCCACAAAAAGAGCATTTCAAAATTGCTCTATCAAAAGAAAGGTTCAACTTTGTTAGTTGAGTAGATACAGCATAAACAAGTTTCTGAGAATGCTTCTGTCCAGTTTTTATGGGAAGATATTTCCTTTTTCACCTTAGCCCTGAAAGCGCTCCAAAAGTCCAGTTCCAGATACTACAAAAGGAGTGTTTCAGGACTGCTCTATGAAAGGGAGTGTTCAACTTTTGACTTGAATGCAAACATCAGAAAGCAGTTTCTTAGAACGCTGCAGTCGGCAATTTGTATGAATTCCCGCTTCCAACGAAATCCTCCAAACTAGCCAAATATCCACTTGCAGATTCCACAAAAAGAGCGTTTCAAAACTTCTCTATGAAAACAAAGGTTCTACTCCTTTAGTTGAGGACACACATCACGAGTAAGTTTCTGAGAATGCTTCTGTCTAGTTTTTATGGGAAGATATTCCCTTTTTCACCTTAGGCCGGAAAGTGCTCCAAATGTCCACTTACACACACTACAAAAAGAGTGTTTTTGAAACCTGCTCTGTGAAAGGGAATGTTCAATTCTGTGACTTGAATGCAATCATCACAAAGAACTTTCTGAGAATGCTGCTGTCTGCTTTTTATATGTAATCCCGTTTCCAACGAAATCCTCAAATCTAGCCAAATAGCCACTTGCAGATTCCACAAAAAGAGTGTTTCAAAACTGTTCTGTCTAAAGAAATGTTCAACTGTGTTAGTTGAGGACACACATCAGAAACTAGTTTCTGAGAATGCTTCTGTCTAGTTGTTATGGGAAGATATTTCCTTTTCCAACGTAGGCCTGAAAGCGCTCCAAATGTCCACTTCCATATACTAAAAAAAGAGTGTTTCAAACCTGCTCTACCAAAGGGAATGTTCTACTCTGTGACTTGAATGCAAACATCCCAAAGAAGTTTCTGAGAATGCTTCTGTCTAGATTTTATCTGAAGACAATCCCGTTTCCAACGAAATCCTCAAGGCTAGGCAAATATACTCTTGCAGATTCCAGAAAAAGAGGGTTTCAAAACTGCTCCTTCAAAACGGTGGTTCAATTCTCTTCGTTGAGTCCACACATCTCAAATAAGTTTCTGAGAATGCTTCTGCCTAGTTGTTACGGGAAGATATTTCCCTTTCCAACATGGGTCTGAAAGCGCTCCAAATGTCCACTTCCAGATACTACAAAAAGAGTGTTTCAAACCTGCTCTACCAAAGGGAATGTTCTATTCTGTGACTTGAATGCAAACATCCCAAAGAAGTTTCTGAGAATGCTTCTGTCTAGATTTTACCTGAAGACAATCCCGTTTCCCACGAAATCCTCAAAGCTATGCAAATATCCTCTTGCGGATTCTACAAAAAGAGTGTTTCAAAACTGCTCTATGAAAAGAAAGGTTCAACTCTGTCAGTAGAGGGCACACATCACAAACAAGTTTCTGAGAACGCTTGTGTCTAGTTGTTATGGGAAGATATTTCCTTTTTCAACATAGGCCTGAAAGCGCTCCAAATGTCCACTTCCAGATAGTACAAAAGGAGTGATTCCAACATGCTCTATGATAGGGAATGTTCATCTCTGTGTCTTGAATACAAACATCACAAAGATGTTTCTCACAACGCTGCAGTCTGCAATTTGTATGAATTCCCGCTTCCATCGAAATCCTCAAAACTAGCCAAATATCCACTTGGAGATTCCACAAAAAGAGCGTTTCAAAACTTCTCTATGCATAGAAAGGTTCTACTCCTTTAGTTGAGGACACACATCACGAGTAAGTTTCTGAGAATGCCTCTGTCTAGTTTTTATGGGAAGATATTTCCTTTTTCACCTTAGGCCGGAAAGCGCTCCAAATGTCCACTTACACACACTACAAAAAGAGTGTTTCAAACCTGCTCTGTGAAAGGGAATGTTCAATTCTGTGACTTGAATGCAATCATCACAAAGAACTTTCTGAGAATGCTGCTGTCTGCTTTTTATATGTAATCCCGTTTCCAACGAAATCCTCAAATCTAGCCAAATATCCTCTTGCAGATTCCACAAAAAGAGTGTTTCAAAACTGTTCTGTCTAAAGAAATGTACAACTGTGTTAGTTGAGGACACACATCAGAAACTAGTTTCTGAGAATGCTTCTGTCTAGTTGTTATGGGAAGATATTTCCTTTTCCAAAGTAGGCCTGAAAGCGCTCCAAATGTCCACTTCCATATACTAAAAAAAGAGTGTTTCAAACCTGCTCTACCAAAGGGAATGTTCTACTCTGTGACTTGAATGCAAACATCCCAAAGAAGTTTCTGAGAATGCTTCTGTCTAGATTTTATCTGAAGACAATCCCGTTTCCAACGAAATCCTCAAGGCTAGGCAAATATATTCTTGCAGAATCCAGAAAAAGAGTGTTTCAAAACTGCTCCTTCAAAACGGTGGTTCAATTCTCTTAGTTGAGTACACACATCTCAAATAAGTTTCTGAGAATGCTTCTGCCTAGTTGTTATGGGAAGATATTTCCCTTTCCAACATGGGCCTGAAAGCGCTCCAAATGTCCACTTCCAGATACTACAAAAAGAGTGTTTCAAACCTGCTCTACCAAAGGGAATGTTCTACTCTGTGTCTTGAATGCAAACATCCCAAAGAAGTTTCTGAGAATGCTTCTGTCTAGATTTTACCTGAAGACAATCCCGTTTCCCACGAAATCCTCAAAGCTATGCAAATATCCTCTTGCAGATTCTACAAAAAGAATGTTTTTTTTTTGTAGTGTTTCAAAACTGCTCTATGAAAAGAAAGGTTCAACTCTGTCAGTAGAGGGCACACATCACAAACAAGTTTCTGAGAATGCTTCTGCATAGTTGTTACGGGAAGATATTTCCCTTTCCAAAATAGGCCTGAAAGCGCTCCAAATGTCCACTTCCAGATACTACAAAAGGAGTGATTCCAACCTGCTCTATGATAGGGAATGTTCAACTCTCTGTCCTGAATACAAACATCACAAAGATGTTTCTCAGAACGCTGCAGTCTGCAATTTGTATGAATTCCCGCTTCCAACGAAATCCTCAAAACTAGCCAAATATCCACTTGCAGATTCCACAAAAAGACCATTTCAAAACTGCTCTATCAAAAGAAAGGTTCAACTTTGTTAGTTGAGTAGATACAGCATAAACAAGTTTCTGAGAATGCTTCTGTCCAGTTTTTATGGGAAGATATTTCCTTTTTCACCTTAGCCCTGAAATCGCTCCAAAAGTCCAGTTCCAGATACTACAAAAGGGGTGTTTCAAGACTGCTCTATGAAAGGGAGTGTTCAACTTTTGACTTGAATGCAAACATCAGAAAGCAGTTTCTCAGAACGCTGCTGTGTGCTTTTTATATGTATTCCCGCTTCCAGCGAAATCCCCAAAGCTAGCCAAATATCCACTTGCAGATTCCAGAAAAAGAGAGTTTCAAAACTGCTCCTTCAAAACGGTGGTTCAATTCTCTTAGTTGAGTACACACATCTCAAATAAGTTTCTGAGAATGCTTCTGTCTAGTTGTTATGGGAAGATATTTCCTTTTGCAACATAGGCCTGAAAGCGCTCCAAATGTCCACTTCCAGATACTACAAAAGGAGTGATTCCAACCTGCTCTATGATAGGGAATGTTCAACTCTGTGTCCTGAATACAAACATCACAAAGATGTTTCTCAGAACGCTGCAGTCTGCAATTTGTATGAATTCCCGCTTCCAACGAAATCCTCAAAACTAGCCAAATATCCACTTGCAGATTCCACAAAAAGAGCGTTTCAAAACTTCTCTATGAAAAGAAAGGTTCTACTCCTTTAGTTGAGGACACACATCACGAGTAAGTTTCTGAGAATGCTTCTGTCTAGTTTTTATGGGAAGATATTTCCTTTTTCACCTTAGGCCGGTAAGTGCTCCAAATGTCCACTTACACACACTACAAAAAGAGTGTTTCAAACCTGCTCTGTGAAAGGGAATGTTCAATTCTGTGACTTGAATGCAATCATCACAAAGAACTTTCTGAGAATGCTGCTGACTGCTTTTTATATGTAATCCCGTTTCCAACGAAATCCTCAAATCTAGCCAAATAG
Organism: Homo sapiens; assembly: GCF_000001405.40. Taxonomy (NCBI): domain Eukaryota; kingdom Metazoa; phylum Chordata; class Mammalia; order Primates; family Hominidae; genus Homo; species Homo sapiens. Next base: position 17,770,676 of record NC_000018.10, on the reverse strand, counting down.
CCACTTGCAGATTCCACAAAAAGAGTGTTTCAAAACTGTTCTGTCTAAAGAAATGTTCAACTGTGTTAGTTGAGGACACACATCAGAAACTAGTTTCTGAGAATGCTTCTGTCTAGTTGTTATGGGAAGATATTTCCTTTTCCAACGTAGGCCTGAAAGCGCTCCAAATGTCCACTTCCATATACTAAAAAAAGAGTGTTTCAAACCTGCTCTACCAAAGGGAATGTTCTACTCTGTGACTTGAATGCAAACATCCCAAAGAAGTTTCTGAGAATGCTTCTGTCTAGATTTGATCTGAAGACAATCCCGTTTCCAACGAAATCCTCAAAGCTAGGCAAATATCCTCTTGCAGATTCCAGAAAAAGAGTGTTTCAAAACTGCTCCTTCAAAACGGTGGTTCAATTCTCTTAGTTGAGTACACACATCTCAAATAAGTTTCTGAGAATGCTTCTGCCTAGTTGTTACGGGAAGATATTTCCCTTTCCAACATAGGCCTGAGAAGCGCTCCAAATGTCCACTTCCAGATACTACAAAAAGAGTGTTTCAAACCTGCTCTACCAACGGGAATGTTCTGCTCTGTGACTTGAATGCAAACATCCCAAAGAAGTTTCTGAGAATGCTTCTGTCTAGATTTTACCTGAAGACAATCCCGTTTCCAACGAAATCCTCAAAGCTATGCAAATATCCTCTTGCAGATTCTACAAAAAGAGTGCTTCAAAACTGCTCTATGAAAAGAAAGGTTCAACTCTGTCAGTAGAGGGCACACATCACAAACAAGTTTCTGAGAATGCTTCTGCATAGTTGTTACGGGAAGATATTTCCCTTTCCAAAATAGGCCTGAAAGCGCTCCAAATGTCCACTTCCAGATACTACAAAAGGAGTGATTCAAACCTGCTCTATGATAGGGAATGTTCAACTCTGTGTCCTGAATACAAACATCACAAAGATGTTTCTCAGAACGCTGCAGTCTGCAATTTGTATGAATTCCCGCTTCCAACGAAATCCTCAAAACTAGCCAAATATCCACTTGCAGATTCCACAAAAAGACCATTTCAAAACTGCTCTATCAAAAGAAAGGTTCAACTTTGTTAGTTGAGTAGATACAGCATAACCAAGTTTCTGAGAATGCTTCTGTCCAGTTTTTATGGGAAGATATTTCCTTTTTCACCTTAGCCCTGAAAGCGCTCCAAATTTCCAGTTCCAGATACTACAAAAGGGGTGTTTCAAGACTGCTCTATGAAAGGGAGTGTTCAAGTTTTGACTTGAATGCAAACATCAGAAAGCAGTTTCTCAGAACGCTGCTGTATGCTTTTTATATGTATTCCGGCTTCCAGCGAAATCCCCAAAGCTAGCCAAATATCCACTTGCAGATTCCAGAAAAAGAGTGTTTCAAAACTGCTCCTTCAAAACGGTGGTTCAATTCTCTTAGTTGAGTACACACATCTCAAATAAGTTTCTGAGAATGCTTCTGTCTAGTTGTTATGGGAAGATATTTCCTTTTCCAACATAGGCCTGAAAGCGCTCCAAATGTCCACTTCCAGATACTACAAAAGGAGTGATTCAAACCTGCTCTATGATAGGGAATGTTCAACTCTGTGTCCTGAATACAAACATCACAAAGATGTTTCTCAGAACGCTGCAGTCTGCAATTTGTATGAATTCCCGCTTCCAACGAAATCCTCAAAACTAGCCAAATATCCACTTGCAGATTCCACAAAAAGAGCGTTTCAAAACTTCTCTATGAAAAGAAAGGTTCTACTCCTTTAGTTGAGGACACACATCACGAGTAAGTTTCTGAGAATGCTTCTGTCTAGTTTTTATGGGAAGATATTTCCTTTTTCACCTTAGGCCGGAAAGCGCTCCAAATGTCCACTTACACACACTACAAAAAGAGTGTTTCAAACCTGCTCTGTGAAAGGGAATGTTCAATTCTGTGACTTGAATGCAATCATCACAAAGAACTTTCTGAGAATGCTGCTGACTGCTTTTTATATGTAATCCCGTTTCCAACGAAATCCTCAAATCTAGCCAAATAGCCACTTGCAGATTCCACAAAAAGAGTGTTTCAAAACTGTTCTGTCTAAAGAAATGTTCAACTGTGTTAGTTGAGGACACACATCAGAAACTAGTTTCTGAGAATGCTTCTGTCTAGTTGTTATGGGAAGATATTTCCTTTTCCAACGTAGGCCTGAAAGCGATCAAAATGTCCACTTCCATATACTAAAAAAAGAGTGTTTCAAACCTGCTCTACCAAAGGGAATGTTCTACTCTGTGACTTGAATGCAAACATCCCAAAGAAGTTTCTGAGAATGCTTCTGTCTAGATTTTCTCTGAAGACAATCCCGTTTCCAACGAAATCCTCAAGGCTAGGCAAATATACTCTTGCAGATTCCAGAAAAAGAGTGTTTCAAAACTGCTCCTTCAAAACGGTGGTTAAATTCTCTTAGTTGAGTACACACATCTCAAATAAGTTTCTGAGAATGCTTCTGCCTAGTTGTTACGGGAAGATATTTCCCTTTCCAACATGGGCCTGAAAGCGCTCCAAATGTCCACTTCCAGATACTACAAAAAGAGTGTTTCAAACCTGCTCTACCAAAGGGAATGTTCTACTCTGTGACTTGAATGCAAACATCCCAAAGAAGTTTCTGAGAATGCTTCTGTCTAGATTTTACCTGAAGACAATCCCGTTTCCCACGAAATCCTCAAAGCTATTCAAATATCCTCTTGCAGATTCTACAAAAAGAGTGTTTCAAAACTGCTCTATGAAAAGAAAGGTTCAACTCTGTCACTAGAGGGCACACATCACAAACAAGTTTCTGAGAATGCTTGTGTCTAGTTGTTATGGGAAGATATTTCCTTTTTCAACATAGGCCTGAAAGCGCTCCAAATGTCCACTTCCAGATACTACAAAAGGAGTGATTCCAACCTGCTCTATGATAGGGAATGTTCAACTCTCTGTCCTGAATACAAACATCACAAAGATGTTTCTCAGAACGCTGCAGTCTGCAATTTGTATGAATTCCCGCTTCCAACGAAATCCTCAAAACTAGCCAAATATCCACTTGCAGATTCCACAAAAAGAGCGTTTCAAAACTTCTCTATGAAAAGGAAGGTTCTACTCCTTTAGTTGAGGACACACATCACGAGTAAGTTTCTGAGAATGCTTCTGTCTAGTTTTTAAGGGAAGATATTTCCTTTTTCACCTTAGGCCGGAAAGTGCTCCAAATGTCCACTTACACACACTACAAAAAGAGTGTTTCAAACCTGCTCTGTGAAAGGGAATGTTCAATTCTGTGACTTGAATGCAATCATCACAAAGAACTTTCTGAGAATGCTGCTGTCTGCTTTTTATATGTAATCCCGTTTCCAACGAAATCCTCAAATCTAGCCAAATAGCCACTTGCAGATTCCACAAAAAGAGTGTTTCAAAACTGTTCTGTCTAAAGAAATGTTCAACTGTGTTAGTTGAGGACACACATCAGAAACTAGTTTCTGAGAATGCTTCTGTCTAGTTGTTATGGGAAGATATTTCCTTTTCCAACGTAGGCCTGAAAGCGCTCCAAATGTCCACTTCCATATACTAAAAAAAGAGTGTTTCAAACCTGCTCTACCAAAGGGAATGTTCTACTCTGTGACTTGAATGCAAACATCCCAAAGAAGTTTCTGAGAATGCTTCTGTCTAGATTTGATCTGAAGACAATCCCGTTTCCAACGAAATCCTCAAGGCTAGGCAAATATCCTCTTGCAGATTCCAGAAAAAGAGTGTTTCAAAACTGCTCCTTCAAAACGGTGGTTCAATTCTCTTAGTTGAGTACACACATCTCAAATAAGTTTCTGAGAATGCTTCTGCCTAGTTGTTACGGGAAGATATTTCCCTTTCCAACATAGGCCTGAAAGCGCTCCAAATGTCCACTTCCAGATACTACAAAAAGAGTGTTTCAAACCTGCTCTACAAAAGGGAATGTTCTACTCTGTGACTTGAATGCAAACATCCCAAAGAAGTTTCTGAGAATGCTTCTGTCTAGATTTTACCTGAAGACAATCCCGTTTCCCACGAAATCCTCAAAGCTATGCAAATATCCTCTTGCAGATTCTACAAAAAGAGTGTTTCAAAACTGCTCTATGAAAAGAAAGGTTCAACTCTGTCAGTAGAGGGCACACATCACAAACAAGTTTCTGAGAATGCTTGTGTCTAGTTGTTATGGGAAGATATTTCCTTTTTCAACATAGGCCTGAAAGCGCTCCAAATGTCCACTTCCAGATACTACAAAAGGAGTGATTCCAACCTGCTCTATGATAGGGAATGTTCAACTCTCTGTCCTGAATACAAACATCACAAAGATGTTTCTCAGAACGCTGCAGTCTGCAATTTGTATGAATTCCCGCTTCCAACGAAATCCTCAAAACTAGCCAAATATCCACTTGCAGATTCCACAAAAAGAGCATTTCAAAACTGCTCTATCAAAAGAAAGGTTCAACTTTGTTAGTTGAGTAGATACAGCATAAATAAGTTTCTGAGAATGCTTCTGTCCAGTTTTTATGGGAAGATATTTCCTTTTTCACCTTAGCCCTGAAAGCGCTCCAAAAGTCCAGTTCCAGATACTACAAAAGGAGTGTTTCAGACTGCACTATGAAAGGGAGTGTTCAACTTTTGACTTGAATGCAAACATCAGAAAGCAGTTTCTCAGAACGCTGCTGTGTGCTTTTTATATGTATTCCCGCTTCCAGCGAAATCCCCAAAGCTAGCCAAATATCCACTTGCAGATTCCAGAAAAAGAGTGTTTCAAAACTGCTCCTTCAAAACGGTGGTTCAATTCTCTTAGTTGAGTACACACATCTCAAATAAGTTTCTGAGAATGCTTCTGCATAGTTGTTACGGGAAGATATTTCCCTTTCCAAAATAGGCCTGAAAGCGCTCCAAATGTCCACTTCCAGATACTACAAAAGGAGTGATTCCAACCTGCTCTATGATAGGGAATGTTCAACTCTGTGTCCTGAATACAAACATCACAAAGATGTTTCTCAGAACGCTGCAGTCTGCAATTTGTATGAATTCCCGCTTCCAACCGAAATCCTCAAAACTAGCCAAATATCCACTTGCAGATTCCACAAAAAGAGCATTTCAAAACTGCTCTATCAAAAGAAAGGTTCAACTTTGTTAGTTGAGTAGATACAGCATAAACAAGTTTCTGAGAATGCTTCTGTCCAGTTTTTATGGGAAGATATTTCCTTTTTCACCTTAGCCCTGAAAGCGCTCCAAAAGTCCAGTTCCAGATACTACAAAAGGAGTGTTTCAGGACTGCTCTATGAAAGGGAGTGTTCAACTTTTGACTTGAATGCAAACATCAGAAAGCAGTTTCTCAGAACGCTGCTGTGTGCTTTTTATATGTATTCCCGCTTCCAGCGAAATCCCCAAAGCTAGCCAAATATCCACTTGCAGATTCCAGAAAAAGAGTGTTTCAAAACTGCTCCTTCAAAACGGTGGTTCAATTCTCTTAGTTGAGTACACACATCTCAAATAAGTTTCTGAGAATGCTTCTGTCTAGTTGTTATGGGAAGATATTTCCTTTTCCAACATAGGCCTGAAAGCGCTCCAAATGTCCACTTCCAGATACTACAAAAGGAGTGATTCAAACCTGCTCTATGATAGGGAATGTTCAACTCTGTGTCCTGAATACAAACATCACAAAGATGTTTCTCAGAACGCTGCAGTCTGCAATTTGTATGAATTCCCGCTTCCAACGAAATCCTCAAAACTAGCCAAATATCCACTTGCAGATTCCACAAAAAGAGCGTTTCAAAACTTCTCTATGAAAAGAAAGGTTCTACTCCTTTAGTTGAGGACACACATCACGAGTAAGTTTCTGAGAATGCTTCTGTCTAGTTTGTATGGGAAGATATTTCCTTTTTCACCTTAGGCCGGAAAGTGCTCCAAATGTCCACTTACACACACTACAAAAAGAGTGTTTCAAACCTGCTCTGTGAAAGGGAATGTTCAATTCTGTGACTTGAATGCAATCATCACAAAGAACTTTCTGAGAATGCTGCTGTCTGCTTTTTATATGTAATCCCGTTTCCAACGAAATCCTCAAATCTAGCCAAATAGCCACTTGCAGATTCCACAAAAAGAGAGTTTCAAAACTGTTCTGTCTAAAGAAATGTTCAACTGTGTTAGTTGAGGACACACATCAGAAACTAGTTTCTGAGAATGCTTCTGTCTAGTTGTTATGGGAAGATATTTCGTTTTCCAACGTAGGCCTGAAAGCGCTCCAAATGTCCACTTCCATATACTAAAAAAAGAGTGTTTCACACCTGCTCTACCAAAGGGAATGTTCTACTCTGTGACTTGAATGCAAACATCCCAAAGAAGTTTCTGAGAATGCTTCTGTCTAGATTTGATCTGAAGACAATCCCGTTTCCAACGGAAATCCTCAAAGCTAGGCAAATATACTCTTGCAGATTCCAGAAAAAGAGTGTTTCAAAACTGCTCCTTCAAAAGGGTGGTTCAATTCTCTTAGTTGAGTACACACATCTCAAATAAGTTTCCGAGAATGCTTCTGCCTAGTTGTTACGGGAAGATATTTCCCTTTCCAACATGGGCCTGAAAGCGCTCCAAATGTCCACTTCCAGATACTACAAAAAGAGGGTTTCAAACCTGCTCTACCAAAGGGAATGTTCTACTCTGTGACTTGAATGCAAACATCCCAAAGAAGTTTCTGAGAATGCTTCTGTCTAGATTTTACCTGAAGACAATCCCGTTTCCCACGAAATCCTCAAAGCTATGCAAATATCCTCTTGCAGATTCTACAAAAAGAGTGTTTCAAAACTGCTCTATGAAAAGAAAGGTTCAACTCTGTCAGTAGAGGGCACACATCACAAACAAGTTTCTGAGAATGCTTGTGTCTAGTTGTTATGGGAAGATATTTCCTTTTTCAACATAGGCCTGAAAGCGCTCCAAATGTCCACTTCCAGATACTACAAAAGGAGTGATTCCAACCTGCTCTATGATAGGGAATGTTCAACTCTCTGTCCTGAATACAAACATCACAAAGATGTTTCTCAGAACGCTGCAGTCTGCAATTTGTATGAATTCCCGCTTCCAACGAAATCCTCAACACTAGCCAAATATCCACTTGGAGATTCCACAAAAAGAGCGTTTCAAAACTTCTCTATGAATAGAAAGGTTCTACTCCTTTAGTTGAGGACACACATCACGAGTAAGTTTCTGAGAATGCTTCTGTCTAGTTTTTATGGGAAGATATTTCCTTTTTCACCTTAGGCCGGAAAGCGCTCCAAATGTCCACTTACACACACTACAAAAAGAGTGTTTCAAACCTGCTCTGTGAAAGGGAATGTTCAATTCTGTGACTTGAATGCAATCATCACAAAGAACTTTCTGAGAATGCTGCTGTCTGCTTTTTATATGTAATCCCCTTTCCAACGAAATCCTCAAATCTAGCCAAATAGCCACTTGCAGATTCCACAAAAAGAGTGTTTCAAAACTGTTCTGTCTAAAGAAATGTGCAACTGTGTTAGTTGAGGACACACATCAGAAACTAGTTTCTGAGAATGCTTCTGTCTAGTTGTTATGGGAAGATATTTCCTTTTCCAACGTAGGCCTGAAAGCGCTCCAAATGTCCACTTCCATATACTAAAAAAAGAGTGTTTCAAACCTGCTCTACCAAAGGGAATGTTCTACTCTGTGACTTGAATGCAAACATCCCAAAGAAGTTTCTGAGAATGCTTCTGTCTAGATTTGATCTGAAGACAATCCCGTTTCCAACGAAATCCTCAAGGCTAGGCAAATATCCTCTTGCAGATTCCAGAAAAAGAGTGTTTCAAAACTGCTCCTTCAAAACGGTGGTTCAATTCTCTTAGTTGAGTACACACATCTCAAATAAGTTTCTGAGAATGCTTCTGCCTAGTTGTTACGGGAAGATATTTCCCTTTCCAACATAGGCCTGAAAGCGCTCCAAATGTCCACTTCCAGATACTACAAAAAGAGTGTTTCAAACCTGCTCTACCAAAGGGAATGTTCTACTCTGTGACTTGAATGCAAACATCCCAAAGAAGTTTCTGAGAATGCTTCTGTCTAGATTTTACCTGAAGACAATCCCGTTTCCCACGAAATCCTCAAAGCTATGCAAATATCCTCTTGCAGATTCTACAAAAAGAGTGTTTCAAAAGTGCTCTATGAAAAGAAAGGTTCAACTCTGTCAGTAGAGGGCACACATCACAAACAAGTTTCTGAGAATGCTTCTGCATAGTTGTTACGGGAAGATATTTCCCTTTCCAAAATAGGCCTGAAAGCGCTCCAAATGTCCACTTCCAGATACTACAAAAGGAGTGATTCCAACCTGCTCTATGATAGGGAATGTTCAACTCTGTGTCCTGAATACAAACATCACAAAGATGTTTCTCAGAACGCTGCAGTCTGCAATTTGTATGAATTCCCGCTTCCAACGAAATCCTCAAAACTAGCCAAATATCCACTTGCAGATTCCACAAAAAGACCATTTCAAAACTGCTCTATCAAAAGAAAGGTTCAACTTTGTTAGTTGAGTAGATACAGCATAAACAAGTTTCTGAGAATGCTTCTGTCCAGTTTTTATGGGAAGATATTTCCTTTTTCACCTTAGCCCTGAAATCGCTCCAAAAGTCCAGTTCCAGATACTACAAAAGGGGTGTTTCAGGACTGCTCTATGAAAGGGAGTGTTCAACTTTTGACTTGAATGCAAACATCAGAAAGCAGTTTCTCAGAACGCTGCTGTGTGCTTTTTATATGTATTCCCGCTTCCAGCGAAATCCCCAAAGCTAGCCAAATATCCACTTGCAGATTCCAGAAAAAGAGAGTTTCAAAACTGCTCCTTCAAAACGGTGGTTCAATTCTCTTAGTTGAGTACACACATCTCAAATAAGTTTCTGAGAATGCTTCTGTCTAGTTGTTATGGGAAGATATTTCCTTTTCCAACATAGGCCTGAAAGCGCTCCAAATGTCCACTTCCAGATACTACAAAAGGAGTGATTCAAACCTGCTCTATGATAGGGAATGTTCAACTCTGTGTCCTGAATACAAACATCACAAAGATGTTTCTCAGAACGCTGCAGTCTGCAATTTGTATGAATTCCCGCTTCCAACGAAATCCTCAAAACTAGCCAAATATCCACTTGCAGATTCCACAAAAAGAGCGTTTCAAAACTTCTCTATGAAAAGAAAGGTTCTACTCCTTTAGTTGAGGACACACATCACGAGTAAGTTTCTGAGAATGCTTCTGTCTAGTTTTTATGGGAAGATATTTCCTTTTTCACCTTAGGCCGGAAAGAGCTCCAAATGTCCACTTACACACACTACAAAAAGAGTGTTTCAAACCTGCTCTGTGAAAGGGAATGTTCAATTCTGTGACTTGAATGCAATCATCACAAAGAACTTTCTGAGAATGCTGCTGTCTGCTTTTTATATGTAATCCCGTTTCCAACGAAATCCTCAAATCTAGCCAAATAGCCACTTGCAGATTCCACAAAAAGAGTGTTTCAAAACTGTTCTGTCTAAAGAAATGTTCAACTGTGTTAGTTGAGGACACACATCAGAAACTAGTTTCTGAGAATGCTTCTGTCTAGTTGTTATGGGAAGATATTTCCTTTTCCAACGTAGGCCTGAAAGCGCTCCAAATGTCCACTTCCATATACTAAAAAAAGAGTGTTTCAAACCTGCTCTACCAAAGGGAATGTTCTACTCTGTGACTTGAATGGAAACATCCCAAAGAAGTTTCTGAGAATGCTTCTGTCTAGATTTGATCTGAAGACAATCCGGTTTCCAACGAAATCCTCAAGGCTAGGCAAATATCCTCTTGCAGATTAAAGAAAAAGAGTGTTTCAAAACTGCTCCTTCAAAAAGGTTGTTCAATTCTCTTAGTTGAGTACACACATCTCAAATAAGTTTCTGAGAATGCTTCTGCCTAGTTGTTACGGGAAGATATTTCCCTTTCCAACATAGGCCTGAAAGCGCTCCAAATGTCCACTTCCAGATACTACAAAAAGAGTGTTTCAAACCTGCTCTACCAAAGGGAATGTTCTACTCTGTGACTTGAATGCAAACATCCCAAAGAAGTTTCTGAGAATGCTTCTGTCTAGATTTTACCTGAAGACAATCCCGTTTCCCACGAAATCCTCAAAGCTATGCAAATATCCTCTTGCAGATTCTACAAAAAGAGTGTTTCAAAACTGCTCTATGAAAAGAAAGGTTCAACTCTGTCAGTAGAGGGCACACATCACAAACAAGTTTCTGAGAATGCTTCTGCATAGTTGTTACGGGAAGATATTTCCCTTTCCAAAATAGGCCTGAAAGCGCTCCAAATGTCCACTTCCAGATACTACAAAAGGAGTGATTCCAACCTGCTCTATGATAGGGAATGTTCAACTCTGTGTCCTGAATACAAACATCACAAAGATGTTTCTCAGAACGCTGCAGTCTGCAATTTGTATGAATTCCCGCTTCCAACGAAATCCTCAAAACTAGCCAAATATCCACTTGCAGATTCCACAAAAAGACCATTTCAAAACTGCTCTATCAAAAGAAAGGTTCAACTTTGTTAGTTGAGTAGATACAGCATAACCAAGTTTCTGAGAATGCTTCTGTCCAGTTTTTATGGGAAGATATTTCCTTTTTCACCTTAGCCCTGAAATCGCTCCAAAAGTCCAGTTCCAGATACTACAAAAGGGGTGTTTCAAGACTGCTCTATGAAAGGGAGTGTTCAACTTTTGACTTGAATGCAAACATCAGAAAGCAGTTTCTCAGAACGCTGCTGTGTGCTTTTTATATGTATTCCCGCTTCCAGCGAAATCCCCAAAGCTAGCCAAATATCCACTTGCAGATTCCAGAAAAAGAGAGTTTCAAAACTGCTCCTTCAAAACGGTGGTTCAATTCTCTTAGTTGAGTACACACATCTCAAATAAGTTTCTGAGAATGCTTGTGTCTAGTTGTTATGGGAAGATATTTCCTTTTTCAACATAGGCCTGAAAGCGCTCCAAATGTCCACTTCCAGATACTACAAAAGGAGTGATTCGAACCTGCTCTATGATAGGAAATGTTCCTCTCTGTGTCCTGAATACAAACATCACAAAGATGTTTCTCAGAACGCTGCAGTCTGCAATTTGTATGAATTCCCGCTTCCAACGAAATCCTGAAAACTAGCCAAATATCCACTTGGAGATTCCACAAAAAGAGCGTTTCAAAACTTCTCTATGAATAGAAAGGTTCTACTCCTTTAGTTGAGGACACACATCACGAGTAAGTTTCTGAGAATGGTTCTGTCAAGTTTTTATGGGAAGATATTTCCTTTTTCACCTTAGGCCGGAAAGCGCTCCAAATGTCCACTTACACACACTACAAAAAGAGTGTTTCAAACCTGCTCTGTGAAAGGGAATGTTCAATTCTGTGACTTGAATGCAATCATCACAAAGAACTTTCTGAGACTGCTGCTGTCTGCTTTTTATATGTAATCCCGTTTCCAACGAAATCCTCAAATCTAACCAAATATCCACTTGCAGATTCCAGAAAAAGAGTGTTTCAAAACTGCTCCTTCAAAACGGTGGTTCAATTCTCTTAGTTGAGTACACACATCACAAACAAGTTTCTGAGAATGCTTGTGTCTAGTTGTTATGGGAAGATATTTCCTTTTTCAACATAGGCCTGAAAGCGCTCCAAATGTCCACTTCCAGATACTACAAAAGGAGTGATTCCAACCTGCTCTATGATAGGGAATGTTCATCTCTGTGTCCTGAATACAAACATCACAAAGATGTTTCTCAGAACGCTGCAGTCTGCAATTTGTATGAATTCCCGCTTCCAACGAAATCCTCAAAACTAGCCAAATATCCACTTGGAGATTCCACAAAAAGAGCGTTTCAAACCTTCTCTATGAATAGAAAGGTTCTACTCCTTTAGTTGAGGACACACATCACGAGTAAGTTTCTGAGAATGCTTCTGTCTAGTTTTTATGGGAAGATATTTCCTTTTTCACCTTAGGCCGGAAAGCGCTCCAAATGTCCACTTACACACACTACAAAAAGAGTGTTTCAAACCTGCTCTGTGAAAGGGAATGTTCAATTCTGTGACTTGAATGCAATCATCACAAAGAACTTTCTGAGAATGCTGCTGTCTGCTTTTTATATGTAATCCCGTTTCCAACGAAATCCTCAAATCTAGCCAAATAGCCACTTGCAGATTCCACAAAAAGAGTGTTTCAAAACTGTTCTGTCTAAAGAAATGTTCAACTGTGTTAGTTGAGGACACACATCAGAAACTAGTTTCTGAGAATGCTTCTGTCTAGTTGTTATGGGAAGATATTTCCTTTTCCAACGTAGGCCTGAAAGCGCTCCAAATGTCCACTTCCATATACTAAAAAAAGAGTGTTTCAAACCTGCTCTACCAAAGGGAATGTTCTACTCTGTGACTTGAATGCAAACATCCCAAAGAAGTTTCTGAGAATGCTTCTGTCTAGATTTGATCTGAAGACAATCCCGTTTCCAACGAAATCCTCAAGGCTAGGCAAATATCCTCTTGCAGATTCCAGAAAAAGAGTGTTTCAAAACTGCTCCTTCAAAACGGTGGTTCAATTCTCTTAGTTGAGTACACACATCTCAAATAACTTTCTGAGAATGCTTCTGCCTAGTTGTTACGGGAAGATATTTCCCTTTCCAACATAGGCCTGAAAGCGCTCCAAATGTCCACTTCCAGATACTACAAAAAGAGTGTTTCAAACCTGCTCTACCAAAGGGAATGTTCTACTCTGTGACTTGAATGCAAACATCCCAAAGAAGTTTCTGAGAATGCTTCTGTCTAGATTTTACCTGAAGACAATCCCGTTTCCCACGAAATCCTCAAAGCTATGCAAATATCCTCTTGCAGATTCTACAAAAAGAGTGTTTCAAAACTGCTCTATGAAAAGAAAGGTTCAACTCTGTCAGTAGAGGGCACACATCACAAACAAGTTTCTGAGAATGCTTCTGCATAGTTGTTACGGGAAGATATTTCCCTTTCCAAAATAGGCCTGAAAGCGCTCCAAATGTCCACTTCCAGATACTACAAAAGGAGTGATTCCAACCTGCTCTATGATAGGGAATGTTCAACTCTGTGTCCTGAATACAAACATCACAAAGATGTTTCTCAGAACGCTGCAGTCTGCAATTTGTATGAATTCCCGCTTCCAACGAAATCCTCAAAACTAGCCAAATATCCACTTGCAGATTCCACAAAAAGACCATTTCAAAACTGCTCTATCAAAAGAAAGGTTCAACTTTGTTAGTTGAGTAGATACAGCATAAACAAGTTTCTGAGAATGCTTCTGTCCAGTTTTTATGGGAAGATATTTCCTTTTTCACCTTAGCCCTGAAATCGCTCCAAAAGTCCAGTTCCAGATACTACAAAAGGGGTGTTTCAGGACTGCTCTATGAAAGGGAGTGTTCAACTTTTGACTTGAATGCAAACATCAGAAAGCAGTTTCTCAGAACGCTGCTGTGTGCTTTTTATATGTATTCCCGCTTCCAGCGAAATCCCCAAAGCTAGCCAAATATCCACTTGCAGATTCCAGAAAAAGAGAGTTTCAAAACTGCTCCTTCAAAACGGTGGTTCAATTCTCTTAGTTGAGTACACACATCTCAAATAAGTTTCTGAGAATGCTTCTGTCTAGTTGTTATGGGAAGATATTTCCTTTTCCAACATAGGCCTGAAAGCGCTCCAAATGTCCACTTCCAGATACTACAAAAGGAGTGATTCAAACCTGCTCTATGATAGGGAATGTTCAACTCTGTGTCCTGAATACAAACATCACAAAGATGTTTCTCAGAACGCTGCAGTCTGCAATTTGTATGAATTCCCGCTTCCAACGAAATCCTCAAAACTAGCCAAATATCCACTTGCAGATTCCACAAAAAGAGCATTTCAAAACTGCTCTATCAAAAGAAAGGTTCAACTTTGTTAGTTGAGTAGATACAGCATAAACAAGTTTCTGAGAATGCTTCTGTCCAGTTTTTATGGGAAGATATTTCCTTTTTCACCTTAGCCCTGAAAGCGCTCCAAAAGTCCAGTTCCAGATACTACAAAAGGAGTGTTTCAGGACTGCTCTATGAAAGGGAGTGTTCAACTTTTGACTTGAATGCAAACATCAGAAAGCAGTTTCTCAGAACGCTGCTGTGTGCTTTTTATATGTATTCCCGCTTCCAGCGAAATCCCCAAAGCTAGCCAAATATCCACTTGCAGATTCCAGAAAAAGAGTGTTTCAAAACTGCTCCTTCAAAACGGTGGTTCAATTCTCTTAGTTGAGTACACACATCTCAAATAAGTTTCTGAGAATGCTTCTGTCTAGTTGTTATGGGAAGATATTTCCTTTTCCAACATAGGCCTGAAAGCGCTCCAAATGTCCACTTCCAGATACTACAAAAGGAGTGATTCAAACCTGCTCTACGATAGGGAATGTTCAACTCTGTGTCCTGAATACAAACATCACAAAGATGTTTCTCAGAACGCTGCAGTCTGCAATTTGTATGAATTCCCGCTTCCAACGAAATCCTCAAAACTAGCCAAATATCCACTTGCAGATTCCACAAAAAGAGCGTTTCAAAACTTCTCTATGAAAAGAAAGGTTCTACTCCTTTAGTTGAGGACACACATCACGAGTAAGTTTCTGAGAATGCTTCTGTCTAGTTTTTATGGGAAGATATTTCCTTTTTCACCTTAGGCCGGTAAAGTGCTCCAAATGTCCACTTACACACACTACAAAAAGAGTGTTTCAAACCTGCTCTGTGAAAGGGAATGTTCAATTCTGTGACTTGAATGCAATCATCACAAAGAACTTTCTGAGAATGCTGCTGACTGCTTTTTATATGTAATCCCGTTTCCAACGAAATCCTCAAATCTAGCCAAATAGCCACTTGCAGATTCCACAAAAAGAGTGTTTCAAAACTGTTCTGTCTAAAGAAATGTTCAACTGTGTTAGTTGAGGACACACATCAGAAACTAGTTTCTGAGAATGCTTCTGTCTAGTTGTTATGGGAAGATATTTCCTTTTCCAACGTAGGCCTGAAAGTGCTCCAAATGTCCACTTCCAGATACTACAAAAAGAGTGTTTCAAACCTGCTCTACCAAAGGGAATGTTCTACTCTGTGACTTGAATGCAAGCATCCCAAAGAAGTTTCTGAGAATGCTTCTGTCTAGATTTTCTCTGAAGACAATCCCGTTTCCAACGAAATCCTCAAGGCTAGGCAAATATACTCTTGCAGATTCCAGAAAAAGAGTGTTTCAAAACTGCTCCTTCAAAACGGTGGTTCAATTCTCTTAGTTGAGTACACACATCTCAAATAAGTTTCTGAGAATGCTTCTGCCTAGTTGTTACGGGAAGATATTTCCCTTTCCAACATGGGCCTGAAAGCGCTCCAAATGTCCACTTCCAGATACTACAAAAAGAGTGTTTCAAACCTGCTCTACCAAAGGGAATGTTCTACTCTGTGACTTGAATGCAAACATCCCAAAGAAGTTTCTGAGAATGCTTCTGTCTAGATTTTACCTGAAGACAATCCCGTTTCCCACGAAATCCTCAAAGCTATGCAAATATCCTCTTGCAGATTCTACAAAAAGTGTGTTTCAAAACTGCTCTATGAAAAGAAAGGTTCAACTCTGTCAGTAGAGGGCACAACATCACAAACAAGTTTCTGAGAATGCTTGTGTCTAGTTGTTATGGGAAGATATTTCCTTTTTCAACATAGGCCTGAAAGCGCTCCAAATGTCCACTTCCAGATACTACAAAAGGAGTGATTGCAACCTGCTCTATGATAGGGAATGTTCAACTCTCTGTCCTGAATACAAACATCACAAAGATGTTTCTCAGAACGCTGCAGTCTGCAATTTGTATGAATTCCCGCTTCCAACGAAATCCTCAAAACTAGCCAAATATCCACTTGCAGATTCCACAAAAAGAGCATTTCAAAACTGCTCTATCAAAAGAAAGGTTCAACTTTGTTAGTTGAGTAGATACAGCATAAACAAGTTTCTGAGAATGATTCTGTCCAGTTTTTATGGGAAGATATTTCCTTTTTCACCTTAGCCCTGAAAGCGCTCCAAAAGTCCAGTTCCAGATACTACAAAAGGAGTGTTTCAGGACTGCTCTATGAAAGGGAGTGTTCAACTTTTGACTTGAATGCAAACATCAGAAAGCAGTTTCTCAGAACGCTGCTGTGTGCTTTTTATATGTATTCCCGCCTCCAGCGAAATCCCCAAAGCTAGCCAAATATCCACTTGCAGATTCCAGAAAAAGAGTGTTTCAAAACTGCTCCTTCAAAACGGTGGTTCAATTCTCTTAGTTGAGTACACACATCTCAAATAAGTTTCTGAGAATGCTTCTGTCTAGTTGTTATGGGAAGATATTTCCTTTTCCAACATAGGCCTGAAAGCGCTCCAAATGTCCACTTCCAGATACTACAAAAGGAGTGATTCAAACCTGCTCTATGATAGGGAATGTTCAACTCTGTGTCCTGAATACAAACATCACAAAGATGTTTCTCAGAACGCTGCAGTCTGCAATTTGTATGAATTCCCGCTTCCAACGAAATCCTCAAAACTAGACAAATATCCACTTGCAGATTCCACAAAAAGAGCGTTTCAAAACTTCTCTATGAAAACAAAGGTTCTACTCCTTTAGTTGAGGACACACATCACGAGTAAGTTTCTGAGAATGCTTCTGTCTAGTTTTTATGGGAAGATATTTCCTTTTTCACCTTAGGCCGGAAAGTGCTCCAAATGTCCACTTACACACACTATAAAAAGAGTGTTTCAAACCTGCTCTGTGAAAGGGAATGTTCAATTCTGTGACTTGAATGCAATCATCACAAAGAACTTTCTGAGAATGCTGCTGTCTGCTTTTTATATGTAATCCCGTTTCCAACGAAATCCTCAAATCTAGCCAAATAGCCACTTGCAGATTCCACAAAAAGAGAGTTTCAAAACTGTTCTGTCTAAAGAAATGTTCAACTGTGTTAGTTGAGGACACACATCAGAAACTAGTTTCTGAGAATGCTTCTGTCTAGTTGTTATGGGAAGATATTTCCTTTTCCAACGTAGGCCTGAAAGCGCTCCAAATGTCCACTTCCATATACTAAAAAAAGAGTGTTTCAAACCTGCTCTACCAAAGGGAATGTTCTACTCTGTGACTTGAATGCAAACATCCCAAAGAAGTTTCTGAGAATGCTTCTGTCTAGATTTGATCTGAAGACAATCCCGTTTCCAACGAAATCCTCAAGGCTAGGCAAATATACTCTTGCAGATTCCAGAAAAAGAGTGTTTCAAAACTGCTCCTTCAAAACGGTGGTTCAATTCTCTTAGTTGAGTACACACATCTCAAATAAGTTTCTGAGAATGCTTCTGCCTAGTTGTTACGGGAAGATATTTCCCTTTCCAACATGGGCCTGAAAGCGCTCCAAATGTCCACTTCCAGATACTACAAAAAGAGTGTTTCAAACCTGCTCTACCAAAGGGAATGTTCTACTCTGTGACTTGAATGCAAACATCCCAAAGAAGTTTCTGAGAATGCTTCTGTCTAGATTTGATCTGAAGACAATCCCGTTTCCAACGAAATCCTCAAGGCTAGGCAAATATACTCTTGCAGATTCCAGAAAAAGAGTGTTTCAAAACTGCTCCTTCAAAACGGTGGTTCAATTCTCTTAGTTGAGTACACACATCTCAAATAAGTTTCTGAGAATGCTTCTGCCTAGTTGTTACGGGAAGATATTTCCCTTTCCAACATGGGCCTGAAAGCGCTCCAAATGTCCACTTCCAGATACTACAAAAAGAGGGTTTCAAACCTGCTCTACCAAAGGGAATGTTCTACTCTGTGACTTGAATGCAAACATACCCAAAGAAGTTTCTGAGAATGCTTCTGTCTAGATTTTACCTGAAGACAATCCCGTTTCTCACGAAATCCTCAAAACTATGCAAATATCCTCTTGCAGATTCTACAAAAAGAGTGTTTCAAAACTGCTCTATGAAAAGAAAGGTTCAACTCTGTCAGTAGAGGGCACACATCACAAACAAGTTTCTGAGAATGCTTGTGTCTAGTTGTTATGGGAAGATATTTCCTTTTTCAACATAGGCCTGAAAGCGCTCCAAATGTCCACTTCCAGATACTACAAAAGGAGTGATTCCAACCTGCTCTATGATAGGGAATGTTCAACTCTCTGTCCTGAATACAAACATCACAAAGATGTTTCTCAGAACGCTGCAGTCTGCAATTTGTATGAATTCCCGCTTCCAACGAAATCCTCAAAACTAGCCAAATATCCACTTGCAGATTCCACAAAAAGAGCATTTCAAAACTGCTCTATCAAAAGAAAGGTTCAACTTTGTTAGTTGAGTAGATACAGCATAAACAAGTTTCTGAGAATGCTTCTGTCCAGTTTTTATGGGAAGATATTTCCTTTTTCACCTTAGCCCTGAAAGCGCTCCAAAAGTCCAGTTCCAGATACTACAAAAGGAGTGTTTCAGGACTGCTCTATGAAAGGGAGTGTTCAACTTTTGACTTGAATGCAAACATCAGAAAGCAGTTTCTCAGAACGCTGCTGTGTGCTTTTTATATGTATTCCCGCTTCCAGCGAAATCCCCAAAGCTAGCCAAATATCCACTTGCAGATTCCAGAAAAAGAGTGTTTCAAAACTGCTCCTTCAAAACGGTGGTTCAATTCTCTTAGTTGAGTACACACATCTCAAATAAGTTTCTGAGAATGCTTCTGTCTAGTTGTTATGGGAAGATATTTCCTTTTCCAACATAGGCCTGAAAGCGCTCCAAATGTCCACTTCCAGATACCACAAAAGGAGTGATTCCAACCTGCTCTATGATAGGGAATGTTCAACTCTGTTTCCTGAATACAAACATCACAAAGATGTTTCTCAGAACGCTGCAGTCTGCAATTTGTATGAATTCCCGCTTCCAACGAAATCCTCAAAACTAGCCAAATATCCACTTGCAGATTCCACAAAAAGAGCGTTTCAAAACTTCTCTATGAAAAGAAAGGTTCTACTCCTTTAGTTGAGGACACACATCACGAGTAAGTTTCTGAGAATGCTTCTGTCTAGTTTTTATGGGAAGATATTTCCTTGTTCACCTTAGGCCGGAAAGTGCTCCAAATGTCCACTTACACACACTACAAAAAGAGTGTTTCAAACCTGCTCTGTGAAAGGGAATGTTCAATTCTGTGACTTGAATGCAATCATCACAAAGAAGTTTCTGAGAATGCTGCTGTCTGCTTTTTATATGTAATCCCGTTTCCAACGAAATCCTCAAATCTAGCCAAATATCCACTTGCAGATTCCACAAAAAGAGTGTTTCAAAACTGTTCTGTCTAAAGAAATGTTCAACTGTGTTAGTTGAGGACACACATCAGAAACTAGTTTCTGAGAATGCTTCTGTCTAGTTGTTATGGGAAGATATTTCCTTTTCCAACGTAGGCCTGAAAGCGATCAAAATCTCCACTTCCATATACTAAAAAAAGAGTGTTTCAAACCTGCTCTACCAAAGGGAATGTTCTACTCTGTGACTTGAATGCAAACATCCCAAAGAAGTTTCTGAGAATGCTTCTGTCTAGATTTTATCTGAATACAATCCCGTTTCCAACGAAATCCTCAAGGCTAGGCAAATATACTCTTGCAGATTCCAGAAAAAGAGTGTTTCAAAACTGCTCCTTCAAAACGGTGGTTCAATTCTCTTAGTTGAGTACACACATCTCAAATAAGTTTCTGAGAATGCTTCTGCCTAGTTGTTACGGGAAGATATTTCCCTTTCCAACATAGGCCTGAAAGCGCTCCAAATGTCCACTTCCAGATACTACAAAAAGAGTGTTTCAAACCTGCTCTACCAAAGGGAATGTTCTACTCTGTGACTTGAATGCAAACATCCCAAAGAAGTTTCTGAGAATGCTTCTGTCTAGATTTTACCTGAAGACAATCCCGTTTCCCACGAAATCCTCAAAGCTATGCAAATATCCTCTTGCAGATTCTACAAAAAGAGTGTTTCAAAACTGCTCTATGAAAAGAAAGGTTCAACTCTGTCAGTAGAGGTCACACATCACAAACAAGTTTCTGAGAATGCTTGTGTCTAGTTGTTATGGGAAGATATTTCCTTTTTCAACATAGGCCTGAAAGCGCTCCAAATGTCCACTTCCAGATACTACAAAAGGAGTGATTCCAACCTGCTCTATGATAGGGAATGTTCATCTCTGTGTCCTGAATACAAACATCACAAAGATGTTTCTCATAACGCTGCAGTCTGCAATTTGTATGAATTCCCGCTTCCAACGGAATCCTCAAAACTACCCAAATATCCACTTGGAGATTCCACAAAAAGAGCGTTTCAAAACTTCTCTATGAATAGAAAGGTTCTACTCCTTTAGTTGAGGGCACACATCACGAGTAAGTTTCTGAGAATGCTTCTGTCTAGTTTTTATGGGAAGATATTTCCTTTTTCACCTTAGGCCGGAAAGCGCTCCAAATGTCCACTTACACACACTACAAAAAGAGTGTTTCAAACCTGCTCTGTGAAAGGGAATGTTCAATTCTGTGACTTGAATGCAATCATCACAAAGAACTTTCTGAGAATGCTGCTGTCTGCTTTTTATATGTAATCCCGTTTCCAACGAAATCCTCAAATCTAGCCAAATATCCACTTGCAGATTCCACAAAAAGAGTGTTTCAAAACTGTTCTGTCTAAAGAAAAGTTCAACTGTGTTAGTTGAGGACACACATCAGAAACTAGTTTCTGAGAATGCTTCTGTCTAGTTGTTATGGGAAGATATTTCCTTTTCCAACGTAGGCCTGAAAGCGCTCCAAATGTCCATTTCCATATACTAAAAAAGGAGTGTTTCAAACCTGCTCTACCAAAGGGAATGTTCTACTCTGTGACTTGAATACAAACATCCCAAAGAAGTTTCTGAGAATGCTTCTGTCTAGATTTGATCTGAAGACAATCCCGTTTCCAACGAAATCCTCAAAGCTAGGCAAATATACTCTTGCAGATTCCAGAAAAAGAGTGTTTCAAAACTGCTCCTTCAAAAGGGTGGTTCAATTCTCTTAGTTGAGTACACACATCTCAAATAAGTTTCTGAGAATGCTTCTGCCTAGTTGTTAAGGGAAGATATTTCCCTTTCCAACATAGGCCTGAAAGCGCTCCAAATGTCCACTTCCAGATACTACAAAAAGAGTGTTTCAAACCTGCTCTACCAAACGGAATGTTCTACTCTGTGACTTGAATGCAAACATCCCAAAGAAGTTTCTGAGAATGCTTCTGTCTACATTTTACCTGAAGACAATCCCGTTTCCCACGAAATCCTCAAAGCTATGCAAATATCCTCTTGCGGATTCTACAAAAAGAGTGTTTCAAAACTGCTCTATGAAAAGAAAGGTTCAACTCTGTCAGTAGAGGGCACACATCACAAACAAGTTTCTGAGAATGCTTGTGTCTAGTTGTTATGGGAAGATATTTCCTTTTTCAACATAGGCCTGAAAGCGCTCCAAATGTCCACTTCCAGATACTACAAAAGGAGTGATTCCAACCTGCTCTATGATAGGGAATGTTCATCTCTGTGTCCTGAATACAAACATCACAAAGATGTTTCTCAGAACGCTGCAGTCTGCAATTTGTATGAATTCCCGCTTCCAACGAAATCCTCAACACTAGCCAAATATCCACTTGGAGATTCCACAAAAAGAGCGTTTCAAAACTTCTCTATGAATAGAAAGGTTCTACTCCTTTAGTTGAGGACACACATCACGAGTAAGTTTCTGAGAATGCTTCTGTCTAGTTTTTATGGGAAGATATGTCCTTTTTCACCTTAGGCCGGAAAGCGCTCCAAATGTCCACTTACACACACTACAAAAAGAGTGTTTCAAACCTGCTCTGTGAAAGGGAATGTTCAATTCTGTGACTTGAATGCAATCATCACAAAGAACTTTCTGAGAATGCTGCTGACTGCTTTTTATATGTAATCCCGTTTCCAACGAAATACTCAAATCTAGCCCAATATCCACTTGCAGATTCCACAAAAAGAGTGTTTCAAAACTGTTCTGTCTAAAGAAATGTACAACTGTGTTAGTTGAGGACACACATCACAAACTAGTTTCTGAGAATGCTTCTGTCTAGTTGTTATGGGAAGATATTTCCTTTTCCAACGTAGGCCTGAAAGCGCTCCAAATGTCCACTTCCATATACTAAAAAAAGAGTGTTTCAAACCTGCTCTACCAAAGGGAATGTTCTACTCTGTGACTTGAATGCAAACATCCCAAAGAAGTTTCTGAGAATGCTTCTGTCTAGATTTGATCTGAAGACAATCCCGTTTCCAACGAAATCCTCAAGGCTAGGCAAATATCCTCTTGCAGATTCCAGAAAAAGAGTGTTTCAAAACTTGCTCCTTCAAAACGGTGGTTCAATTCTCTTAGTTGAGTACACACATCTCAAATAAGTTTCTGAGAATGCTTCTGCCTAGTTGTTACGGGAAGATATTTCCCTTTCCAACATGGGCCTGAAAGCGCTCCAAATGTCCACTTCCAGATACTACAAAAAGAGTGTTTCAAACCTGCTCTACCAAAGGGAATGTTCTACTCTGTGACTTGAATGCAAACATCCCAAAGAAGTTTCTGAGAATGCTTCTGTCTAGATTTTACCTGAAGACAATCCCGTTTCCCACGAAATCCTCAAAGCTATGCAAATATCCTCTTGCAGATTCTACAAAAAGAGTGTTTCAAAACTGCTCTATGAAAAGAAAGGTTCAACTCTGTCAGTAGAGGGCACACATCACAAACAAGTTTCTGAGAATGCTTCTGCATAGTTGTTACGGGAAGATATTTCCCTTTCCAAAATAGGCCTGAAAGCGCTCCAAATGTCCACTTCCAGATACTACAAAAGGAGTGATTCCAACCTGCTCTATGATAGGGAATGTTCAACTCTCTGTCCTGAATACAAACATCACAAAGATGTTTCTCAGAACGCTGCAGTCTGCAATTTGTATGAATTCCCGCTTCCAACGAAATCCTCAAAACTAGCCAAATATCCACTTGCAGATTCCACAAAAAGACCATTTCAAAACTGCTCTATCAAAAGAAAGGTTCAACTTTGTTAGTTGAGTAGATACAGCATAACCAAGTTTCTGAGAATGCTTCTGTCCAGTTTTTATGGGAAGATATTTCCTTTTTCACCTTAGCCCTGAAATCGCTCCAAAAGTCCAGTTCCAGATACTACAAAAGGGGTGTTTCAAGACTGCTCTATGAAAGGGAGTGTTCAACTTTTGACTTGAATGCAAACATCAGAAAGCAGTTTCTCAGAACGCTGCTGTGTGCTTTTTATATGTATTCCCGCTTCCAGCGAAATCCCCAAAGCTAGCCAAATATCCACTTGCAGATTCCAGAAAAAGAGAGTTTCAAAACTGCTCCTTCAAAACGGTGGTTCAATTCTCTTAGTTGAGTACACACATCTCAAATAAGTTTCTGAGAATGCTTCTGTCTAGTTGTTATGGGAAGATATTTCCTTTTCCAACATAGGCCTGAAAGCGCTCCAAATGACCACTTCCAGATACTACAAAAGGAGTGATTCAAACCTGCTCTATGATAGGGAATGTTCAACTCTGTGTCCTGAATACAAACATCACAAAGATGTTTCTCAGAACGCTGCAGTCTGCAATTTGTATGAATTCCCGCTTCCAACGAAATCCTCAAAACTAGCCAAATATCCACTTGCAGATTCCACAAAAAGAGCGTTTCAAAACTTCTCTATGAAAAGAAAGGTTCTACTACTTTAGTTGAGGACACACATCACGAGTAAGTTTCTGAGAATGCTTCTGTCTAGTTTTTATGGGAAGATATTTCCTTTTTCACCTTAGGCCGGTAAGTGCTCCAAATGTCCACTTACACACACTACAAAAAGAGTGTTTCAAACCTGCTCTGTGAAAGGGAATGTTCAATTCTGTGACTTGAATGCAATCATCACAAAGAACTTTCTGAGAATGCTGCTGACTGCTTTTTATATGTAATCCCGTTTCCAACGAAATCCTCAAATCTAGCCAAATAGCCACTTGCAGATTCCACAAAAAGAGTGTTTCAAAACTGTTCTGTCTAAAGAAATGTTCAACTGTGTTAGTTGAGGACACACATCAGAAACTAGTTTCTGAGAATGCTTCTGTCTAGTTGTTATGGGAAGATATTTCCTTTTCCAACGTAGGCCTGAAAGCGCTCCAAATGTCCACTTCCAGATACTAAAAAAAGAGTGTTTCAAACCTGCTCTACCAAAGGGAATGTTCTACTCTGTGACTTGAATGCAAACATCCCAAAGAAGTTTCTGAGAATGCTTCTGTCTAGATTTTCTCTGAAGACAATCCCGTTTCCAACGAAATCCTCAAGGCTAGGCAAATATACTCTTGCAGATTCCAGAAAAAGAGTGTTTCAAAACTGCTCCTTCAAAACGGTGGTTCAATTCTCTTAGTTGAGTACACACATCTCAAATAAGTTTCTGAGAATGCTTCTGCCTAGTTGTTACGGGAAGATATTTCCCTTTCCAACATGGGCCTGAAAGCGCTCCAAATGTCCACTTCCAGATACTACAAAAAGAGTGTTTCAAACCTGCTCTACCAAAGGGAATGTTCTACTCTGTGACTTGAATGCAAAGATCCCAAAGAAGTTTCTGAGAATGCTTCTGTCTAGATTTTACCTGAAGACAATCCCGTTTCCCACGAAATCCTCAAAGCTATGCAAATATCCTCTTGCAGATTCTACAAAAAGAGTGTTTCAAAACTGCTCTATGAAAAGAAAGGTTCAACTCTGTCAGTAGAGGGCACACATCACAAACAAGTTTCTGAGAATGCTTCTGCATAGTTGTTACGGGAAGATATTTCCCTTTCCAAAATAGGCCTGAAAGCGCTCCAAATGTCCACTTCCAGATACTACAAAAGGAGTGATTCCAACCTGCTCTATGATAGGGAATGTTCAACTCTGTGTCCTGAATACAAACATCACAAAGATGTTTCTCAGAACGCTGCAGTCTGCAATTTGTATGAATTCCAGCTTCCAACGAAATCCTCAAATCTAGCCAAATATCCACTTGCAGATTCCACAAAAAGAGCATTTCAAAACTGCTCTATCAAAAGAAAGGTTCAACTTTGTTAGTAGAGTAGATACAGCATAAACAAGTTTCTGAGAATGCTTCTGTCCAGTTTTTATGGGAAGATATTTCCTTTTTCACCTTAGCCCTGAAAGCGCTCCAAAAGTCCAGTTCCAGATACTACAAAAGGAGTGTTTCAGGACTGCTCTATGAAAGGGAGTGTTCAACTTTTGACTTGAATGCAAACATCAGAAAGCAGTTTCTCAGAACGCTGCTGTGTGCTTTTTATATGTATTCCCGCTTCCAGCGAAATCCCCAAAGCTAGCCAAATATCCACTTGCAGATTCCAGAAAAAGAGTGTTTCAAAACTGCTCCTTCAAAACGGTGATTCAATTCTCTTAGTTGAGTACACACATCTCAAATAAGTTTCTGAGAATGCTTCTGCCTAGTTGTTACGGGAAGATATTTCCCTTTCCAACATAGGCCTGAAAGCGCTCCAAATGTCCACTTCCAGATAATACAAAAAGAGTGTTTCAAACCTGCTCTACCAAAGGGAATGTTCTACTCTGTGACTTGAATGCAAACATCCCAAAGAAGTTTCTCCGAATGCTTCTGTCTAGATTTTACCTGAAGACAATCCCGTTTCCCACGAAATCCTCAAAGCTATGCAAATATCCTCTTGCAGATTCTACAAAAAGAGCGTTTCAAAACTTCTCTATGAAAAGAAAGGTTCTACTCATTTAGTGGAGGACACACATCACGAGTAAGTTTCTGAGAATGCTTCTGTCTAGTTTTTATGGGAAGATATTTCCTTTTTCACCTTAGGCCGGAAAGTGCTCCAAATGTCCACTTCCAGATACTACAAAAGGAGTGATTCCAACCTGCTCTATGATAGGGAATGTTCAACTCTCTGTCCTGAATACAAACATCACAAAGATGTTTCTCTGAACGCTGCAGTCTGCAATTTGTATGAATTCCCGCTTCCAACGAAATCCTCAAAACTAGCCAAATATCCACTTGCAGATTCCACAAAAAGAGCATTTCAAAACTGCTCTATCAAAAGAAAGGTTCAACTTTGTTAGTTGAGTAGATACAGCATAAGCAAGTTTCTGAGAATGCTTCTGTCCAGTTTTTATGGGAAGATATTTCCTTTTTCACCTTAGCCCTGAAAGCGCTCCAAAAGTCCAGTTCCAGATACTACAAAAGGAGTGTTTCAGGACTGCTCTATGAAAGGGAGTGTTCAACTTTTGACTTGAATGCAAACATCAGAAAGCAGTTTCTCAGAACGCTGCTGTGTGCTTTTTATATGTATTCCCGCTTCCAGCGAAATCCCCAAAGCTAGCCAAATATCCACTTGCAGATTCCAGAAAAAGAGTGTTTCAAAACTGCTCCTTCAAAACGGTGGTTCAATTCTCTTAGTTGAGTACACACATCTCAAATAAGTTTCTGAGAATGCTTGTGTCTACTTGTTATGGGAAGATATTTCCTTTTTCAACATAGGCCTGAAAGCGCTCCAAATGTCCACTTCCAGATACTACAAAAGGAGTGATTCCAACCTCCTCTATGATAGGGAATGTTCAACTCTGTGTCCTGAATACAAACATCACAAAGATGTTTCTCAGAACGCTGCAGTCTGCAATTTGTATGAATTCCCGCTTCCAAAGAAATCCTCAAAACTAACCAAATATCCACTTGCAGACTCCACAAAAAGAGCATTTCAAAACTGCTCTATCAAAAGAAAGGTTCAACTTTGTTAGTTGAGTAGATACAGCATAAACAAGTTTCTGAGAATGCTTCTGTCCAGTTTTTATGGGAAGATATTTCCTTTTTCACCTTAGCCCTGAAAGCACTCCAAATGTCCACTTCCAGATACCACAAAAGGGGAGTTTCAAGACTGCTCTATGAAAGGGAGTGTTCAACTTTTGACTTGAATGCGAACATCAGAAAGAAGTTTCTCAGAACGCTGCTGTGTGCTTTTTATATGTATTCCCGCTTCCAGCGAAATCCCCAAAGCTAGCCAAATATCCAATTGCAGATTCCAGAAAAAGAGTGTTTCAAAACTGCTCCTTCAAAACGGTGGTTCAATTCTCTTAGTTGAGTACACACATCTCAAATAAGTTTCTGAGAATGCTTCTGTCTAGTTGTTATGGGAAGATATTTCCTTTTCCAACATAGGCCTGAAAGCGCTCCAAATGTCCACTTCCAGATACTACAAAAGAAGTGATTCAAACCTGCTCTATGATAGGGAATGTTCAACTCTGTGTCCTGAATACAAACATCACAAAGATGTTTCTCAGAACGCTGCAGTCTGCAATTTGTATGAATTCCCGCTTCCAACGAAATCCTCCAAACTAGCCAAATATCCACTTGCAGATTCCACAAAAAGAGCGTTTCAAAACTTCTCTATGAAAAGAAAGGTTCTACTCCTTTAGTTGAGGACACACATCACGAGTAAGTTTCTGAGAATGCTTCTGTCTAGTTTTTATGGGAAGATATTTCCTTGTTCACCTTAGGCCGGTAAGTGCTCCAAATGTCCACTTACACACACTACAAAAAGAGTGTTTCAAACCTGCTCTGTGAAAGGGAATGTTCAATTCTGTGACTTGAATGCAATCATCACAAAGAACTTTCTGAGAATGCTGCTGACTGCTTTTTATATGTAATCCCGTTTCCAACGAAATCCTCAAATCTAGCCAAATAGCCACTTGCAGATTCCACAAAAAGAGTGTTTCAAAACTGTTCTGTCTAAAGAAATGTTCAACTGTGTTAGTTGAGGACACACATCAGAAACTAGTTTCTGAGAATGCTTCTGTCTAGTTGTTATGGGAAGATATTTCCTTTTCCAACGTAGGCCTGAAAGCGCTCCAAATGTCCACTTCCAGATACTACAAAAAGAGTGTTTCAAACCTGCTCTACCAAAGGGAATGTTCTACTCTGTGACTTGAATGCAAACATCCCAAAGAAGTTTCTGAGAATGCTTCTGTCTAGATTTTCTCTGAAGACAATCCCGTTTCCAACGAAATCCTCAAGGCTAGGCAAATATACTCTTGCAGATTCCAGAAAAAGAGTGTTTCAAAACTGCTCCTTCAAAACGGTGGTTCAATTCTCTTAGTTGAGTACACACATCTCAAATAAGTTTCTGAGAATGCTTCTGCCTAGTTGTTACGGGAAGATATTTCCCTTTCCAACATGGGCCTGAAAGCGCTCCAAATGTCCACTTCCAGATACTACAAAAAGAGTGTTTCAAACCTGCTCTACCAAAGGGAATGTTCTACTCTGTGACTTGAATGCAAACATCCCAAAGAAGTTTCTGAGAATGCTTCTGTCTAGATTTTACCTGAAGACAATCCCGTTTCCCACGAAATCCTCAAAGCTATGCAAATATCCTCTTGCAGATTCTACAAAAAGAGTGTTTCAAAAGTGCTCTATGAAAAGAAAGGTTCAACTCTGTCAGTAGAGGGCACACATCACAAACAAGTTTCTGAGAATGCTTCTGCATAGTTGTTACGGGAAGATATTTCCCTTTCCAAAATAGGCCTGAAAGCGCTCCAAATGTCCACTTCCAGATACTACAAAAGGAGTGATTCCAACCTGCTCTATGATAGGGAATGTTCAACTCTGTGTCCTGAATACAAACATCACAAAGATGTTTCTCAGAACGCTGCAGTCTGCAATTTGTATGAATTCCCGCTTCCAACGAAATCCTCAAAACTAGCCAAATATCCACTTGCAGATTCCACAAAAAGACCATTTCAAAACTGCTCTATCAAAAGAAAGGTTCAACTTTGTTAGTTGAGTAGATACAGCATAAACAAGTTTCTGAGAATGCTTCTGTCCAGTTTTTATGGGAAGATATTTCCTTTTTCACCTTAGCCCTGAAATCGCTCCAAAAGTCCAGTTCCAGATACTACAAAAGGGGTGTTTCAAGACTGCTCTATGAAAGGGAGTGTTCAACTTTTGACTTGAATGCAAACATCAGAAAGCAGTTTCTCAGAACGCTGCTGTGTGCTTTTTATATGTATTCCCGCTTCCAGCGAAATCCCCAAAGCTAGCCAAATATCCACTTGCAGATTCCAGAAAAAGAGTGTTTCAAAACTGCTCCTTCAAAACGGTGGTTCAATTCTCTTAGTTGAGTACACACATCTCAAATAAGTTTCTGAGAATGCTTCTGTGTTGTTGTTATGGGAAGATATTTCCTTTTCCAACATAGGCCTGAAAGCGCTCCAAATGTCCACTTCCAGATACTACAAAAGGAGTGATTCCAACCTGCTCTATGATAGGGAATGTTCAACTCTGTGTCCTGAATACAAACATCACAAAGATGTTTCTCAGAACGCTGCAGTCTGCAATTTGTATGAATTCCCGCTTCCAACGAAATCCTCCAAACTAGCCAAATATCCACTTGCAGATTCCACAAAAAGAGCGTTTCAAAACTTCTCTATGAAAAGAAAGGTTCTACTCCTTTAGTTGAGGACACACATCACGAGTAAGTTTCTGAGAATGCTTCTGTCTAGTTTTTATGGGAAGATATTTCCTTGTTCACCTTAGGCCGAAAAGCGCTCCAAATGTCCACTTACACACACTACAAAAAGAGTGTTTCAAACCTGCTCTGTGAAAGGGAATGTTCAATTCTGTGACTTGAATGCAATCATCACAAAGAAGTTTCTGAGAATGCTGCTGTCTGCTTTTTATATGTAATCCCTTTTCCAACGAAACCCTCAAATCTAGCCAAATATCCACTTGCAGATTCCACAAAAAGAGTGTTTCAAAACTGTTCTGTCTAAAGAAATGTTCAACTGTGTTAGTTGAGGACACACATCAGAAACTAGTTTCTGAGAATGCTTCTGTCTAGTTTTTATGGGAAGATATTTCCTTTTTCACCTGAGGCCGGAAAGCGCTCCAAATGTCCACTTCCAGATACTACAAAAGGAGTGATTCAAACCTGCTCTATGATAGGGAACGTTCAACTCTGTGTCCTGAATACAAACATCACAAAGATGTTTCTCAGAACGCTGCAGTCTGCAATTTGTATGAATTCCCGCTTCCAACGAAATCCTCCAAACTAGCCAAATATCCACTTGCAGATTCCACAAAAAGAGCGTTTCAAAACTTCTCTATGAAAAGAAAGGTTCTACTCCTTTAGTTGAGGACACACATCACGAGTAAGTTTCTGAGAATGCTTCTGTCTAGTTTTTATGGGAAGATATTTCCTTGTTCACCTTAGGCCGGAAAGCGCTCCAAATGTCCACTTACACACACTACAAAAAGAGTGTTTCAAACCTGCTCTGTGAAAGGGAATGTTCAATTCTGTGACTTGAATGCAATCATCACAAAGAAGTTTCTGAGAATGCTGCTGACTGCTTTTTATATGTAATCCCGTTTCCAACGAAATCCTCAAATCTAGCCAAATAGCCACTTGCAGATTCCACAAAAAGAGTGTTTCAAAACTGTTCTGTCTAAAGAAATGTTCAACTGTGTTAGTTGAGGACACACATCAGAAACTAGTTTCTGAGAATGCTTCTGTCTAGTTGTTATGGGAAGATATTTCCTTTTCCAACGTAGGCCTGAAAGCGCTCCAAATGTCCACTTCCAGATACTAAAAAAAGAGTGTTTCAAACCTGCTCTACCAAAGGGAATGTTCTACTGCTGTGACTTGAATGCAAGCATCCCAAAGAAGTTTGCTGAGAATGCTTCTGTCTAGATTTTCTCTGAAGACAATCCCGTTTCCAACGAAATCCTCAAGGCTAGGCAAATATCCTCTTGCAGATTCCAGAAAAAGAGTGTTTCAAAACTGCTCCTTCAAAACGGTGGTTCAATTCTCTTAGTTGAGTACACACATCTCAAATAAGTTTCTGAGAATGCTTCTGCCTAGTTGTTACGGGAAGATATTTCCCTTTCCAACATGGGCCTGAAAGCGCTCCAAATGTCCACTTCCAGATACTACAAAAAGAGTGTTTCAAACCTGCTCTACCAAAGGGAATGTTCTACTCTGTGACTTGAATGCAAACATCCCAAAGAAGTTTCTGAGAATGCTTCTGTCTAGATTTTACCTGAAGACAATCCCGTTTCCCACGAAATCCTCAAAGCTATGCAAATATCCTCTTGCAGATTCTACAAAAAGAGTGTTTCAAAACTGCTCTATGAAAAGAAAGGTTCAACTCTGTCAGTAGAGGGCACACATCACAAACAAGTTTCTGAGAATGCTTCTGCATAGTTGTTACGGGAAGATATTTCCCTTTCCAAAATAGGCCTGAAAGCGCTCCAAATGTCCACTTCCAGATACTACAAAAGGAGTGATTCCAACCTGCTCTATGATAGGGAATGTTCAACTCTGTGTCCTGAATACAAACATCACAAAGATGTTTCTCAGAACGCTGCAGTCTGCAATTTGTATGAATTCCCGCTTCCAACGAAATCCTCAAAACTAGCCAAATATCCACTTGCAGATTCCACAAAAAGACCATTTCAAAACTGCTCTATCAAAAGAAAGGTTCAACTTTGTTAGTTGAGTAGATACAGCATAAACAAGTTTCTGAGAATGCTTCTGTCCAGTTTTTATGGGAAGATATTTCCTTTTTCACCTTAGCCCTGAAATCGCTCCAAAAGTCCAGTTCCAGATACTACAAAAGGGGTGTTTCAAGACTGCTCTATGAAAGGGAGTGTTCAACTTTTGACTTGAATGCAAACATCAGAAAGCAGTTTCTCAGAACGCTGCTGTGTGCTTTTTATATGTATTCCCGCTTCCAGCGAAATCCCCAAAGCTAGCCAAATATCCACTTGCAGATTCCAGAAAAAGAGAGTTTCAAAACTGCTCCTTCAAAACGGTGGTTCAATTCTCTTAGTTGAGTACACACATCTCAAATAAGTTTCTGAGAATGCTTCTGTCTAGTTGTTATGGGAAGATATTTCCTTTTCCAACATAGGCCTGAAAGCGCTCCAAATGTCCACTTCCAGATACTACAAAAGGAGTGATTCAAACCTGCTCTATGATAGGGAATGTTCAACTCTGTGTCCTGAATACAAACATCACAAAGATGTTTCTCAGAACGCTGCAGTCTGCAATTTGTATGAATTCCCGCTTCCAACGAAATCCTCAAAACTAGCCAAATATCCACTTGCAGATTCCACAAAAAGAGCGTTTCAAAACTTCTCTATGAAAAGAAAGGTTCTACTCCTTTAGTTGAGGACACACATCACGAGTAAGTTTCTGAGAATGCTTCTGTCTAGTTTTTATGGGAAGATATTTCCTTTTTCACCTTAGGCCGGTAAGTGCTCCAAATGTCCACTTACACACACTACAAAAAGAGTGTTTCAAACCTGCTCTGTGAAAGGGAATGTTCAATTCTGTGACTTGAATGCAATCATCACAAAAAACTTTCTGAGAATGCTGCTGACTGCTTTTTATATGTAATCCCGTTTCCAACGAAATCCTCAAATCTAGCCAAATAGCCACTTGCAGATTCCACAAAAAGAGTGTTTCAAAACTGTTCTGTCTAAGGAAATGTTCAACTGTGTTAGTTGAGGACACACATCAGAAACTAGTTTCTGAGAATGCTTCTGTCTAGTTGTTATGGGAAGATATTTCCTTTTCCAACGTAGGCCTGAAAGCGCTCCAAATGTCCACTTCCATATACTAAAAAAAGAGTGTTTCAAACCTGCTCTACCAAAGGGAATGTTCTACTCTGTGACTTGAATGCAAACATCCCAAAGAAGTTTCTGAGAATGCTTCTGTCTAGATTTGATCTGAAGACAATCCCGTTTCCAACGAAATCCTCAAGGCTAGGCAAATATCCTCTTGCAGATTCCAGAAAAAGAGTGTTTCAAAACTGCTCCTTCAAAACGGTGGTTCAATTCTCTTAGTTGAGTACACACATCTCAAATAAGTTTCTGAGAATGCTTCTGCCTAGTTGTTACGGGAAGATATTTCCCTTTCCAACATAGGCCTGAAAGCGCTCCAAATGTCCACTTCCAGATACTACAAAAAGAGTGTTTCAAACCTGCTCTACCAAAGGGAATGTTCTACTCTGTGACTTGAATGCAAACATCCCAAAGAAGTTTCTGAGAATGCTTCTGTCTAGATTTTACCTGAAGACAATCCCGTTTCCCACGAAATCCTCAAAGCTATGCAAATATCCTCTTGCAGATTCTACAAAAAGAGTGTTTCAAAACTGCTCTATGAAAAGAAAGGTTCAACTCTGTCAGTGGAGGGCACACATCACAAACAAGTTTCTGAGAACGCTTGTGTCTAGTTGGCATGGGACGATATTTCCTTTTTCAACATAGGCCTGAAAGCGCTCCAAATGTCCACTTCCAGATACTACAAAAGGAGTGATTCCAACATGCTCTATGATAGGGAATGTTCATCTCTGTGTCTTGAATACAAACATCACAAAGATGTTTCTCAGAACGCTGCAGTCTGCAATTTGTATGAATTCCCGCTTCCAACGAAATCCTCAAAACTAACCAAATATCCACTTGGAGATTCCACAAAAAGAGCGTTTCAAAACTTCTCTATGAATAGAAAGGTTCTACTCCTTTAGTTGAGGACACACATCACGAGTAAGTTTCTGAGAATGCTTCTGTCTAGTTTTTATGGGAAGATATGTCCTTTTTCACCTTAGGCCGGAAAGCACTCCAAATGTCCACTTACACACACTACAAAAAGAGTGTTTCAAACCTGCTCTGTGAAAGGGAATGTTCAATTCTGTGACTTGAATGCAATCATCACAAAGAACTTTCTGAGAATGCTGCTGACTGCTTTTTATATGTAATCCCGTTTCCAACGAAATCCTCAAATCTAGCCCAATATCCACTTGCAGATTCCACAAAAAGAGTGTTTCAAAACTGTTCTGTCTAAAGAAATGTACAACTGTGTTAGTTGAGGACACACATCAGAAACTAGTTTCTGAGAATGCTTCTGTCTAGTTGTTATGGGAAGATATTTCCTTTTCCAACGTAGGCCTGAAAGCGCTCCAAATGTCCACTTCCATATACTAAAAAAAGAGTGTTTCAAACCTGCTCTACCAAAGGGAATGTTCTACTCTGTGACTTGAATGCAAACATCCCAAAGAAGTTTCTGAGAATGCTTCTGTCTAGATTTGATCTGAAGACAATCCCGTTTCCAACGAAATCCTCAAGGCTAGGCAAATATACTCTTGCAGATTCCAGAAAAAGAGTGTTTCAAAACTGCTCCTTCAAAACGGTGGTTCAATTCTCTTAGTTGAGTACACACATCTCAAATAAGTTTCTGAGAATGATTCTGCCTAGTTGTTACGGGAAGATATTTCCCTTTCCAACATGGGCCTGAAAGCGCTCCAAATGTCCACTTCCAGATACTACAAAAAGAGGGTTTCAAACCTGCTCTACCAAAGGGAATGTTCTACTCTGTGACTTGAATGCAAACATCCCAAAGAAGTTTCTGAGAATGCTTCTGTCTAGATTTTACCTGAAGACAATCCCGTTTCCCACGAAATCCTCAAAGCTATGCAAATATCCTCTTGCAGATTCTACAAAAAGAGTGTTTCAAAACTGCTCTATGAAAAGAAAGGTTCAACTCTGTCAGCAGAGGGCACACATCACAAACAAGTTTCTGAGAATGCTTGTGTCTAGTTGTTATGGGAAGATATTTCCTTTTTCAACATAGGCCTGAAAGCGCTCCAAATGTCCACTTCCAGATACTACAAAAGGAGTGATTCCAACCTGCTCTATGATAGGGAATGTTCATCTCTGTGTCCTGAATACAAACATCACAAAGATGTTTCTCAGAACGCTGCAGTCTGCAATTTGTATGAATTCCCGCTTCCAACGAAATCCTCAAAACTAGCCAAATATCCACTTGGAGATTCCACAAAAAGAGCGTTTCAAAACTTCTCTATGAATAGAAAGGTTCTACTCCTTTAGTTGAGGACACACATCACGAGTAAGTTTCTGAGAATGCTTCTGTCAAGTTTTTATGGGAAGATATTTCCTTTTTCACCTTAGTCCGGAAAGCGCTCCAAATGTCCACTTACACACACTACAAAAAGAGTGTTTCAAACCTGCTCTGTGAAAGGGAATGTTCAATTCTGTGACTTGAATGCAATCATCACAAAGAACTTTCTGAGAATGCTGCTGTCTGCTTTTTATATGTAATCCCGTTTCCAACGAAATCCTCAAATCTAGCAAAATATCCACTTGCAGATTCCACAAAAAGAGTGTTTCAAAACTGTTCTGTCTAAAGAAAAGTTCAACTGTGTTAGTTGAGGACACACATCAGAAACTAGTTTCTGAGAATGCTTCTGTCTAGTTGTTATGGGAAGATATTTCCTTTTCCAACGTAGGCCTGAAAGCGCTCCAAATGTCCACTTCCAGATACTACAAAAGGAGTGATTCCAACCTGCTCTATGATAGGGAATGTTCATCTCTGTGTCCTGAATACAAACATCACAAAGATGTTTCTCAGAACGCTTCTGTCTAGATTTTATCTGAAGACAATCCCGTTTCCAACGAAATCGTCAAGGCTAGGCAAATATACTCTTGCAGATTCCAGAAAAAGAGTGTTTCAAAACTGCTCCTTCAAAACGGTGGTTCAATTCTCTTAGTTGAGTACACACATCTCAAATAAGTTTCTGAGAATGCTTCTGCCTAGTTGTTACGGGAAGATATTTCCCTTTCCAACATGGGCCTGAAAGTGCTCCAAATGTCCACTTCCAGATACTACAAAAAGAGTGTTTCAAACCTGCTCTACCAAAGGGAATGTTCTACTCTGTGACTTGAATGCAAACATCCCAAAGAAGTTTCTGAGAATGCTTCTGTCTAGATTTTACCTGAAGACAATCCCGTTTCCCACGAAATCCTCAAAGCTATGCAAATATCCTCTTGCAGATTCTACAAAAAGAGTGTTTCAAAACTGCTCTATGAAAAGAAAGGTTCAACTCTGTCAGTAGAGGGCACACATCACAAACAACTTTCTGAGAATGCTTGTGTCTAGTTGTTATGGGAAGATATTTCCTTTTTCAACATAGGCCTGAAAGCGCTCCAAATGTCCACTTCCAGATACTACAAAAGGAGTGATTCCAACCTGCTCTATGATAGGGAATGTTCATCTCTGTGTCCTGAATACAAACATCACAAAGATGATTCTCAGAACGCTGCAGTCTGCAATTTGTATGAATTCCCGCTTCCAACGAAATCCTCAAAACTAGCCAAATATCCACTTGGAGATTCCACAAAAAGAGCGTTTCAAAACTTCTCTATGAATAGAAAGGTTCTACTCCTTTAGTTGAGGACACACATCACGAGTAAGTTTCTGAGAATGCTTCTGTCTAGTTTTTATGGGAAGATATTTCCTTTTTCACCTTAGGCCGGAAAGCGCTCCAAATGTCCACTTACACACACTACAAAAAGAGTGTTTCAAACCTGCTCTGTGAAAGGGAATGTTCAATTCTGTGACTTGAATGCAATCATCAAAAAGAACTTTCTGAGAATGCTGCTGTCTGCTTTTTATATGTAATCCCGTTTCCAACGAAATCCTCAAATCTAGCCAAATATCCACTTGCAGATTCCACAAAAAGAGTGTTTCAACACTGTTCTGTCTAAAGAAAAGTTCAACTGTGTTAGTTGAGGACACACATCAGAAACTAGTTTCTGAGAATGCTTCTGTCTAGTTGTTATGGGAAGATATTTCCTTTTCCAACGTAGGCCTGAAAGCGCTCCAAATGTCCACTTCCATATACTAAAAAAAGAGTGTTTCAAACCTGCTCTACCAAAGGGAATGTTCTACTCTGTGACTTGAATGCAAACATCCCAAAGAAGTTTCTGAGAATGCTTCTGTCTAGATTTTATCTGAAGACAATCCCGTTTCCAACGAAATCCTCAAAGCTAGGCAAATATCCTTTTGCAGATTCCAGAAAAAAGAGTGTTTCAAAACTGCTCCTTCAAAACGTTGGTTCAATTCTCTTAGTTGAGTACACACATCTCAAATAAGTTTCTGAGAATGCTTCTGCATAGTTGTTACGGGAAGATATTTCCCTTTCCAACATGGGCCTGAATGCGCTCCAAATGTCCACTTCCAGATACTACAAAAAGAGGGTTTCAAACCTGCTCTACCAAAGGGAATGTTCTACTCTGTGACTTGAATGCAAACATAACAAAGAAGTTTCTGAGAATGCTTCTGTCTAGTATTTTACCTGAAGACAATCCCGTTTCCCACGAAATCCTCAAAGCTATGCAAATATCCTCTTGCGGATTCTACAAAAAGAGTGTTTCAAAACTGCTCTATGAAAAGAAAGGTTCAACTCTGTCAGTAGAGGGCACACATCACAAACAAGTTTCTGAGAATGCTTCTGCATAGTTGTTACGGGAAGATATTTCCCTTTCCAAAATAGGCCTGAAAGCGCTCCAAATGTCCACTTCCAGATACTACAAAAGGAGTGATTCCAACCTGCTCTATGATAGGGAATGTTCAACTCTGTGTCCTGAATACAAACATCACAAAGATGTTTCTCAGAACGCTGCAGTCTGCAATTTGTATGAATTCCCGCTTCCAACGAAATCCTCAAAACTAGCCAAATATCCACTTGCAGATTCCACAAAAAGACCATTTCAAAACTGCTCTATCAAAAGAAAGGTTCAACTTTGTTAGTTGAGTAGATACAGCATAAACAAGTTTCTGAGAATGCTTCTGTCCAGTTTTTATGGGAAGATATTTCCTTTTTCACCTTAGCCCTGAAATCGCTCCAAAAGTCCAGTTCCAGATACTACAAAAGGGGTGTTTCAAGACTGCTCTATGAAAGGGAGTGTTCAACTTTTGACTTGAATGCAAACATCAGAAAGCAGTTTCTCAGAACGCTGCTGTGTGCTTTTTATATGTATTCCCGCTTCCAGCGAAATCCCCAAAGCTAGCCAAATATCCACTTGCAGATTCCAGAAAAAGAGTGTTTCAAAACTGCTCCTTCAAAACGGTGGTTCAATTCTCTTAGTTGAGTACACACATCTCAAATAAGTTTCTGAGAATGCTTCTGTCTAGTTGTTATGGGAAGATATTTCCTTTTCCAACATAGGCCTGAAAGCGCTCCAAATTTCCACTTCCAGATACTACAAAAGGAGTGATTCAAACCTGCTCTATGATAGGGAATGTTCAACTCTGTGTCCTGAATACAAACATCACAAAGATGTTTCTCAGAACGCTGCAGTCTGCAATTTGTATGAATTCCCGCTTCCAACGAAATCCTCAAAACTAGCCAAATATCCACTTGCAGATTCCACAAAAAGAGCGTTTCAAAACTTCTCTATGAAAAGAAAGGTTCTACTCCTTTAGTTGAGGACACACATCACGAGTAAGTTTCTGAGAATGCTTCTGTCTAGTTTTTATGGGAAGATATTTCCTTTTTCACCTTAGGCCGGAAAGCGCTCCAAATGTCCACTTACACATACTACAAAAAGTGTGTTTCAAACCTGCTCTGTGAAAGGGAATGTTCAATTCTGTGACTTGAATACAATCATCACAAAGAACTTTCTGAGAATGCTGCTGACTGCTTTTTATATGTAATCCCGTTTCCAACGAAATCCTCAAATCTAGCCAAATATCCACTTGCAGATTCCACAAAAAGAGTGTTTCAAAACTGTTCTGTCTAAAGAAATGTACAACTGTGTTAGTTGAGGACACACATCAGAAACTAGTTTCTGAGAATACTTCTGTCTAGTTGTTATGGGAAGATATTTCGTTTTCCAACGTAGGCCTGAAAGCGCTCCAAATGTCCACTTCCATATACTAAAAAAAGAGTGTTTCAAACCTGCTCTACCAAAGGGAATGTTCTACTCTGTGACTTGAATGCAAACATCCCAAAGAAGTTTCTGAGAATGCTTCTGTCTAGATTTGATCTGAAGACAATCCCGTTTCCAACGAAATCCTCAAGGCTAGGCAAATATACTGTTGCAGTTTCCAGAAAAAGAGTGTTTCAAAACTGCTCCTTCAAAACGGTGGTTCAATTCTCTTAGTTGAGTACACACATCTCAAATAAGTTTCTGAGAATGCTTCTGCCTAGTTGTTACGGGAAGATATTTCCCTTTCCAACATGGGCCAGAAAGCGCTCCAAATGTCCACTTCCAGATACTACAAAAAGAGTGTTTCAATCCTGCTCTACCAAAGGGAATGTTCTACTCTGTGACTTGAATGCAAACATCACAAAGAAGTTTCTGAGAATGCTTCTGTCTAGATTTTACCTGAAGACAATCCCGTTTCCCACGAAATCCTCAAAGCTATGCAAATATCCTCTTGCAGATCCTACAAAAAGAGTGTTTCAAAACTGCTCTATGAAAAGAAAGGTTCAACTCTGTCAGTAGAGGGCACACATCACAAACAAGTTTCTGAGAATGCTTGTGTCTAGTTGTTATGGGAAGATATTTCCTTTTTCAACATAGGCCAGAAAGCGCTCCAAATGTCCACTTCCAGGTACTACAAAAGGAGTGATTCCAACCTGCTCTATGATAGGGAATGTTCAACTCTCTGTCCTGAATACAAACATCACAAAGATGTTTCTCAGAACGCTGCAGTCTGCAATTTGTATGAATTCCCGCTTCCAACGAAATCCTCAAAACTAGCCAAATATCCACTTGCAGATTCCACAAAAAGAGCATTTCAAAACTGCTCTATCAAAAGAAAAGTTCAACTTTGTTAGTTGAGTAGATACAGCATAAACAAGTTTCTGAGAATGCTTCTGTCCAGTTTTTATGGGAAGATATTTCCTTTTTCACCTTAGCCCTGAAAGCGCTCCAAAAGTCCAGTTCCAGATACTACAAAAGGAGTGTTTCAGGACTGCTCTATGAAAGGGAGTGTTCAACTTTTGACTTGAATGCAAACATCAGAAAGCAGTTTCTCAGAACGCTGCTGTGTGCTTTTTATATGTATTCCCGCTTCCAGCGAAATCCCCAAAGCTAGCCAAATATCCACTTGCAGATTCCAGAAAAAGAGTGTTTCAAAACTGCTCCTTCAAAACGGTGGTTCAATTCTCTTAGTTGAGTACACACATCTCAAATAAGTTTCTGAGAATGCTTCTGTCTAGCTGTTATGGGAGGATATTTCCTTTTCCAACATAGGCCTGAAAATGCTCCAAACGTCCACTTCCAGATACGACAAAAGGAGTGATTCCAACCTGCTCTATGATAGGGAATATTCAACTCTGTGTCCTGAATACAAACATCACAAAGATGTTTCTCAGAACGCTACAGTCTGCAATTTGTATTAATTCCCGCTTCCAACGAAATCCTCAAAACTAGCCAAATATCCACTTGCAGATTCCACAAAAAGAGCGTTTCAAAACTTCTCTATGAAAAGAAAGGTTCTACTCCTTTAGTTGAGGACACACATCACGAGTAAGTTTCTGAGAATGCTGCTGTCTGCTTTTTATATGTAATCCCGTTTCCAACGAAATCCTCAAATATAGCCAAATATCCACTTGCAGATTCCACAAAAAGAGTGTTTCAAAACTGTTCTGTCAAAAGAAATGTTCATCTCTGTTAGTTGAGGACACACATCAGAAACTAGTTTCTGAGAATGCTTCTGTCTAGTTGTTATGGGAAGATATTTCCTTTTCCAACGTAGGCCTGAAAGCGCTCCAAATGTCCACTTCCAGATACTACAAAAAGAGTGCTTCAAACCTGCTCTACCAAAGGGAATGTTCTACTCTGTGACTTGAATGCAAACATCCCAAAGAAGATTCTTAGAATGCTTCTGTCTAGATTTGATCTGAAGACAATCCCGTTTCCAACGAAATCCTCAAAGCTATGCAAATATCCTCTTGCAGATTCCAGACAAAGAGTGTTTCGAAACTGCTCTATGAAAAGAACGGTTCAACTCTGTCAGTAGAGGGCACACATCACAAACAAGTTTCTGAGAATGCTTCTGCATAGTTGTTATGGGAAGATATTTCCCTGTCCAAAATAGGCCTGAAAGCGCTCCAAATGTCCACTTCCAGATACTACAAAAGGAGTGATTCCAACCTGCTCTATGATAGGGAATGTTCAACTCTGTGTCCTGAATACAAACATCACAAAGATGTTTCTCAGAACGCTGCAGTCTGCAATTTGTATGAATTCCCGCTTCCAAAGAAATCCTCAAAACTAACCAAATATCCACTTGCAGACTCCACAAAAAGAGCATTTCAAAACTGCTCTATCAAAAGAAAGGTTCAACTTTGTTAGCTGAGTAGATACAGCATAAACAAGTTTCTGAGAATGCTTCTGTCCAGTTTTTATGGGAAGATATTTCCTTTTTCACCTTAGCCCTGAAAGCACTCCAAATGTCCACTTCCAGATACCACAAAAGGGGAGTTTCAAGACTGCTCTATGAAAGGGAGTGTTCAACTTTTGACTTGAATGCGAACATCAGAAAGAAGTTTCTCAGAACGCTGCTGTGTGCTTTTTATATGTATTCCCGCTTCCAGCGAAATCCCCAAAGCTAGCCAGATATCCACTTGCAGATTCCAGAAAAAGAGTGTTTCAAAACTGCTCCTTCAAAACGGTGGTTCAATTCTCTTAGTTGAGTACACACATCTCAAATAAGTTTCTGAGAATGCTTCTGTCTATTTGTTATGGGAAGATATTTCCTTTTCCAACATAGGCCTGAAAGCGCTCCAAATGTCCACTTCCAGATACTACAAAAGGAGTGATTCAAACCTGCTCTATGATAGGGAACGTTCAACTCTGTGTCCTGAATACAAACATCACAAAGATGTTTCTCAGAACGCTGCAGTCTGCAATTTGTATGAATTCCCGCTTCCAACGAAATCCTCAAAACTAGCCAAATATCCACTTGCAGATTCCACAAAAAGAGCGTTTCAAAACTTCTCTATGAAAAGAAAGTTTCTACTCCTTTACTTGAGTACACACATCACGAGTAAGTTTCTGAGAATGCTTCTGTCTAGTTTTTATGGGAAGATATTTCCTTTTTCACCTTAGGCCGGAAAGCGCTCCAAATGTCCACTTACACACACTACAAAAAGAGTGTTTCAAATCTGCTCTGTGAAAGGGAATGTTCAATTCTGTGACTTGAATGCAATCATCACAAAGAACTTTCTGAGAATGCCGCTGTCTGCTTTTTATATGTAATCCCGTTTCCAATGAAATCCTCAAATCTAGCCAAATAGCCACTTGCAGATTCCACAAAAAGAGAGTTTCAAAACTGTTCTGTCTAAAGAAATGTTCAACTGTGTTAGTTGAGGACACACATCAGAAACTAGTTTCTGAGAATGCTTCTGTCTAGTTGTTATGGGAAGATATTTCCTTTTCCAACGTAGGCCTGAAAGCGCTCCAAATGTCCACTTCCATATACTAAAAAAAGAGTGTTTCAAACCTGCTCTACCAAAGGGAATGTTCTACTCTGCGACTTGAATGCAAACATCCCAAAGAAGTTTCTGAGAATGCTTCTGTCTAGATTTGATCTGAAGACAATCCCGTTTCCAACGAAATCCTCAAGGCTAGGCAAATATCCTCTTGCAGATTCCAGAAAAAGAGTGTTTCAAAACTGCTCCTTCAAAACGGTGGTTCAATTCTCTTAGTTGAGTACACACATCTCAAATAAGTTTCTGAGAATGCTTCTGCCTAGTTGTTACGGGAAGATATTTCCCTTTCCAACATAGGCCTGAAAGCGCTCCAAATGTCCACTTCCAGATACTACAAAAAGAGTGTTTCAAACCTGCTCTACCAAAGGGAATGTTCTACTCTGTGACTTGAATGCAAACATCCCAAAGAAGTTTCTGAGAATGCTTCTGTCTAGATTTTACCTGAAGACAATCCCGTTTCCCACGAAATCCTCAAAGCTATGCAAATATCCTCTTGCAGATTCTACAAAAAGAGTGTTTCAAAACTGCTCTATGAAAAGAAAGGTTCAACTCTGTCAGTAGAGGGC
The DNA here is from genome assembly GCF_000001405.40 of Homo sapiens. NCBI lineage: Eukaryota > Metazoa > Chordata > Mammalia > Primates > Hominidae > Homo > Homo sapiens. Next base: position 17,727,672 of record NC_000018.10, on the reverse strand, counting down.
ACACATCACAAACAAGTTTCTGAGAATGCTTCTGCATAGTTGTTACGGGAAGATATTTCCCTTTCCAAAATAGGCCTGAAAGCGCTCCAAATGTCCACTTCCAGATACTACAAAAGGAGTGATTCCAACCTGCTCTATGATAGGGAATGTTCAACTCTGTGTCCTGAATACAAACATCACAAAGATGTTTCTCAGAACGCTGCAGTCTGCAATTTGCATGAATTCCAGCTTCCAACGAAATCCTCAAATCTAGCCAAATATCCACTTGCAGATTCCACAAAAAGAGCATTTCAAAACTGCTCTATCAAAAGAAAGGTTCAACTTTGTTAGTAGAGTAGATACAGCATAAACAAGTTTCTGAGAATGCTTCTGTCCAGTTTTTATGGGAAGATATTTCCTTTTCCACCTTAGCCCTGAAAGCGCTCCAAAAGTCCAGTTCCAGATACTACAAAAGGAGTGTTTCAGGACTGCTCTATGAAAGGGAGTGTTCAACTTTTGACTTGAATGCAAACATCAGAAAGCAGTTTCTCAGAACGCTGCTGTGTGCTTTTTATATGTATTCCCGCTTCCAGCGAAATCCCCAAAGCTAGCCAAATGTCCACTTGCAGATTCCAGAAAAAGAGTGTTTCAAAACTGCTCCTTCAAAACGGTGGTTCAATTCTCTTAGTTGAGTACACACATCTCAAATAAGTTTCTGAGAATGCTTCTGTCTAGTTGTTATGGGAAGATATTTCCTTTTCCAACATAGGCCTGAAAGCGCTCCAAATGTCCACTTCCAGATACTACAAAAGGAGTGATTCAAACCTGCTCTATGATAGGGAATGTTCAACTCTGTGTCCTGAATACAAACATCACAAAGATGTTTCTCAGAACGCTGCAGTCTGCAATTTGTATGAATTCCCGCTTCCAACGAAATCCTCCAAACTAGCCAAATATCCACTTGCAGATTCCACAAAAAGAGCGTTTCAAAACTTCTCTATGAAAAGAAAGGTTCTACTCCTTTAGTTGAGGACACACATCACGAGTAAGTTTCTGAGAATGCTTCTGTCTAGTTTTTATGGGAAGATATTTCCTTTTTCACCTTAGGCCGGAAAGTGCTCCAAATGTCCACTTACACACACTACAAAAAGAGTGTTTCAAACCTGCTCTGTGAAAGGGAATGTTCAATTCTGTGACTTGAATGCAATCATCACAAAGAAGTTTCTGAGAATGCTGCTGACTGCTTTTTATATGTAATCCCGTTTCTAACGAAATCCTCAAATCTAGCCAAATAGCCACTTGCAGATTCCACAAAAAGAGTGTTTCAAAACTGTTCTGTCTAAAGAAATGTTCAACTGTGTTAGTTGAGGACACACATCAGAAACTAGTTTCTGAGAATGCTTCTGTCTAGTTGTTATGGGAAGATATTTCCTTTTCCAACGTAGGCCTGAAAGCGATCCAAATGTCCACTTCCATATACTAAAAAAAGAGTGTTTCAAACCTGCTCTACCAAAGGGAATGTTCTACTCTGTGACTTGAATGCAAACATCCCAAAGAAGTTTCTGAGAATGCTTCTGTCTAGATTTTCTCTGAAGACAATCCCGTTTCCAACGAAATCCTCAAGGCTAGGCAAATATCCTCTTGCAGATTCCAGAAAAAGAGTGTTTCAAAACTGCTCCTTCAAAACGGTGGTTCAATTCTCTTAGTTGAGTACACACATCTCAAATAAGTTTCTGAGAATGCTTCTGCCTAGTTGTTACGGGAAGATATTTCCCTTTCCAACATGGGCCTGAAAGCGCTCCAAATGTCCACTTCCAGATACTACAAAAAGAGTGTTTCAAACCTGCTCTACCAAAGGGAATGTTCTACTCTGTGACTTGAATGCAAACATCCCAAAGAAGTTTCTGAGAATGCTTCTGTCTAGATTTTACCTGAAGACAATCCCGTTTCCCACGAAATCCTCAAAGCTATGCAAATATCCTCTTGCAGATTCTACAAAAAGAGTGTTTCAAAACTGCTCTATGAAAAGAAAGGTTCAACTCTGTCAGTAGAGGGCACACATCACAAACAAGTTTCTGAGAATGCTTGTGTCTAGTTGCTATGGGAAGATATTTCCTTTTTCAACATAGGCCTGAAAGCGCTCCAAATGTCCACTTCCAGATACTACAAAAGGAGTGATTCCAACATGCTCTATGATAGGGAATGTTCATCTCTGTGTCCTGAATACAAACATCACAAAGATGTTTCTCAGAACGCTGCAGTCTGCAATTTGTATGAATTCCCGCTTCCAACGAAATCCTCAAAACTAGCCAAATATCCACTTGCAGATTCCACAAAAAGACCATTTCAAAACTGCTCTATCAAAAGAAAGGTTCAACTTTGTTAGTTGAGTAGATACAGCATAAACAAGTTTCTGAGAATGCTTCTGTCCAGTTTTTATGGGAAGATATTTCCTTTTTCACCTTAGCCCTGAAATCGCTCCAAAAGTCCAGTTCCAGATACTACAAAAGGGGTGTTTCAAGACTGCTCTATGAAAGGGAGTGTTCAACTTTTGACTTGAATGCAAACATCAGAAAGCAGTTTGCTCAGAACGCTGCTGTGTGCTTTTTATATGTATTCCCGCTTCCAGCGAAATCCCCAAGCTAGCCAAATATCCACTTGCAGATTCCAGAAAAAGAGAGTTTCAAAACTGCTCCTTCAAAACGGTGGTTCAATTCTCTTAGTTGAGTACACACATCTCAAATAAGTTTCTGAGAATGCTTCTGTCTAGTTGTTATGGGAAGATATTTCCTTTTCCAACATAGGCCTGAAAGCGCTCCAAATGTCCACTTCCAGATACTACAAAAGGAGTGATTCAAACCTGCTCTATGATAGGGAATGTTCAACTCTGTGTCCTGAATACAAACATCACAAAGATGTTTCTCAGAACGCTGCAGTCTGCAATTTGTATGAATTCCCGCTTCCAACGAAATCTTCCAAACTAGCCAAATATCCACTTGCAGATTCCACAAAAAGAGCGTTTCAAAACTTCTCTATGAAAAGAAAGGTTCTACTCCTTTAGTGGAGGACACACATCACGAGTAAGTTTCTGAGAATGCTTCTGTCTAGTTTTTATGGGAAGATATTCCCTTCTTCACCTTAGGCCGGAAAGTGCTCCAAATGTCCACTTACACACACTACAAAAAGAGTGTTTCAAACCTGCTCTGTGAAAGGGAATGTTCAATACTGTGACTTGAATGCAATCATCACAAAGAACTTTCTGAGAATGCTGCTGTCTGCTTTTTATATGTAATCCCGTTTCCAACGAAATCCTCAAATCTAGCCAAATAGCCACTTGCAGATTCCACAAAAAGAGTGTTTCAAAACTGTTCTGTCTAAAGAAATGTTCAACTGTGTTAGTTGAGGACACACATCAGAAACTAGTTTCTGAGAATGCTTCTGTCTAGTTGTTATGGGAAGATATTTCCTTTTCCAACGTAGGCCTGAAAGCGCTCCAAATGTCCACTTCCATATACTAAAAAAAGAGTGTTTCAAACCTGCTCTACCAAAGGGAATGTTCTACTCCGTGACTTGAATGCAAACATCCCAAAGAAGTTTCTGAGAATGCTTCTGTCTAGATTTGATCTGAAGACAATCCCGTTTCCAACGAAATCCTCAAGGCTAGGCAAATATCCTCTTGCAGATTCCAGAAAAAGAGTGTTTCAAAACTGCTCCTTCAAAACGGTGGTTCAATTCTCTTAGTTGAGTACACACATCTCAAATAAGTTTCTGAGAATGCTTCTGCGTAGTTGTTACGGGAAGATATTTCCCTTTCCAACATAGGCCTGAAAGCACTCCAAATGTCCACTTCCAGATACTACAAAAAGAGTGTTTCAAACCTGCTCTACCAAAGGGAATGTTCTGCTCTGTGACTTGAATGCAAACATCCCAAAGAAGTTTCTGAGAATGCTTTCTGTCTAGATTTTACCTGAAGACAATCCCGTTTCTCACGAAATCCTCAAAACTATGCAAATATCCTCTTGCAGATTCTACAAAAAGAGTGTTTCAAAACTGCTCTATGAAAAGAAAGGTTCAACTCTGTCAGTAGAGGGCACACATCACAAACAAGTTTCTGAGAATGCTTGTGTCTAGTTGTTATGGGAAGATATTTCCTTTTTCAACATAGGCCTGAAAGCGCTCCAAATGTCCACTTCCAGATACTACAAAAGGAGTGATTCCAACCTGCTCTATGATAGGGAATGTTCAACTCTCTGTCCTGAATACAAACATCACAAAGATGTTTCTCAGAACGCTGCAGTCTGCAATTTGTATGAATTCCCGCTTCTAACGAAATCCTCAAAACTAGCCAAATATCCACTTGGAGATTCCACAAAAAGAGCGTTTCAAAACTTCTCTATGAATAGAAAGGTTCTACTCCTTTAGTTGAGGACACACATCACGAGTAAGTTTCTGAGAATGCTTCTGTCCAGTTTTTATGGGAAGATATTTCCTTTTTCACCTTAGCCCTGAAAGCGCTCCAAAATTCCAGTTCCAGATACTACAAAAGGAGTATTTCAGGACTGCTCTATGAAAGGGAGTGTTCAACTTTTGACTTGAATGCAAACATCAGAAAGCAGTTTCTCAGAACGCTGCTGTGTGCTTTTTATATGTATTCCCGCTTCCAGCGAAATCCCCAAAGCTAGCCAAATATCCACTTGCAGATTCCAGAAAAAGAGTGTTTCAAAACTGCTCCTTCAAAACGGTGGTTCAATTCTCTTAGTTGAGTACACACATCTCAAATAAGTTTCTGAGAATGCTTCTGTCCAGTTTTTATGGGAAGATATTTCCTTTTTCACCTTAGCCCTGAAATCGCTCCAAAAGTCCAGTTCCAGATACTACAATACGGGTGTTTCAAGACTGCTCTATGAAAGGGAGTGTTCAACTTTTGACTTGAATGCAAACATCAGAAAGCAGTTTCTCAGAACGCTGCAGTCTGCAATTTGTATGAATTCCCGCTTCCAACGAAATCCTCAAAACTAGCCAAATATCCACTTGCAGATTCCACAAAAAGAGCGTTTCAAAACTTCTCTATGAAAAGAAAGGTTCTACTCCTTTAGTTGAGGACACACATCACGAGTAAGTTTCTGAGAATGCTTCTGTCTAGTTTTTATGGGAAGATATTTCCTTTTTCACCTTAGGCCGGTAAGTGCTCCAAATGTCCACTTACACACACTACAAAAAGAGTGTTTCAAACCTGCTCTGTGAAAGGGAATGTTCAATTCTGTGACTTGAATGCAATCATCACAAATAACTTTCTGAGAATGCTGCTGACTGCTTTTTATATGTAATCCCGTTTCCAACGAAATCCTCAAATCTAGCCAAATAGCCACTTGCAGATTCCACAAAAAGAGTGTTTCAAAACTGTTCTGTCTAAAGAAATGTTCAACTGTGTTAGTTGAGGACACACATCAGAAACTAGTTTCTGAGAATGCTTCTGTCTAGTTGTTATGGGAAGATATTTCCTTTTCCAACGTAGGCCTGAAAGCGCTCCAAATGTCCACTTCCAGATACTACAAAAAGAGTGTTTCAAACCTGCTCTACCAAAGGGAATGTTCTACTCTGTGACTTGAATGCAAACATCCCAAAGAAGTTTCTGAGAATGCTTCTGTCTAGATTTTCTCTGAAGACAATCCCGTTTCCAACGAAATCCTCAAGGCTAGGCAAATATACTCTTGCAGATTCCAGAAAAAGAGTGTTTCAAAACTGCTCCTTCAAAACGGTGGTTCAATTCTCTTAGTTGAGTACACACATCTCAAATAAGTTTCTGAGAATGCTTCTGCCTAGTTGTTACGGGAAGATATTTCCCTTTCCAACATGGGCCTGAAAGCGCTCCAAATGTCCACTTCCAGATACTACAAAAAGAGTGTTTCAAACCTGCTCTACCAAAGGGAATGTTCTACTCTGTGACTTGAATGCAAACATCCCAAAGAAGTTTCTGAGAATGCTTCTGTCTAGATTTTACCTGAAGACAATCCCGTTTCCCACGAAATCCTCAAAGCTATGCAAATATCCTCTTGCAGATTCTACAAAAAGAGTGTTTCAAAACTGCTCTATGAAAAGAAAGGTTCAACTCTGTCAGTAGAGGGCACACATCACAAACAAGTTTCTGAGAATGCTTCTGCATAGTTGTTACGGGAAGATATTTCCCTTTCCAAAATAGGCCTGAAAGCGCTCCAAATGTCCACTTCCAGATACTACAAAAGGAGTGATTCCAACCTGCTCTATGATAGGGAATGTTCAACTCTGTGTCCTGAATACAAACATCACAAAGATGTTTCTCAGAACGCTGCAGTCTGCAATTTGTATGAATTCCCGCTTCCAACGAAATCCTCAAAACTAGCCAAATATCCACTTGCAGATTCCACAAAAAGACCATTTCAAAACTGCTCTATCAAAAGAAAGGTTCAACTTTGCTGGTTGAGTAGATACAGCATAAACAAGTTTCTGAGAATGCTTCTGTCCAGTTTTTATGGGAAGATATTTCCTTTTTCACCTTAGCCCTGAAAGCGCTCCAAATGTCCAGTTGCAGATACTACAAAAGGGGTGTTTCAAGACTGCTCTATGAAAGGGAGTGTTCAACTTTTGACTTGAATGGAAACATCAGAAAGCAGTTTCTCAGAACGCTGCTGTGTGCTTTTTATATGTATTCCCGCTTCCAGCGAAATCCCCAAAGCTAGCCAAATATCCACTTGCAGATTCCAGAAAAAGAGTGTTTCAAAACTGCTCCTTCAAAACGGTGGTTCAATTCTCTTAGTTGAGTACACACATCTCAAATAAGTTTCTGAGAATGCTTCTGTCTAGTTGTTATGGGAAGATATTTCCTTTTCCAACATAGGCCTGAAAGCGCTCCAAATGTCCACTTCCAGATACTACAAAAGGAGTGATTCCAACCTGCTCTATGATAGGGAATGTTCAACTCTGTGTCCTGAATACAAACATCACAAAGATGTTTCTCAGAACGCTGCAGTCTGCAATTTGTATGAATTCCCGCTTCCAACGAAATCCTCAAAACTAGCCAAATATCCACTTGGAGATTCCACAAAAAGAGCGTTTCAAAACTTCTCTATGAATAGAAAGGTTCTACTCCTTTAGTTGAGGACACACATCACGAGTAAGTTTCTGAGAATGCTTCTGTCTGGTTTTTATGGTAAGATATGTCCTTTTTCACCTTAGGCCGGAAAGCGCTCCAAATGTCCACTTACACACACTACAAAAAGAGTGTTTCAAACCTGCTCTGTGAAAGGGAATGTTCAATTCTGTGACTTGAATGCAATCATCACAAAGAACTTTCTGAGAATGTTGCTGACTGCTTTTTATATGTAATCCCGTTTCCAACGAAATCCTCAAATCTACCCCAATATCCACTTGCAGATTCCACAAAAAGAGTGTTTCAAAACTGTTCTGTCTAAAGAAATGTACAACTGTGTTAGTTGAGGACACACATCAGAAACTAGTTTCTGAGAATGCTTCTGTCTAGTTGTTATGGGAAGATATTTCCTTTTCCAACGTAGGCCTGAAAGCGCTCCAAATGTCCACTTCCATATACTAAAAAAAGAGTGTTTCAAACCTGCTCTACCAAAGGGAATGTTCTACTCTGTGACTTGAATGCAAACATCCCAAAGAAGTTTCTGAGAATGCTTCTGTCTAGATTTTATCTGAAGACAATCCCGTTTCCAACGAAATCCTCAAGGCTAGGCAAATATACTCTTGCAGATTCCAGAAAAAGAGGGTTTCAAAACTGCTCCTTCAAAACGGTGGTTCAATTCTCTTAGTTGAGTCCACACATCTCAAAGAAGTTTCTGAGAATGCTTCTGCCTAGTTGTTACGGGAAGATATTTCCCTTTCCAACATGGGCCTGAAAGCGCTCCAAATGTCCACTTCCAGATACTACAAAAAGAGTGTTTCAAACCTACTCTACCAAAGGGAATGTTCTACTCTGTGACTTGAATGCAAACATCCCAAAGAAGTTTCTGAGAATGCTTCTGTCTAGATTTTACCTGAAGACAATCCCGTTTCCCACGAAATCCTCAAAGCTATGCAAATATCCTCTTGCGGATTCTACAAAAAGAGTGTTTCAAAACTGCTCTATGAAAAGAAAGGTTCAACTCTGTCAGTAGAGGGCACACATCACAAACAAGTTTCTGAGAATGCTTGTGTCTAGTTGTTATGGGAAGATATTTCCTTTTTCAACATAGGCCTGAAAGCGCTCCAAATGTCCACTTCCAGATACTACAAAAGGAGTGATTCCAACCTGCTCTATGATAGGGAATGTTCATCTCTGTGTCTTGAATACAAACATCACAAAGATGTTTCTCAGAACGCTGCAGTCTGCAATTTGTATGAATTCCCGCTTCCAACGAAATCCTCAAAACTAGCCAAATATCCACTTGGAGATTCCACAAAAAGAGCGTTTCAAAACTTCTCTATGAATAGAAAGGTTCTACTCCTTTAGTTGAGGACACACATCACGAGTAAGTTTCTGAGAATGCTTCTGTCTAGTTTTTATGGGAAGATATGTCCTTTTTCACCTTAGGCCGGAAAGCGCTCCAAATGTCCACTTACACACACTACAAAAAGAGTGTTTCAAACCTGCTCTGTGAAAGGGAATGTTCAATTCTGTGACTTGAATGCAATCATCACAAAGAACTTTCTGAGAATGCTGCTGTCTGCTTTTTATATGTAATCCCGTTTCCAACGAAATCCTCAAATCTAGCCAAATATCCACTTGCAGATTCCACAAAAAGAGTGTTTCAAAACTGTTCTGTCTAAAGAAAAGTTCAACTGTGTTAGTTGAGGACACACATCAGAAACTAGTTTCTGAGAATGCTTCTGTCTAGTTGTTATGGGAAGATATTTCCTTTTCCAACGTAGGCCTGAAAGCGCTCCAAATGTCCACTTCCATATACTAAAAAAAGAGTGTTTCAAACCTGCTCTACCAAAGGGAATGTTCTACTCTGTGACTTGAATGCAAACATCCCAAAGAAGTTTCTGAGAATGCTTCTGTCTAGATTTTATCTGAAGACAATCCCGTTTCCAACGAAATCTTCAAGGCTAGGCAAATATACTCTTGCAGATTCCAGAAAAAGAGTGTTTCAAATCTGCTCCTTCAAAACGGTGGTTCAATTCTCTTAGTTGAGTACACACATCTCAAATAAGTTTCTGAGAATGCTTCTGCCTAGTTGTTACGGGAAGATATTTCCCTTTCCAACATGGGCCTGAAAGCGCTCCAAATGTCCACTTCCAGATACTACAAAAAGAGGGTTTCAAACCTGCTCTACCAAAGGGAATGTTCTACTCTGTGACTTGAATGAAAACATCCCAAAGAAGTTTCTGAGAATGCTTCTGTCTAGATTTTACCTGAAGACAATCCCGTTTCCCACGAAATCCTCAAAGCTATGCAAATATCCTCTTGCAGATTCTACAAAAAGAGTGTTTCAAAACTGCTCTATGAAAAGAAAGGTTCAACTCTGTCAGCAGAGGGCACACATCACAAACAAGTTTCTGAGAATGCTTGTGTCTAGTTGTTATGGGAAGATATTTCCTTTTTCAACATAGGCCTGAAAGCGCTCCAAATGTCCACTTCCAGATACTACAAAAGGAGTGATTCCAACCTGCTCTATGATAGGGAATGTTCATCTCTGTGTCCTGAATACAAACATCACAAAGATGTTTCTCAGAACGCTGCAGTCTGCAATTTGGATGAATTCCCGCTTCCAACGAAATCCTCAAAACTAGCCAAATATCCACTTGGAGATTCCACAAAAAGAGCGTTTCAAAACTTCTCTATGAATAGAAAGGTTCTACTCCTTTAGTTGAGGACACACATCACGAGTAAGTTTCTGAGAATGCTTCTGTCTAGTTTTTATGGGAAGATATTTCCTTTTTCACCTTAGGCCGGAAAGTGCTCCAAATGTCCAATTACACACACTAAAAAAGAGTATTTCAAACCTGCTCTGTGAAAGGGAATGTTCAATTCTGTGACTTGAATGCAATCATCACAAAGAACTTTTTGAGAATGCTGCTGACTGCTTTTTATATGTAATCCCGTTTCCAACGAAATCCTCAAATCTAGCCAAATAGCCACTTGCAGATTCCACAAAAAGAGTGTTTCAAAACTGTTCTGTCTAAAGAAATGTGCAACTGTGTTAGTTGAGGACACACATCAGAAACTAGTTTCTGAGAATGCTTCTGTCTAGTTGTTATGGGAAGATATTTCCTTTTCCAACGTAGGCCTGAATGCGCTCCAAATGTCCACTTCCATATACTAAAAAAAGAGTGTTTCAAACCTGCTCTACCAAAGGGAATGTTCTACTCTGTGACTTGAATGCAAACATCCCAAAGAAGTTTCTGAGAATGCTTCTGTATAGATTTGATCTGAAGACAATCCCGTTTCCAACGAAATCCTCAAGGCTAGGCAAATATCCTCTTTCAGATTCCAGAAAAAGAGTGTTTCAAAACTGCTCCTTCAAAACGGTGGTTCAATTCTCTTAGTTGAATACACACATCTCAAATAAGTTTCTGAGAATGCTTCTGCCTAGTTGTTACGGGAAGATATTTCCCTTTCCAACATAGGCCTGAAAGCGCTCCAAATGTCCACTTCCAGATACTACAAAAAGAGTGTTTCAAACCTACTCTACCAAAGGGAATGTTCTACTCTGTGACTTGAATGCAAACATCCCAAAGAAGTTTCTGAGAATGCTTCTGTCTAGATTTTACCTGAAGACAATCCCGTTTCCCACGAAATCCTCAAAGCTATGCAAATATCCTCTTGCAGATTCTACAAAAAGAGTGTTTCAAAACTGCTCTATGAAAAGAAAGGTTCAACTCTGTCAGTAGAGGGCACACATCACAAACAAGTTTCTGAGAATGCTTCTGTCTAGTTGTTTTGGGAAGATATTTCCTTTTTCAACATAGGCCTGAAGGCGCTCCAAATGTCCACTTCCAGATACTACAAAAGGAGTGATTCCAACCTGCTCTACGATAGGGAATGTCCAACTCTGTGTCCTGAATACAAACATCACCAAGTTGTTTCTCAGAACGCTGCAGTCTGCAATTTGTATGAATTCCCGCTTCCAACGAAATCCTCAAAACTAGCCAAATATCCACTTGCAGATTCCAGAAAAAGAGCATTTCAAAACTGCTCTATCAAAAGAAAGGTTCAACTTTGTTAGTTGAGTAGATACAGCATGGACAAGTTTCTGAGAATGCTTCTGTCCAGTTTTTATGGGAAGATATTTCCTTTTTCACCTTAGCCCTGAAAGCGCTCCAAATGTCCAGTTCCCGATACTACAAAAGGGGTGTTTCAAGACTGCTCTATGAAAGGGAGTGTTCAACTTTTGACTTGAATGCAAACATCAGAAAGCAGTTTCTCAGAACGCTGCTGTGTGCTTTTTATATGTATTCCCGCTTCCAGCGAAATCCCCAAAGCTAGCCAAATATCCACTTGCAGATTCCAGAAAAAGAGTGTTTCAAAACTGCTCCTTCAAAACGGTGGTTCAATTCTCTTAGTTGAGTACACACATCTCAAATAAGTTTCTGAGAATGCTTCTGTCTAGTTGTTATGGGAAGATATTTCCTTTTCCAACATAGGCCTGAAAGCGCTCCAAATGTCCACTTCCAGATACTACAAAAGGAGTGATTCCAACCTGCTCTATGATAGGGAATGTTCAACTCTGTGTCCTGAATACAAACATCACAAAGATGTTTCTCAGAACGCTTCTCTCTAGATTTTATATGAAGATATTCCCGTTTCCAACGAAATCCACAAAGCTATCAAAATATCCACTTGCAGATTCTACAAAAAGAGTGTTTCAAAACTGCTCTATCAAAAGAAAGGTTCTACCCCTTTAGTTGAGGACACACATCACGAGTAAGTTTCTGAGAATGCTTCTGTCTAGTTTTTATGGGAAGATATTTCCTTTTTCACCTGAGGCCGGAAAGCGCTCCAAATGTCCACTTCCAGATACTACAAAAGGAGTGATTCAAACCTGCTCTATGATAGGGAACGTTCAACTCTGTGTCCTGAATACAAACATCACAAAGATGTTTCTCAGAACGCTGCAGTCTGCAATTTGTATGAATTCCCGCTTCCAACGAAATCCTCAAAACTAGCCAAATATCCACTTGCAGATTCCACAAAAAGAGCGTTTCAAAACTTCTCTATGAAAAGAAAGGTTCTACTCCTTTAGTTGAGGACACACATCACGAGTAAGTTTCTGAGAATGCTACTGTCTAGTTTTTATGGGAAGATATTTCCTTTTTCACCTTAGGCCGGAAAGTGCTCCAAATGTCCACTTACACACACTACAAAAAGAGTGTTTCAAACCTGCTCTGTGAAAGGGAATGTTCAATTCTGTGACTTGAATGCAATCATCACAAAGAAGTTTCTGAGAATGCTGCCGTCTGCTTTTTATATGTAATCCCGTTTCCAACGAAATCCTCAAATCTAGCCAAATATCCACTTGCAGATTCCACAAAAAGAGTGTTTCAAAACTGTTCTGTCTAAAGAAATGTTCAACTGTGTTAGTTGAGGACACACATCAGAAACTAGTTTCTGAGAATGCTTCTGTCTAGTTGTTATGGGAAGATATTTCCTTTTCCAACGTAGGCCTGAAAGCGCTCCAAATGTCCACTTCCAGATACTACAAAAAGAGTGTTTCAAACCTGCTCTACCAAAGGGAATGTTCTACTCTGTGACTTGAATGCAAGCATCCCAAAGAAGTTTCTGAGAATGCTTCTGTCTAGATTTTCTCTGAAGACAATCCCGTTTCCAACGAAATCCTCAAGGCTAGGCAAATATACTCTTGCAGATTCCAGAAAAAGAGTGTTTCAAAACTGCTCCTTCAAAACGGTGGTTCAATTCTCTTAGTTGAGTACACACATCTCAAATAAGTTTCTGAGAATGCTTCTGCCTAGTTGTTACGGGAAGATATTTCCCTTTCCAACATGGGCCTGAAAGCGCTCCAAATGTCCACTTCCAGATACTACAAAAAGAGTGTTTCAAACCTGCTCTACCAAAGGGAATGTTCTACTCTGTGACTTGAATGCAAACATCCCAAAGAAGTTTCTGAGAATGCTTCTGTCTAGATTTTACCTGAAGACAATCCCGTTTCCCACGAAATCCTCAAAGCTATGCAAATATCCTCTTGCAGATTCTACAAAAAGAGTGTTTCAAAACTGCTCTATGAAAAGAAAGGTTCAACTCTGTCAGTAGAGGGCACACATCACAAACAAGTTTCTGAGAATGCTTCTGCATAGTTGTTACGGGAAGATATTTCCCTTTCCAAAATAGGCCTGAAAGCGCTCCAAATGTCCACTTCCAGATACTACAAAAGGAGTGATTCCAACCTGCTCTATGATAGGGAATGTTCAACTCTGTGTCCTGAATACAAACATCACAAAGATGTTTCTCAGAACGCTGCAGTCTGCAATTTGTATGAATTCCCGCTTCCAACGAAATCCTCAAAACTAGCCAAATATCCACTTGCAGATTCCACAAAAAGACCATTTCAAAACTGCTCTATCAAAAGAAAGGTTCAACTTTGTTAGTTGAGTAGATACAGCATAAACAAGTTTCTGAGAATGCTTCTGTCCAGTTTTTATGGGAAGATATTTCCTTTTTCACCTTAGCCCTGAAATCGCTCCAAAAGTCCAGTTCCAGATACTACAAAAGGGGTGTTTCAAGACTGCTCTATGAAAGGGAGTGTTCAACTTTTGACTTGAATGCAAACATCAGAAAGCAGTTTCTCAGAACGCTGCTGTGTGCTTTTTATATGTATTCCCGCTTCCAGCGAAATCCCCAAAGCTAGCCAAATATCCACTTGCAGATTCCAGAAAAAGAGAGTTTCAAAACTGCTCCTTCAAAACGGTGGTTCAATTCTCTTAGTTGAGTACACACATCTCAAATAAGTTTCTGAGAATGCTTCTGTCTAGTTGTTATGGGAAGATATTTCCTTTTCCAACATAGGCCTGAAAGCGCTCCAAATGTCCACTTCCAGATACTACAAAAGGAGTGATTCAAACCTGCTCTATGATAGGGAATGTTCAACTCTGTGTCCTGAATACAAACATCACAAAGATGTTTCTCAGAACGCTGCAGTCTGCAATTTGTATGAATTCCCCGCTTCCAACGAAATCCTCAAAACTAGCCAAATATCCACTTGCAGATTCCACAAAAAGAGCGTTTCAAAACTTCTCTATGAAAAGAAAGGTTCTACTCCTTTAGTTGAGGACACACATCACGAGTAAGTTTCTGAGAATGCTTCTGTCTAGTTTTTATGGGAAGATATGCCCTTTTTCACCTTAGGCCGGAAAGCGCTCCAAATGTCCACTTACACACACTACAAAAAGAGTGTTTCAAACCTGCTCTGTGAAAGGGAATGTTCAATTCTGTGACTTGAATGCAATCATCACAAAGAACTTTCTGAGAATGTTGCTGTCTGCTTTTTATATGTAATCCCGTTTCCAACGAAATCCTCAAATCTAGCCAAATATCCACTTGCTGATTCCACAAAAAGAGTGTTTCAAAACTGTTCTGTCTAAAGAAAAGTTCAACTGTGTTAGTTGAGGACACACATCAGAAACTAGTTTCTGAGAATGCTTCTGTCTAGTTGTTATGGGAAGATATTTCCTTTTCCAACGTAGGCCTGAAAGCGCTCCAAATGTCCACTTCCATATACTAAAAAAAGAGTGTTTCAAAACTGCTCTACCAAAGGGAATGTTCTACTCTGTGACTTGAATGCAAACATCCCAAAGAAGTTTCTGAGAATGCTTCTGTCTAGATTTTATCTGAAGACAATCCCGTTTCCAACGAAATCCTCAAGGCTAGGCAAATATAATCTTGCAGATTCCAGAAAAAGAGTGTTTCAAAACTGCTCCTTCAAAACGGTGGTTCAATTCTCTTAGTTGAGTACACACATCTCAAATAAGTTTCTGAGAATGCTTCTGCCTAGTTGTTACGGGAAGATATTTCCCTTTCCAACATGGGCCTGAAAGCGATCCAAATGTCCACTTCCAGATACTACAAAAAGAGGATTTCAAACCTGCTCTACCAAAGGGAATGTTCTACTCTGTGACTTGAATGCAAACATCCCAAAGAAGTTTCTGAGAATGCTTCTGTCTAGATTTTACCTGAAGACAATCCCGTTTCCCACGAAATCCTCAAAGCTATGCAAATATCCTCTTGCAGATTCTACAAAAAGAGTGTTTCAAAACTGCTCTATGAAAAGAAAGGTTCAACTCTGTCAGTAGAGGGCACACATCACAAACAAGTTTCTGAGAATGCTTCTGCCTAGTTGTTACGGGAAGATATTTCCCTTTCCAACATAGGCCTGAAAGCGCTTCAAATGTCCACTTCCAGATACTACAAAAGGAGTGATTCCAACCTGCTCTATGATAGGGAATGTTCAACTCTCTGTCCTGAATACAAACATCACAAAGATGTTTCTCAGAACGCTGCAGTCTGCAATTTGTATGAATTCCCGCTTCCAACGAAATCCTCAAAACTAGCCAAATATCCACTTGCAGATTCCACAAAAAGAGCATTTCAAAACTGCTCTATCAAAAGAAAGGTTCAACTTTGTTAGTTGAGTAGATACAGCATAAACAAGTTTCTGAGAATGCTTCTGTCCAGTTTTTATGGGAAGATATTTCCTTTTTCACCTTAGCCCTGAAAGCGCTCCAAAAGTCCAGTTCCAGATACTACAAAAGGAGTGTTTCAGGACTGCTCTATGAAAGGGAGTGTTCAACTTTTGACTTGAATGCAAACATCAGAAAGCAGTTTCTCAGAACGCTGCTGTGTGCTTTTTATATGTATTCCCGCTTCCAGCGAAATCCCCAAAGCTAGCCAAATATCCACTTGCAGATTCCAGAAAAAGAGTGTTTCAAAACTGCTCCTTCAAAACGGTGGTTCAATTCTCTAAGTTGAGTACACACATCTCAAATAAGTTTCTGAGAATGCTTCTGTCTAGTTGTTATGGGAAGATATTTCCTTTTCCAACATAGGCCTGAAAGCGCTCCAAATGTCCACTTCCAGATACTACAAAAGGAGTGATTCAAACCTGCTCTATGATAGGGAATGTTCAACTCTGTGTCCTGAATACAAACATCACAAAGATGTTTCTCAGAACGCTGCAGTCTGCAATTTGTATGAATTCCCGCTTCCAACGAAATCCTCAAAACTAGCCAAATATCCACTTGCAGATTCCACAAAAAGAGCGTTTCAAAACTTCTCTATGAAAACAAAGGTTCTACTCCTTTAGTTGAGGACACACATCACGAGTAAGTTTCTGAGAATGCTTCTGTCTAGTTTTTATGGGAAGATATTTCCTTTTTCACCTTAGGCCGGAAAGTGCTCCAAATGTCCACTTACACACACTACAAAAAGAGTGTTTCAAACCTGCTCTGTGAAAGGGAATGTTCAATTCTGTGACTTGAATGCAATCATCACAAAGAACTTTCTGAGAATGCTGCTGTCTGCTTTTTATATGTAATCCCGTTTCCAACGAAATCCTCAAATCTAGCCAAATATCCACTTGCAGATTCCACAAAAAGAGTGTTTCAAAACTGTTCTGTCTAAAGAAAAGTTCAACTGTGTTAGTTGAGGACACACATCAGAAACTAGTTTCTGAGAATGCTTATCTGTCTAGTTGTTATGGGAAGATATTTCCTTTTCCAACGTAGGCCTGAAATCGCTCCAAATGTCCACTTCCAGATACTACAAAAGGAGTGATTCCAACCTGCTCTATGATAGGGAATGTTCAACTCTGTGTCCTGAATACAAACATCACAAAGATGTTTCTCAGAACGCTGCAGTCTGCAATTTGTATGAATTCCCGCTTCCAACGAAATCCTCCAAACTAGCCAAATATCCACTTGCAGATTCCACAAAAAGAGCGTTTCAAAACTTCTCTATGAAAGAAAGGTTCTACTCCTTTAGTTGAGGACACACATCACGAGTAAGTTTCTGAGAATGCTTCTGTCTAGTTTTTATGGGAAGATATTTCCTTTTTCACCTTAGGCCGGTAAGTGCTCCAAATGTCCACTTACACACACTACAAAAAGAGTCTTTCAAACCTGCTCTGTGAAAGGGAATGTTCAATTCTGTGACTTGAATGCAATCATCACAAAGAACTTTCTGAGAATGCTGCTGTCTGCTTTTTATATGTAATCCCGTTTCCAACGAAATCCTCAAATCTAGCCAAATAGCCACTTGCAGATTCCACAAAAAGAGTGTTTCAAAACTGTTCTGTCTAAAGAAATGTTCAACTGTGTTAGTTGAGGACACACATCAGAAACTAGTTTCTGAGAATGCTTCTGTCTAGCTGTTATGGGAAGATATTTCCTTTTCCAACGTAGGCCTGAAAGCGCTCCAAATGTCCACTTCCATATACTAAAAAAAGAGTGTTTCAAACCTGCTCTACCAAAGGGAATGTTCTACTCTGTGACTTGAATGCAAACATCCCAAAGAAGTTTCTGAGAATGCTTCTGTCTAGATTTTATCTGAAGACAATCCCGTTTCCAACGAAATCCTCAAAGCTAGGCAAATATCCTCTTGCAGATTCCAGAAAAAAGAGTGTTTCAAAACTGCTCCTTCAAAACGGTGGTTCAATTCTCTTAGTTGAGTACACACATCTCAAATAAGTTTCTGAGAATGCTTCTGCCTAGTTGTTACGGGAAGATATTTCCCTTTCCAACATGGGCCTGAAAGCGCTCCAAATGTCCACTTCCAGATACTACAAAAAGAGTGTTTCAAACCTGCTCTACCAAAGGGAATGTTCTACTCTGTGACTTGAATGCAAACATCCCAAAGAAGTTTCTGAGAATGCTTCTTTCTAGATTTTACCTGAAGACAATCCCGTTTCCCACGAAATCCTCAAAGCTATGCAAATATCCTCTTGCGGATTCTACAAAAAGAGTGTTTCAAAACTGCTCTATGAAAAGAAAGGTTCAACTCTGTCAGTAGAGGGCACACATCACAAACAAGTTTCTGAGAATGCTTGTGTCTAGTTGTTATGGGAAGATATTTCCTTTTTCAACATAGGCCTGAAAGCGCTCCAAATGTCCACTTCCAGATACTACAAAAGGAGTGATTCCAACCTGCACTATGACAGGGAATGTTCATCTCTGTGTCCTGAATACAAACATCACAAAGATGTTTCTCAGAACGCTGCAGTCTGCAATTTGTATGAATTCCCGCTTCCAACGAAATCCTCAACACTAGCCAAATATCCACTTGGAGATTCCACAAAAAGAGCGTTTCAAAACTTCTCTATGAATAGAAAGGTTCTACTCCTTTAGTTGAGGACACACATCACGAGTAAGTTTCTGAGAATGCTTCTGTCTAGTTTTTATGGGAAGATATTTCCTTTTTCACCTTAGGCCGGAAAGTGCTCCAAATGTCCACTTACACACACTACAAAAAGAGTGTTTCAAACCTACTCTGTGAAAGGGAATGTTCAATTCTGTGACTTGAATGCAATCATCACAAAGATCTTTCTGAGAATGCTGCTGACTGCTTTTTATATGTAATCCCGTTTCCACCGAAATCCTCAAATCTAGCCAAATATCCACTTGCAGATTCCACAAAAAGAGTGTTTCAAAACTGTTCTGTCTAAAGAAAAGTTCAACTGTGTTAGTTGAGGACACACATCAGAAACTAGTTTCTGAGAATGCTTCTGTCTAGTTGTTATGGGAAGATATTTCCTTTTCCAACGTAGGCCTGAAAGCGCTCCAAATGTCCACTTCCATATACTAAAAAAAGAGTGTTTCAAACCTGCTCTACCAAAGGGAATGTTCTACTCTGTGACTTCAATGCAAACATCCCAAAGAAGTTTCTGAGAATGCTTCTGTCTAGATTTGATCTGAAGACAATCCCGTTTCCAACGAAATCCTCAAGGCTAGGCAAATATCCTCTTGCAGATTCCAGAAAAAGAGTGTTTCAAAACTGCTCCTTCAAAACGGTGGTTCAATTCTCTTAGTTGAGTACACACATCTCAAATAAGTTTCTGAGAATGCTTCTGCCTAGTTGTTACGGGAAGATATTTCCCTTTCCAACATAGGCCTGAAAGCGCTCCAAATGTCCACTTCCAGATACTACAAAAAGAGTGTTTCAAACCTGCTCTACCAAAGGGAATGTTCTACTCTGTGACTTGAATGCAAACATCCCAAAGAAGTTTCTGAGAATGCTTCTGTCTAGATTTTACCTGAAGACAATCCCGTTTCCCACGAAATCCTCAAAGCTATGCAAATATCCTCTTGCAGATTCTACAAAAAGAGTGTTTCAAAACTGCTCTATGAAAAGAAAGGTTCAACTCTGTCAGTAGAGGGCACACATCACAAACAAGTTTCTGAGAATGCTTCTGCATAGTTGTTAGGGGAAGATATTTCCCTTTCCAAAATAGGCCTGAAAGCGCTCCAAATGTCCACTTCCAGATACTACAAAAGGAGTGATTCCAACCTGCTCTATGATAGGGAATGTTCAACTCTGTGTCCTGAATACAAACATCACAAAGATGTTTCTCAGAACGCTGCAGTCTGCAATTTGTATGAATTCCCGCTTCCAACGAAATCCTCAAAACTAGCCAAATATCCACTTGCAGATTCCACAAAAAGACCATTTCAAAACTGCTCTATCAAAAGAAAGGTTCAACTTTGTTAGTTGAGTAGATACAGCATAAACAAGTTTCTGAGAATGCTTCTGTCCAGTTTTTATGGGAAGATATTTCCTTTTTCACCTTAGCCCTGAAATCGCTCCAAAAGTCCAGTTCCAGATACTACAAAAGGGGTGTTTCAAGACTGCTCTATGAAAGGGAGTGTTCAACTTTTGACTTGAATGCAAACATCAGAAAGCAGTTTCTCAGAACGCTGCTGTGTGCTTTTTATATGTATTCCCGCTTCCAGTGAAATCCCCAAAGCTAGCCAAATATCCACTTGCAGATTCCAGAAAAAGAGAGTTTCAAAACTGCTCCTTCAAAACGGTGGTTCAATTCTCTTAGTTGAGTACACACATCTCAAATAAGTTTCTGAGAATGCTTCTGTCTAGTTGTTATGGGAAGATATTTCCTTTTCCAACATAGGCCTGAAAGCGCTCCAAATGTCCACTTCCAGATACTACAAAAGGAGTGATTCCAACCTGCTCTATGATAGGGAATGTTCAACTCTGTGTCCTGAATACAAACATCACAAAGATGTTTCTCAGAACGCTGCAGTCTGCAATTTGTATGAATTCCCGCTTCCAACGAAATCCTCAACACTAGCCAAATATCCACTTGGAGATTCCACAAAA
This sequence comes from Homo sapiens, assembly GCF_000001405.40. Classification (NCBI taxonomy): domain Eukaryota; kingdom Metazoa; phylum Chordata; class Mammalia; order Primates; family Hominidae; genus Homo; species Homo sapiens. The sequence goes on along the minus strand of NC_000018.10, from coordinate 17,707,370 downwards.
AGAGCGTTTCAAAACTTCTCTATGAATAGAAAGGTTCTACTCCTTTAGTTGAGGACACACATCACGAGTAAGTTTCTGAGAATGCTTCTGTCTAGTTATTATGGGAAGATATGTCCTTTTTCACCTTAGGCCGGAAAGCGCTCCAAATGTCCACTTACACACACTACAAAAAGAGTGTTTCAAACCTGCTCTATGAAAGGGAATGTTCAATTCTGTGACTTGAATGCAATCATCACAAAGAACTTTCTGAGAATGCTGCTGACTGCTTTTTATATGTAATCCCGTTTCCAACGAAATCCTCAAATCTAGCCCAATATCCACTTGCAGATTCCACAAAAAGAGTGTTTCAAAACTGTTCTGTATAAAGAAATGTACAACTGTGTTAGTTGAGGACACACATCAGAAACTAGTTTCTGAGAATGCTTCTGTCTAGTTGTTATGGGAAGATATTTCCTTTTCCAACGTAGGCCTGAAAGCGCTCCAAATGTCCACTTCCATATACTAAAAAAAGAGTGTTTCAAACCTGCTCTACCAAAGGGAATGTTCTACTCTGTGACTTGAATGCAAACATCCCAAAGAAGTTTCTGAGAATGCTTCTGTCTAGATTTTATCTGAAGACAATCCCGTTTCCAACGAAATCCTCAAGGCTAGGCAAATATACTCTTGCAGATTCCAGAAAAAGAGTGTTTCAAAACTGCTCCTTCAAAACGGTGGTTCAGTTCTCTTACTTGAGTACACACATCTCAAATAAGTTTCTGAGAATGCTTCTGCCTAGTTGTTACGGGAAGATATTTCCCTTTCCAACATGGGCCTGAAAGCGCTCCAAATGTCCACTTCCAGATACTACAAAAAGAGTGTTTCAAACCTGCTCTACCAAAGGGAATGTTCTAGTCTGTGACTTGAATGCAAACATCCCAAAGAAGTTTCTGAGAATGCTTCTGTCTAGATTTTACCTGAAGACAATCCCGTTTCCCACGAAATCCTCAAAGCTATGCAAATATCCTCTTGCAGATTCTACAAAAAGAGTGTTTCAAAACTGCTCTATGAAAAGAAAGGTTCAACTCTGTCAGTAGAGGGCACACATCACAAACAAGTTTCTGAGAATGCTTGTGTCTAGTTGTTATGGGAAGATATTTCCTTTTTCAACATAGGCCAGAAAGCGCTCCAAATGTCCACTTCCAGATACTACAAAAGGAGTGATTCCAACCTGCTCTATGATAGGGAATGTTCAACTCTCTGTCCTGAATACAAACATCACAAAGATGTTTCTCAGAACGCTGCAGTCTGCAATTTGTATGAATTCCCGCTTCCAACGAAATCCTCAAAACTAGCCAAATATCCACTTGCAGATTCCACAAAAAGAGCATTTCAAAACTGCTCTATCAAAAGAAAGGTTCAACTTTGTTAGTTGAGTAGATACAGCATAAACAAGTTTCTGAGAATGCTTCTGTCCAGTTTTTATGGGAAGATATTTCCTTTTTCACCTTAGCCCTGAAAGCGCTCCAAAAGTCCAGTTCCAGATACTACAAAAGGAGTGTTTCAGACTGCACTATGAAAGGGAGTGTTCAACTTTTGACTTGAATGCAAACATCAGAAAGCAGTTTCTCAGAACGCTGCTGTGTGCTTTTTATATGTATTCCCGCCTCCAGCGAAATCCCCAAAGCTAGCCAAATATCCACTTGCAGATTCCAGAAAAAGAGTGTTTCAAAACTGCTCCTTCAAAACGGTGGTTCAATTCTCTTAGTTGAGTACACACATCTCAAATAAGTTTCTGAGAATGCTTCTGTCTAGTTGTTATGGGAAGATATTTCCTTTTCCAACATAGGCCTGAAAGCGCTCCAAATGTCCACTTCCAGATACTACAAAAGGAGTGATTCCAACCTGCTCTATGATAGGGAATGTTCAACTCTGTGTCCTGAATACAAACATCACAAAGATGTTTCTCAGAACGCTGCAGTCTGCAATTTGTATGAATTCCCGCTTCCAACGAAATCCTCCAAACTAGCCAAATATCCACTTGCAGATTCCACAAAAAGAGCGTTTCAAAACTTCTCTATGAAAAGAAAGGTTCTACTCCTTTAGTTGAGGACACACATCACGAGTAAGTTTCTGAGAATGCTTCTGTCTAGTTTTTATGGGAAGATTATTTCCTTTTTCACCTTAGGCCGGTAAGTGCTCCAAATGTCCACTTACACACACTACAAAAAGAGTGTTTCAAACCTGCTCTGTGAAAGGGAATGTTCAATTCTGTGACTTGAATGCAATCATCACAAAGAACTTTCTGAGAATGCTGCTGACTGCTTTTTATATGTAATCCCGTTTCCAACGAAATCCTCAAATCTAGCCAAATAGCCACTTGCAGATTCCACAAAAAGAGTGTTTCAAAACTGTTCTGTCTAAAGAAATGTTCAACTGTGTTAGTTGAGGACACACATCAGAAACTAGTTTCTGAGAATGCTTCTGTCTAGTTGTTATGGGAAGATATTTCCTTTTCCAACGTAGGCCTGAAAGCGCTCCAAATGTCCACTTCCAGATACTACAAAAAGAGTGTTTCAAACCTGCTCTACCAAAGGGAATGTTCTACTCTGTGACTTGAATGCAAGCATCCCAAAGAAGTTTCTGAGAATGCTTCTGTCTAGATTTTCTCTGAAGACAATCCCGTTTCCAACGAAATCCTCAAGGCTAGGCAAATATACTCTTGCAGATTCCAGAAAAAGAGTGTTTCAAAACTGCTCCTTCAAAACGGTGGTTCAATTCTCTTAGTTGAGTACACACATCTCAAATAAGTTTCTGAGAATGCTTCTGCCTAGTTGTTACGGGAAGATATTTCCCTTTCCAACATGGGCCTGAAAGCGCTCCAAATGTCCACTTCCAGATACTACAAAAAGAGTGTTTCAAACCTGCTCTACCAAAGGGAATGTTCTACTCTGTGACTTGAATGCAAACATCCCAAAGAAGTTTCTGAGAATGCTTCTGTCTAGATTTTACCTGAAGACAATCCCGTTTCCCACGAAATCCTCAAAGCTATGCAAATATCCTCTTGCAGATTCTACAAAAAGAGTGTTTCAAAACTGCTCTATGAAAAGAAAGGTTCAACTCTGTCAGTAGAGGGCACACATCACAAACAAGTTTCTGAGAATGCTTCTGCATAGTTGTTACGGGAAGATATTTCCCTTTCCAAAATAGGCCTGAAAGCGCTCCAAATGTCCACTTCCAGATACTACAAAAGGAGTGATTCCAACCTGCTCTATGATAGGGAATGTTCAACTCTGTGTCCTGAATACAAACATCACAAAGATGTTTCTCAGAACGCTGCAGTCTGCAATTTGTATGAATTCCCGCTTCCAACGAAATCCTCAAAACTAGCCAAATATCCACTTGCAGATTCCACAAAAAGACCATTTCAAAACTGCTCTATCAAAAGAAAGGTTCAACTTTGTTAGTTGAGTAGATACAGCATAAACAAGTTTCTGAGAATGCTTCTGTCCAGTTTTTATGGGAAGATATTTCCTTTTTCACCTTAGCCCTGAAATCGCTCCAAAAGTCCAGTTCCAGATACTACAAAAGGGGTGTTTCAAGACTGCTCTATGAAAGGGAGTGTTCAACTTTTGACTTGAATGCAAACATCAGAAAGCAGTTTCTCAGAACGCTGCTGTGTGCTTTTTATATGTATTCCCGCTTCCAGCGAAATCCCCAAAGCTAGCCAAATATCCACTTGCAGATTCCAGAAAAAGAGAGTTTCAAAACTGCTCCTTCAAAACGGTGGTTCAATTCTCTTAGTTGAGTACACACATCTCAAATAAGTTTCTGAGAATGCTTCTGTCTAGTTGTTATGGGAAGATATTTCCTTTTCCAACATAGGCCTGAAAGCGCTCCAAATGTCCACTTCCAGATACTACAAAAGGAGTGATTCAAACCTGCTCTATGATAGGGAATGTTCAACTCTGTGTCCTGAATACAAACATCACAAAGATGTTTCTCAGAACGCTGCAGTCTGCAATTTGTATGAATTCCCGCTTCCAACGAAATCCTCAAAACTAGCCAAATATCCACTTGCAGATTCCACAAAAAGAGCGTTTCAAAACTTCTCTATGAAAAGAAAGGTTCTACTCCTTTAGTTGAGGACACACATCACGAGTAAGTTTCTGAGAATGCTTCTGTCTAGTTTTTATGGGAAGATTATTTCCTTTTTCACCTTAGGCCGGTAAGTGCTCCAAATGTCCACTTACACACACTACAAAAAGAGTGTTTCAAACCTGCTCTGTGAAAGGGAATGTTCAATTCTGTGACTTGAATGCAATCATCACAAAGAACTTTCTGAGAATGCTGCTGGCTGCTTTTTATATGTAATCCCGTTTCCAACGAAATCCTCAAATCTAGCCAAATAGCCACTTGCAGATTCCACAAAAAGAGTGTTTCAAAACTGTTCTGTCTAAAGAAATGTTCAACTGTGTTAGTTGAGGACACACATCAGAAACTAGTTTCTGAGAATGCTTCTGTCTAGTTGTTATGGGAAGATATTTCCTTTTCCAACGTAGGCCTGAAAGCGCTCCAAATGTCCACTTCCAGATACTACAAAAAGAGTGTTTCAAACCTGCTCTACCAAAGGGAATGTTCTACTCTGTGACTTGAATGCAAGCATCCCAAAGAAGTTTCTGAGAATGCTTCTGTCTAGATTTTCTCTGAAGACAATCCCGTTTCCAACGAAATCCTCAAGGCTAGGCAAATATACTCTTGCAGATTGCAGAAAAAGAGTGTTTCAAAACTGCTCCTTCAAAACGGTGGTTCAATTCTCTTAGTTGAGTACACACATCTCAAATAAGTTTCTGAGAATGCTTCTGCCTAGTTGTTACGGGAAGATATTTCCCTTTCCAACATGGGCCTGAAAGCGCTCCAAATGTCCACTTCCAGATACTACAAAAAGAGTGTTTCAAACCTGCTCTACCAAAGGGAATGTTCTACTCTGTGACTTGAATGCAAACATCCCAAAGAAGTTTCTGAGAATGCTTCTGTCTAGATTTTACCTGAAGACAATCCCGTTTCCCACGAAATCCTCAAAGCTATGCAAATATCCTCTTGCAGATTCTACAAAAAGAGTGTTTCAAAAGTGCTCTATGAAAAGAAAGGTTCAACTCTGTCAGTAGAGGGCACACATCACAAACAAGTTTCTGAGAATGCTTGTGTCTAGTTGTTATGGGAAGATATTTCCTTTTTCAACATAGGCCAGAAAGCGCTCCAAATGTCCACTTCCAGATACTACAAAAGGAGTGATTCCAACGTGCTCTATGATAGGGAATGTTCAACTCTCTGTCCTGAATACAAACATCACAAAGATGTTTCTCAGAACGCTGCAGTCTGCAATTTGTATGAATTCCCGCTTCCAACGAAATCCTCAAAACTAGCCAAATATCCACTTGCAGATTCCACAAAAAGAGCATTTCAAAACTGCTCTATCAAAAGAAAGGTTCAACTTTGTTAGTTGAGTAGATACAGCATAAACAAGTTTCTGAGAATGCTTCTGTCCAGTTTTTATGGGAAGATATTTCCTTTTTCACCTTAGCCCTGAAAGCGCTCCAAAAGTCCAGTTCCAGATACTACAAAAGGAGTGTTTCAGGACTGCTCTATGAAAGGGAGTGTTCAACTTTTGACTTGAATGCAAACATCAGAAAGCAGTTTCTCAGAACGCTGCTGTGTGCTTTTTATATGTATTCCCGCCTCCAGCGAAATCCCCAAAGCTAGCCAAATATCCACTTGCAGATTCCAGAAAAAGAGTGTTTCAAAACTGCTCCTTCAAAACGGTGGTTCAATTCTCTTAGTTGAGTACACACATCTCAAATAAGTTTCTGAGAATGCTTCTGTCTAGTTGTTATGGGAAGATATTTCCTTTTCCAACATAGGCCTGAAAGCGCTCCAAATGTCCACTTCCAGATACTACAAAAGGAGTGATTCCAACCTGCTCTATGATAGGGAATGTTCAACTCTGTGTCCTGAATACAAACATCACAAAGATGTTTCTCAGAACGCTGCAGTCTGCAATTTGTATGAATTCCCGCTTCCAACGAAATCCTCAAAACTAGCCAAATATCCACTTGCAGATTCCACAAAAAGACCATTTCAAAACTGCTCTATCAAAAGAAAGGTTCAACTTTGTTAGTTGAGTAGATACAGCATAAACAAGTTTCTGAGAATGCTTCTGTCCAGTTTTTATGGGAAGATATTTCCTTTTTCACCTTAGCCCTGAAATCGCTCCAAAAGTCCAGTTCCAGATACTACAAAAGGGGTGTTTCAAGACTGCTCTATGAAAGGGAGTGTTCAACTTTTGACTTGAATGCAAACATCAGAAAGCAGTTTCTCAGAACGCTGCTGTGTGCTTTTTATATGTATTCCCGCTTCCAGCGAAATCCCCAAAGCTAGCCAAATATCCACTTGCAGATTCCAGAAAAAGAGAGTTTCAAAACTGCTCCTTCAAAACGGTGGTTCAATTCTCTTAGTTGAGTACACACATCTCAAATAAGTTTCTGAGAATGCTTCTGTCTAGTTGTTATGGGAAGATATTTCCTTTTCCAACATAGGCCTGAAAGCGCTCCAAATGTCCACTTCCAGATACTACAAAAGGAGTGATTCAAACCTGCTCTATGATAGGGAATGTTCAACTCTGTGTCCTGAATACAAACATCACAAAGATGTTTCTCAGAACGCTGCAGTCTGCAATTTGTATGAATTCCCGCTTCCAACGAAATCCTCAAAACTAGCCAAATATCCACTTGTAGACTCCACAAAAAGAGCATTTCAAAACTGCTCTATCAAAAGAAAGGTTCAACTTTGTTAGCTGAGTAGATACAGCATAAACAAGTTTCTGAGAATGCTTCTGTCCAGTTTTTATGGGAAGATATTTCCTTTTTCACCCTAGCCCTGAAAGCACTCCAAATGTCCACTTCCAGATACCACAAAAGGGGAGTTTCAAGACTGCTCTACGAAAGGGAGTGTTCAAATTTTGACTTGAATGCGAACATCAGAAAGAAGTTTCTCATAACGCTGCTGACTGCTTTTTATATGTAATCCCGTTTCCAACGAAATCCTCAAATCTAGCCAGAAAGCCACTTGCAGATTCCACAAAAAGAGTGTTTCAAAACTGTTCTGTCTAAGGAAATGTTCAACTGTGTTAGTTGAGGACACACATCAGAAACTAGTTTCTGAGAATGCTTCTGTCTAGTTGTTATGGGAAGATATTTCCTTTTCCAACGTAGGCCTGAAAGCACTCCAAATGTCCACTTCCATATACTAAAAAAAGAGTGTTTCAAACCTGCTCTACCAAAGGGAATGTTCTACTCTGTGACTTGAATGCAAACATCCCAAAGAAGTTTCTGAGAATGCTTCTGTCTAGATTTGATCTGAAGACAATCCCGTTTCCAACGAAATCCTCAAGGCTAGGCAAATATCCTCTTGCAGATTCCAGAAAAAGAGTGTTTCAAAACTGCTCCTTCAAAACGGTGGTTCAATTCTCTTAGTTGAGTACACACATCTCAAATAAGTTTCTGAGAATGCTTCTGCCTAGTTGTTACGGGAAGATATTTCCCTTTCCAACATAGGCCTGAAAGCGCTCCAAATGTCCACTTCCAGATACTACAAAAAGAGTGTTTCAAACCTGCTCTACCAAAGGGAATGTTCTGCTCTGTGACTTGAATGCAAACATCCCAAAGAAGTTTCTGAGAATGCTGCTGTCTGCTTTTTATATGTAATCCCGTTTCCAACGAAATCCTCAAACCTATGCAAATATCCTCTTGCAGATTCTACAAAAAGAGTGTTTCAAAACTGCTCTATGAAAAGAAAGGTTCAACTCTGTCAGTAGAGGGCACACATCACAAACAAGTTTCTGAGAATGCTTGTGTCTAGTTGTTATGGGAAGATATTTCCTTTTTCAACATAGGCCTGAAAGCGCTCCAAATGTCCATTTCCAGATACTACAAAAGGAGTGATTCCAACATGCTCTATGATAGGGAATGTTCATCTCTGTGTCCTGAATACAAACATCACAAAGTTGTTTCTCATAACGCTGCAGTCTGCAATTTGTATGAATTCCCGCTTCCAACGAAATCCTCAAAACTAGCCAAATATCCACTTGGAGATTCCACAAAAAGAGCGTTTCAAAACTTCTCTATGAAGAGAAAGGTTCTACTCCTTTAGTTGAGGACACACATCACGAGTAAGTTTCTGAGAATGCTTCTGTCTAGTTTTTATGGGAAGATATGTCCTTTTTCACCTTAGGCCGGAAAGCGCTCCAAATGTCCACTTACACACACTACAAAAAGAGTGTTTCAAACCTGCTCTGTGAAAGGGAATGTTCAATTCTGTGACTTGAATGCAATCATCACAAAGAACTTTCTGAGAATGCTGCTGACTGCTATTTATATGTAATCCCGTTTCCAACGAAATCCTCAAATCTAGCCCAATATCCACTTGCAGATTCCACAAAAAGAGTGTTTCAAAACTGTTCTGTCTAAAGAAATGTACAACTGTGTTAGTTGAGGACACACATCAGAAACTAGTTTCTGAGAATGCTTCTGTCTAGTTGTTATGGGAAGATATTTCCTTTTCCAACGTAGGCCTGAAAGCGCTCCAAATGTCCACTTCCATATACTAAAAAAAGAGTGTTTCAAACCTGCTCTACCAAAGGGAATGTTCTACTCTGTGACTTGAATGCAAACATCCCAAAGAAGTTTCTGAGAATGCTTCTGTCTAGATTTTACCTGAAGACAATCCCGTTTCCCACGAAATCCTCAAAGCTATGCAAATATCCTCTTGCAGATTCTACAAAAAGAGTGTTTCAAAACTGCTCTATGAAAAGAAAGGTTCAACTCTGTCAGTAGAGGGCACACATCACAAACAAGTTTCTGAGAATGCTTGTGTCTAGTTGTTATGGGAAGATATTTCCTTTTTCAACATAGGCCTGAAAGCGCTCCAAATGTCCACTTCCAGATACTACAAAAGGAGTGATTCCAACCTGCTCTATGATAGGGAATGTTCAACTCTCTGTCCTGAATACAAACATCACAAAGATGTTTCTCAGAACGCTGCAGTCTGCAATTTGTATGAATTCCAGCTTCCAACGAAATCCTCAAATCTAGCCAAATATCCACTTGCAGATTCCACAAAAAGAGCATTTCAAAACTGCTCTATCAAAAGAAAGGTTCAACTTTGTTAGTAGAGTAGATACAGCATAAACAAGTTTCTGAGAATGCTTCTGTCCAGTTTTTATGGGAAGATATTTCCTTTTTCACCTTAGCCCTGAAAGCGCTCCAAAAGTCCAGTTCCAGATACTACAAAAGGAGTGTTTCAGGACTGCTCTATGAAAGGGAGTGTTCAACTTTTGACTTGAATGCAAACATCAGAAAGCAGTTTCTCAGAACGCTGCTGTATGCTTTTTATATGTATTCCGGCTTCCAGCGAAATCCCCAAAGCTAGCCAAATATCCACTTGCAGATTCCAGAAAAAGAGTGTTTCAAAACTGCTCCTTCAAAACGGTGGTTCAATTCTCTTAGTTGAGTACACACATCTCAAATAAGTTTCTGAGAATGCTTCTGTCTAGTTGTTATGGGAAGATATTTCCTTTTCCAACATAGGCCTGAAAGCGCTCCAAATGTCCACTTCCAGATACTACAAAAGGAGTGATTCAAACCTGCTCTATGATAGGGAATGTTCAAATCTGTGTCCTGAATACAAACATCACAAAGATGTTTCTCAGAACGCTGCAGTCTGCAATTTGTATGAATTCCCGCTTCCAACGAAATCCTCCAAACTAGCCAAATATCCACTTGCAGATTCCACAAAAAGAGCGTTTCAAAACTTCTCTATGAAAAGAAAGGTTCTACTCCTTTAGTTGAGGACACACATCACGAGTAAGTTTCTGAGAATGCTTCTGTCTAGTTTTTATGGGAAGATATTTCCTTTTTCACCTTAGGCCGGTAAGTGCTCCAAATGTCCACTTACACACACTACAAAAAGAGTGTTTCAAACCTGCTCTGTGAAAGGGAATGTTCAATTCTGTGACTTGAATGCAATCATCACAAAGAACTTTCTGAGAATGCTGCTGACTGCTTTTTATATGTAATCCCGTTTCCAACGAAATCCTCAAATCTAGCCAAATAGCCACTTGCAGATTCCACAAAAAGAGTGTTTCAAAACTGTTCTGTCTAAAGAAATGTTCAACTGTGTTAGTTGAGGACACACATCAGAAACTAGTTTCTGAGAATGCTTCTGTCTAGTTGTTATGGGAAGATATTTCCTTTTCCAACGTAGGCCTGAAAGCGCTCCAAATGTCCACTTCCATATACTAAAAAAAGAGTGTTTCAAACCTGCTCTACCAAAGGGAATGTTCTACTCTGTGACTTGAATGCAAACATCCCAAAGAAGTTTCTGAGAATGCTTCTGTCTAGATTTTCTCTGAAGACAATCCCGTTTCCAACGAAATCCTCAAGGCTAGGCAAATATACTCTTGCAGATTCCAGAAAAAGAGTGTTTCAAAACTGCTCCTTCAAAACGGTGGTTCAATTCTCTTAGTTGAGTACACACATCTCAAATAAGTTTCTGAGAATGCTTCTGCCTAGTTGTTACGGGAAGATATTTCCCTTTCCAACATGGGCCTGAAAGCGCTCCAAATGTCCACTTCCAGATACTACAAAAAGAGTGTTTCAAACCTGCTCTACCAAAGGGAATGTTCTACTCTGTGACTTGAATGCAAACATCCCAAAGAAGTTTCTGAGAATGCTTCTGTCTAGATTTTACCTGAAGACAATCCCGTTTCCCACGAAATCCTCAAAGCTATGCAAATATCCTCTTGCAGATTCTACAAAAAGAGTGTTTCAAAACTGCTCTATGAAAAGAAAGGTTCAACTCTGTCAGTAGAGGGCACACATCACAAACAAGTTTCTGAGAATGCTTGTGTCTAGTTGTTATGGGAAGATATTTCCTTTTTCAACATAGGCCTGAAAGCGCTCCAAATGTCCACTTCCAGATACTACAAAAGGAGTGATTCCAACATGCTCTATGATAGGGAATGTTCATCTCTGTGTCTTGAATACAAACATCACAAAGATGTTTCTCAGAACGCTGCAGTCTGCAATTTGTATGAATTCCCGCTTCCAACGAAATCCTCAAAACTAACCAAATATCCACTTGGAGATTCCACAAAAAGAGCGTTTCAAAACTTCTCTATGAATAGAAAGGTTCTACTCCTTTAGTTGAGGACACACATCACGAGTAAGTTTCTGAGAATGCTTCTGTCTAGTTTTTATGGGAAGATATGTCCTTTTTCACCTTAGGCCGGAAAGCGCTCCAAATGTCCACTTACACACACTACAAAAAGAGTGTTTCAAACCTGCTCTGTGAAAGGGAATGTTCAATTCTGTGACTTGAATGCAATCATCACAAAGAACTTTCTGAGAATGCTGCTGTCTGCTTTTTATATGTAATCCCGTTTCCAACGAAATCCTCAAATCTAGCCAAATATCCACTTGCAGATTCCACAAAAAGAGTGTTTCAAAACTGTTCTGTCTAAAGAAAACTTCAACTGTGTTAGTTGAGGACACACATCAGAAACTAGTTTCTGAGAATGCTTCTGTCTAGTTGTTATGGGAAGATATTTCCTTTTCCAACGTAGGCCTGAAAGCGCTCCAAATGTCCTTCCATATACTAAAAAAAGAGTGTTTCAAACCTGCTCTACCAAAGGGAATGTTCTACTCTGTGACTTGAATGCAAACATCCCAAAGAAGTTTCTGAGAATGCTTCTGTCTAGATTTTATCTGAAGACAATCCCGTTTCCAACGAAATCCTCAAGGCTAGGCAAATATACTCTTGCAGATTCCAGAAAAAGAGTGTTTCAAAACTGCTCCTTCAAAACGGTGGTTCAATTCTCTTAGTTGAGTCCACACATCTCAAATAAGTTTCTGAGAATGCTTCTGCCTAGTTGTTACGGGAAGATATTTCCCTTTCCAACATGGGCCTGAAAGCGCTCCAAATGTCCACTTCCAGATACTACAAAAAGAGTGTTTCAAACCTGCTCTACCAAAGGGAATGTTCTACTCTGTGACTTGAATGCAAACATCCCAAAGAAGTTTCTGAGAATGCTTCTGTCTAGATTTTACCTGAAGACAATCCCGTTTCCCACGAAATCCTCAAAGCTATGCAAATATCCTCTTGCAGATTCTACAAAAAGAGTGTTTCAAAACTGCTCTATGAAAAGAAAGGTTCAACTCTGTCAGTAGAGGGCACACATCACAAACAAGTTTCTGAGAATGCTTCTGCATAGTTGTTACGGGAAGATATTTCCCTTTCCAAAATAGGCCTGAAAGCGCTCCAAATGTCCACTTCCAGATACTACAAAAGGAGTGATTCCAACCTGCTCTATGATAGGGAATGTTCAACTCTGTGTCCTGAATACAAACATCACAAAGATGTTTCTCAGAACGCTGCAGTCTGCAATTTGTATGAATTCCCGCTTCCAACGAAATCCTCAAAACTAGCCAAATATCCACTTGCAGATTCCACAAAAAGACCATTTCAAAACTGCTCTATCAAAAGAAAGGTTCAACTTTGTTAGTTGAGTAGATACAGCATAAACAAGTTTCTGAGAATGCTTCTGTCCAGTTTTTATGGGAAGATATTTCCTTTTTCACCTTAGCCCTGAAATCGCTCCAAAAGTCCAGTTCCAGATACTACCAAAGGGGTGTTTCAGGACTGCTCTATGAAAGGGAGTGTTCAACTTTTGACTTGAATGCAAACATCAGAAAGCAGTTTCTCAGAACGCTGCTGTGTGCTTTTTATATGTATTCCCGCTTCCAGCGAAATCCCCAAAGCTAGCCAAATATCCACTTGCAGATTCCAGAAAAAGAGAGTTTCAAAACTGCTCCTTCAAAACGGTGGTTCAATTCTCTTAGTTGAGTACACACATCTCAAATAAGTTTCTGAGAATGCTTCTGTCTAGTTGTTATGGGAAGATATTTCCTTTTCCAACATAGGCCTGAAAGCGCTCCAAATGTCCACTTCCAGATACTACAAAAGGAGTGATTCCAACCTGCTCTATGATAGGGAATGTTCAACTCTGTGTCCTGAATACAAACATCACAAAGATGTTTCTCAGAACGCTGCAGTCTGCAATTTGTATGAATTCCCGCTTCCAGCGAAATCCTCAAAACTAGCCAAATATCCACTTGCAGATTCCACAAAAAGAGCATTTCAAAACTGCTCTATCAAAAGAAAGGTTCAACTTTGTTAGTTGAGTAGATACAGCATAAACAAGTTTCTGAGAATGCTTCTGTCCAGTTTTTATGGGAAGATATTTCCTTTTTCACCTTAGCCCTGAAAGCGCTCCAAAAGTCCAGTTCCAGATACTACAAAAGGAGTGTTTCAGGACTGCTCTATGAAAGGGAGTGTTCAACTTTTGACTTGAATGCAAACATCAGAAAGCAGTTTCTCAGAACGCTGCTGTGTGCTTTTTATATGTATTCCCGCTTCCAGCGAAATCCCCAAAGCTAGCCAAATATCCACTTGCAGATTCCAGAAAAAGAGTGTTTCAAAACTGCTCCTTCAAAACGGTGGTTCAATTCTCTTAGTTGAGTACACACATCTCAAATAAGTTTCTGAGAATGCTTCTGTGTTGTTGTTATGGGAAGATATTTCCTTTTCCAACATAGGCCTGAAAGCGCTCCAAATGTCCACTTCCGGATACTACAAAAGGAGTGATTCAAACCTGCTCTATGATAGGGAATGTTCAACTCTGTGTCCTGAATACAAACATCACAAAGATGTTTCTCAGAACGCTGCAGTCTGCAATTTGTATGAATTCCCGCTTCCAACGAAATCCTCCAAACTAGCCAAATATCCACTTGCAGATTCCACAAAAAGAGCGTTTCAAAACTTCTCTATGAAAAGAAAGGTTCTACTCCTTTAGTTGAGGACACACATCACGAGTAAGTTTCTGAGAATGCTTCTGTCTAGTTTTTATGGGAAGATATTTCCTTTTTCACCTTAGGCCGGTAAGTGCTCCAAATGTCCACTTACACACACTACAAAAAGAGTCTTTCAAACCTGCTCTGTGAAAGGGAATGTTCAATTCTGTGACTTGAATGCAATCATCACAAAGAACTTTCTGAGAATGCTGCTGACTGCTTTTTATATGTAATCCCGTTTCCAACGAAATCCTCAAATCTAGCCAAATAGCCACTTGCAGATTCCACAAAAAGAGTGTTTCAAAACTGTTCTGTCTAAAGAAATGTTCAACTGTGTTAGTTGAGGACACACATCAGAAACTAGTTTCTGAGAATGCTTCTGTCTAGTTGTTATGGGAAGATATTTCCTTTTCCAACGTAGGCCTGAAAGCGCTCCAAATGTCCACTTCCAGATACTACAAAAAGAGTGTTTCAAACCTGCTCTACCAAAGGGAATGTTCTACTCTGTGACTGGAATGCAAGCATCCCAAAGAAGTTTCTGAGAATGTTTCTGTCTAGATTTTCTCTGAAGACAATCCCGTTTCCAACGAAATCCTCAAGGCTAGGCAAATATACTCTTGCAGATTCCAGAAAAAGAGTGTTTCAAAACTGCTCCTTCAAAACGGTGGTTCAATTCTCTTAGTTGAGTACACACATCTCAAATAAGTTTCTGAGAATGCTTCTGCCTAGTTGTTACGGGAAGATATTTCCCTTTCCAACATAGGCCTGAAAGCGCTCCAAATGTCCACTTCCAGATACTACAAAAAGAGTGTTTCAAACCTGCTCTACCAAAGGGAATGTTCTACTCTGTGACTTGAATGCAAACATCCCAAAGAAGTTTCTGAGAATGCTTCTGTCTAGATTTTACCTGAAGACAATCCCGTTTCCCACGAAATCCTCAAAGCTATGCAAATATCCTCTTGCAGATTCTACAAAAAGAGTGTTTCAAAACTGCTCTATGAAAAGAAAGGTTCAACTCTGTCAGTAGAGGGCACACATCACAAACAAGTTTCTGAGAATGCTTCTGCATAGTTGTTACGGGAAGATATTTCCCTTTCCAAAATAGGCCTGAAAGCGCTCCAAATGTCCACTTCCAGATACTACAAAAGGAGTGATTCCAACCTGCTCTATGATAGGGAATGTTCAACTCTGTGTCCTGAATACAAACATCACAAAGATGTTTCTCAGAACGCTGCAGTCTGCAATTTGTATGAATTCCCGCTTCCAACGAAATCCTCAAAACTAGCCAAATATCCACTTGCAGATTCCACAAAAAGACCATTTCAAAACTGCTCTATCAAAAGAAAGGTTCAACTTTGTTAGTTGAGTAGATACAGCATAAACAAGTTTCTGAGAATGCTTCTGTCCAGTTTTTATGGGAAGATATTTCCTTTTTCACCTTAGCCCTGAAATCGCTCCAAAAGTCCAGTTCCAGATACTACAAAAGGGGTGTTTCAAGACTGCTCTATGAAAGGGAGTGTTCAACTTTTGACTTGAATGCAAACATCAGAAAGCAGTTTCTCAGAACGCTGCTGTCTGCTTTTTATATGTAATCCCGTTTCCAACGAAATCCTCAAATCTAGCCAAATATCCACTTGCAGATTCCAGAAAAAGAGTGTTTCAAAACTACTCCTTCAAAACGGTGGTTCAATTCTCTTAGTTGAGTACACACATCTGAAATAAGTTTCTGAGAATGCTTCTGTCTAGTTGTTATGGGAAGATATTTCCTTTTCCAACATAGGCCTGAAAGCGCTCCAAATGTCCACTTCAAGATACTACAAAAGGAGTGATTCCAACCTGCTCTATGATAGGGAATGTTCAACTCTGTGTCCTGAATACAAACATCACAAAGATGTTTCTCAGAACGCTTCTGCATAGTTGTTACGGGAAGATATTTCCCTTTCCAAAATAGGCCTGAAAGCGCTCCAAATGTCCACTTCCAGATACTACAAAAGGAGTGATTCCAACCTGCTCTATGATAGGGAATGTTCAACTCTGTGTCCTGAATACAAACATCACAAAGATGTTTCTCAGAACGCTGCAGTCTGCAATTTGTATGAATTCCCGCTTCCAACGAAATCCTCAAAACTAGCCAAATATCCACTTGCAGATTCCACAAAAAGAGCGTTTCAAAACTTCTCTATGAAAAGAAAGGTTCTACTCCTTTAGTTGAGGACACACATCACGAGTAAGTTTCTGAGAATGCTTCTGTCTAGTTTTTATGGGAAGATATTTCCTTTTTCACCTTAGGCCGGTAAGTGCTCCAAATGTCCACTTACACACACTACAAAAAGAGTGTTTCAAACCTGCTCTGTGAAAGGGAATGTTCAATTCTGTGACTTGAATGCAATCATCACAAGGAACTTTCTGAGAATGCTGCTGACTGCTTTTTATATGTAATCCCGTTTCCAACGAAATCCTCAAATCTAGCCAAATAGCCACTTGCAGATTCCACAAAAAGAGTGTTTCAAAACTGTTCTGTCTAAAGAAATGTTCAACTGTGTTAGTTGAGGACACACATCAGAAACTAGTTTCTGAGAATGCTTCTGTCTAGTTGTTATGGGAAGATATTTCCTTTTCCAACGTAGGCCTGAAAGCGCTCCAAATGTCCACTTCCAGATACTACAAAAAGAGTGTTTCAAACCTGCTCTACCAAAGGGAATGTTCTACTCTGTGACTTGAATGCAAACATCCCAAAGAAGTTTCTGAGAATGCTTCTGTCTAGATTTTCTCTGAAGACAATCCCGTTTCCAACGAAATCCTCAAGGCTAGGCAAATATACTCTTGCAGATTCCAGAAAAAGAGTGTTTCAAAACTGCTCCTTCAAAACGGTGGTTCAATTCTCTTAGTTGAGTACACACATCTCAAATAAGTTTCTGAGAATGCTTCTGTCTAGTTGTTATGGGAAGATATTTCCTTTTCCAACATAGGCCTGAAAGCGCTCCAAATGTCCACTTCCAGATACTACAAAAGGAGTGATTCCAACCTGCTCTATGATAGGGAATGTTCAACTCTGTGTCCTGAATACAAACATCACAAAGATGTTTCTCAGAACGCTGCAGTCTGCAATTTGTATGAATTCCCGCTTCCAACGAAATCCTCAAAACTAGCCAAATATCCACTTGCAGATTCCACAAAAAGAGCGTTTCAAAACTTCTCTATGAAAAGAAAGGTTCTACTCCTTTAGTTGAGGACACACATCACGAGTAAGTTTCTGAGAATGCTTCTGTCTAGTTTTTATGGGAAGATATTTCCTTTTTCACCTTAGGCCGGTAAGTGCTCCAAATGTCCACTTACACACACTACAAAAAGAGTGTTTCAAACCTGCTCTGTGAAAGGGAATGTTCAATTCTGTGACTTGAATGCAATCATCACAAAGAACTTTCTGAGAATGCTGCTGACTGCTTTTTATATGTAATCCCGTTTCCAACGAAATCCTCAAATCTAGCCAAATAGCCACTTGCAGATTCCACAAAAAGAGTGTTTCAAAACTGTTCTGTCTAAAGAAATGTTCAACTGTGTTAGTTGAGGACACACATCAGAAACTAGTTTCTGAGAATGCTTCTGTCTAGTTGTTATGGGAAGATATTTCCTTTTCCAACGTAGGCCTGAAAGCGATCCAAATGTCCACTTCCATATACTAAAAAAAGAGTGTTTCAAACCTGCTCTACCAAAGGGAATGTTCTACTCTGTGACTTGAATGCAAACATCCCAAAGAAGTTTCTGAGAATGCTTCTGTCTAGATTTTCTCTGAAGACAATCCCGTTTCCAACGAAATCCTCAAGGCTAGGCAAATATACTCTTGCAGATTCCAGAAAAAGAGTGTTTCAAAACTGCTCCTTCAAAACGGTGGTTCAATTCTCTTAGTTGAGTACACACATCTCAAATAAGTTTCTGAGAATGCTTCTGCCTAGTTGTTACGGGAAGATATTTCCCTTTCCAACATGGGCCTGAAAGCGCTCCAAATGTCCACTTCCAGATACTACAAAAAGAGTGTTTCAAACCTGCTCTACCAAAGGGAATGTTCTACTCTGTGACTTGAATGCAAACATCCCAAAGAAGTTTCTGAGAATGCTTCTGTCTAGATTTTACCTGAAGACAATCCCGTTTCCCACGAAATCCTCAAAGCTATGCAAATATCCTCTTGCAGATTCTACAAAAAGAGTGTTTCAAAACTGCTCTATGAAAAGAAAGGTTCAACTCTGTCAGTAGAGGGCACACATCACAAACAAGTTTCTGAGAATGCTTCTGCATAGTTGTTACGGGAAGATATTTCCCTTTCCAAAATAGGCCTGAAAGCGCTCCAAATGTCCACTTCCAGATACTACAAAAGGAGTGATTCCAACCTGCTCTATGATAGGGAATGTTCAACTCTGTGTCCTGAATACAAACATCACAAAGATGTTTCTCAGAACGCTGCAGTCTGCAATTTGTATGAATTCCCGCTTCCAACGAAATCCTCAAAACTAGCCAAATATCCACTTGCAGATTCCACAAAAAGACCATTTCAAAACTGCTCTATCAAAAGAAAGGTTCAACTTTGTTAGTTGAGTAGATACAGCATAACCAAGTTTCTGAGAATGCTTCTGTCCAGTTTTTATGGGAAGATATTTCCTTTTTCACCTTAGCCCTGAAATCGCTCCAAAAGTCCAGTTCCAGATACTACAAAAGGGGTGTTTCAAGACTGCTCTATGAAAGGGAGTGTTCAACTTTTGACTTGAATGCAAACATCAGAAAGCAGTTTGCTCAGAACGCTGCTGTGTGCTTTTTATATATATTCCCGCTTCCAGCGAAATCCCCAAAGCTAGCCAAATATCCACTTGCAGATTCCAGAAAAAGAGAGTTTCAAAACTGCTCCTTCAAAACGGTGGTTCAATTCTCTTAGTTGAGTACACACATCTCAAATAAGTTTCTGAGAATGCTTCTGTCTAGTTGTTATGGGAAGATATTTCCTTTTCCAACATAGGCCTGAAAGCGCTCCAAATGTCCACTTCCAGATACTACAAAAGGAGTGATTCAAACCTGCTCTATGATAGGGAATGTTCAACTCTGTGTCCTGAATACAAACATCACAAAGATGTTTCTCAGAACGCTGCAGTCTGCAATTTGTATGAATTCCCGCTTCCAACGAAATCCTCAAAACTAGCCAAATATCCACTTGCAGATTCCACAAAAAGAGCGTTTCAAAACTTCTCTATGAAAAGAAAGGTTCTACTCCTTTAGTTGAGGACACACATCACGAGTAAGTTTCTGAGAATGCTTCTGTCTAGTTTTTATGGGAAGATATTTCCTTTTTCACCTTAGGCCGGAAAGTGCTCCAAATGTCCACTTACACACACTACAAAAAGAGTGTTTCAAACCTGCTCTGTGAAAGGGAATGTTCAATTCTGTGACTTGAATGCAATCATCACAAAGAAGTTTCTGAGAATGCTGCTGTCTGCTTTTTATATGTAATCCCGTTTCCAACGAAATCCTCAAATCTAGCCAAATAGCCACTTGCAGATTCCACAAAAAGAGAGTTTCAAAACTGTTCTGTCTAAAGAAATGTTCAACTGTGTTAGTTGAGGACACACATCAGAAACTAGTTTCTGAGAATGCTTCTGTCTAGTTGTTATGGGAAGATATTTCCTTTTCCAACGTAGGCCTGAAAGCGCTCCAAATGTCCACTTCCATATACTAAAAAAAGAGTGTTTCAAACCTGCTCTACCAAAGGGAATGTTCTACTCTGTGACTTGAATGCAAACATCCCAAAGAAGTTTCTGAGAATGCTTCTGTCTAGATTTGATCTGAAGACAATCCCGTTTCCAACGAAATCCTCAAGGCTAGGCAAATATCCTCTTGCAGATTCCAGAAAAAGAGTGTTTCAAAACTGCTCCTTCAAAACGGTGGTTCAATTCTCTTAGTTGAGTACACACATCTCAAATAAGTTTCTGAGAATGCTTCTGCCTAGTTGTTACGGGAAGATATTTCCCTTTCCAACATAGGCCTGAAAGCGCTCCAAATGTCCACTTCCAGATACTACAAAAAGAGTGTTTCAAACCTGCTCTACCAAAGGTAATGTTCTGCTCTGTGACTTGAATGCAAACATCCCAAAGAAGTTTCTGAGAATGCTTCTGTCTAGATTTTACCTGAAGACAATCCCGTTTCCCACGAAATCCTCAAAGCTATGCAAATATCCTCTTGCAGATTCTACAAAAAGAGTGTTTCAAAACTGCTCTATGAAAAGAAAGGTTCAACTCTGTCAGTAGAGGGCACACATCACAAACAAGTTTCTGAGAATGCTTGTGTCTACTTGTTATGGGAAGATATTTCCTTTTTCAACATAGGCTTGAAAGCGCTCCAAATGTCCACTTCCAGATACTACAAAAGGAGTGATTCCAACCTGCTCTATGATAGGGAATGTTCAACTCTCTGTCCTGAATACAAACATCACAAAGATGTTTCTCAGAACGCTGCAGTCTGCAATTTGTATGAATTCCCGCTTCCAAAGAAATCCTCAAAACTAACCAAATATCCACTTGCAGACTCCACAAAAAGAGCATTTCAAAACTGCTCTATCAAAAGAAAGGTTCAACTTTGTTAGCTGAGTAGATACAGCATAAACAAGTTTCTGAGAATGCTTCTGTCCAGTTTTTATGGGAAGATATTTCCTTTTTCACCTTAGCCCTGAAAGCACTCCAAATGTCCACTTCCAGATACCACAAAAGGGGAGTTTCAAGACTGCTCTATGAAAGGGAGTGTTCAACTTTTGACTTGAATGTGAACATCAGAAAGAACTTTCTGAGAATGCTGCTGTGTGCTTTTTATATGTATTCCCGCTTCCAGCGAAATCCCCAAAGCTAGCCAAATATCCACTTGCAGATTCCAGAAAAAGAGTGTTTCAAAACTGCTCCTTCAAAACGGTGGTTCAATTCTCTTAGTTGAGTACACACATCCCAAATAAGTTTCTGAGAATGCTTCTGTCTAGTTGTTATGGGAAGATATTTCCTTTTCCAACATAGGCCTGAAAGCGCTCCAAATGTCCACTTCCAGATACTACAAAAGGAGTGATTCAAACCTGCTCTATGATAGGGAATGTTCAACTCTGTGTCCTGAATACAAACATCACAAAGATGTTTCTCAGAACGCTGCAGTCTGCAATTTGTATGAATTCCCGCTTCCAACGAAATCCTCAAAACTAGCCAAATATCCACTTGCAGATTCCACAAAAAGAGCGTTTCAAAACTTCTCTATGAAAAGAAAGGTTCTACTCCTTTAGTTGAGGACACACATCACGAGTAAGTTTCTGAGAATGCTTCTGTCTAGTTTTTATGGGAAGATATTTCCTTTTTCACCTTAGGCCGGAAAGTGCTCCAAATGTCCACTTACACACACTACAAAAAGAGTGTTTCAAACCTGCTCTGTGAAAGGGAATGTTCAATTCTGTGACTTGAATGCAATCATCACAAAGAACTTTCTGAGAATGCTGCTGTCTGCTTTTTATATGTAATCCCGTTTCCAACGAAATCCTCAAATCTAGCCAAATAGCCACTTGCAGATTCCACAAAAAGAGTGTTTCAAAACTGTTCTGTCTAAAGAAATGTTCAACTGTGTTAGTTGAGGACACACCTCAGAAACTAGTTTCTGAGAATGCTTCTGTCTAGTTGTTATGGGAAGATATTTCCTTTTCCAACGTAGGCCTGAAAGCGCTCCAAATGTCCACTTCCATATACTTAAAAAAGAGTGTTTCAAACCTGCTCTACCAAAGGGAATGTTCTACTCTGTGACATGAATGCAAACATCCCAAAGAAGTTTCTGAGAATGCTTCTGTCTAGATTTGATCTGAAGACAATCCCGTTTCCAACGAAATCCTCAAGGCTAGGCAAATATCCTCTTGCAGATTCCAGAAAAAGAGTGTTTCAAAACTGCTCCTTCAAAACGGTGGTTCAATTCTCTTAGTTGAGTACACACATCTCAAATAAGTTTCTGAGAGTGCTTCTGCCTAGTTGTTACGGGAAGATATTTCCCTTTCCAACATAGGCCTGAAAGCGCTCCAAATGTCCACTTCCAGATACTACAAAAAGAGTGTTTCAAACCTGCTCTACCAAAGGGAATGTTCTGCTCTGTGACTTGAATGCAAACATCCCAAAGAAGTTTCTGAGAATGCTTCTGTCTAGATTTTACCTGAAGACAATCCCGTTTCCCACGAAATCCTCAAAGCTATGCAAATATCCTCTTGCAGATTCTACAAAAAGAGTGTTTCAAAACTGCTCTATGAAAAGAAAGGTTCAACTCTGTCAGTAGAGGGCACACATCACAAACAAGTTTCTGAGAATGCTTCTGTCTAGTTGTTATGGGAAGATATTTCCTTTTCCAACATAGGCCTGAAAGCGCTCCAAATGTCCACTTCCAGATACTACAAAAGGAGTGATTCAAACCTGCTCTATGATAGGGAATGTTCAACTCTGTGTCCTGAATACAAACATCACAAAGATGTTTCTCAGAACGCCTGCAGTCTGCAATTTGTATGAATTCCCGCTTCCAACGAAATCCTCAAAACTAGCCAAATATCCACTTGCAGATTCCACAAAAAGAGCATTTCAAAACTGCTCTATCAAAAGAAAGGTTCAACTTTGTTAGTTGAGTAGATACAGCATAAACAAGTTTCTGAGAATGCTTCTGTCCAGTTTTTATGGGAAGATATTTCCTTTTTCACCTTAGCCCTGAAAGCGCTCCAAAAGTCCAGTTCCAGATACTACAAAAGTAGTGTTTCAGGACTGCTCTATGAAAGGGAGTGTTCAACTTTTGACTTGAATGCAAACATCAGAAAGCAGTTTCTCAGAACGCTGCTGTGTGCTTTTTATATGTATTCCCGCCTCCAGCGAAATCCCCAAAGCTAGCCAAATATCCACTTGCAGATTCCAGAAAAAGAGTGTTTCAAAACTGCTCCTTCAAAACGGTGGTTCAATTCTCTTAGTTGAGTACACACATCTCAAATAAGTTTCTGAGAATGCTTCTGTCTAGTTGTTATGGGAAGATATTTCCTTTTCCAACATAGGCCTGAAAGCGCTCCAAATGTCCACTTCCAGATACTACAAAAGGAGTGATTCCAACCTGCTCTATGATAGGGAATGTTCAACTCTGTGTCCTGAATACAAACATCACAAAGATGTTGCTCAGAACGCTGCAGTCTGCAATTTGTATGAATTCCCGCTTCCAACGAAATCCTCAAAACTAGCCAAATATCCACTTGCAGATTCCACAAAAAGAGCGTTTCAAAACTTCTCTATGAAAAGAAAGGTTCTACTCCTTTAGTTGAGGACACACATCACGAGTAAGTTTCTGAGAATGCTTCTGTCTAGTTTTTATGGGAAGATATTTCCTTTTTCACCTTAGGCCGGAAAGTGCTCCAAATGTCCACTTACACACACTACAAAAAGAGTGTTTCAAACCTGCTCTGTGAAAGGGAATGTTCAATTCTGTGACTTGAATGCAATCATCACAAAGAACTTTCTGAGAATGCTGCTGTCTGCTTTTTATATGTAATCCCGTTTCCAACGAAATCCTCAAATCTAGCCAAATAGCCACTTGCAGATTCCACAAAAAGAGTGTTTCAAAACTGTTCTGTCTAAAGAAATGTTCAACTGTGTTAGTTGAGGACACACATCAGAAACTAGTTTCTGAGAATGCTTCTGTCTAGTTGTTATGGGAAGATATTTCCTTTTCCAACGTAGGCCTGAAAGCGCTCCAAATGTCCACTTCCATATACTTAAAAAAGAGTGTTTCAAACTTGCTCTACCAAAGGGAATGTTCTACTCTGTGACATGAATGCAAACATCCCAAAGAAGTTTCTGAGAATGCTTCTGTCTAGATTTGATCTGAAGACAATCCCGTTTCCAACGAAATCCTCAAGGCTAGGCAAATATCCTCTTGCAGATTCCAGAAAAAGAGTGTTTCAAAACTGCTCCTTCAAAACGGTGGTTCAATTCTCTTAGTTGAGTACACACATCTCAAATAAGTTTCTGAGAATGCTTCTGCCTAGTTGTTACGGGAAGATATTTCCCTTTCCAACATAGGCCTGAAAGCGCTCCAAATGTCCACTTCCAGATACTACAAAAAGAGTGTTTCAAACCTGCTCTACCAAAGGGAATGTTCTGCTCTGTGACTTGAATGCAAACATCCCAAAGAAGTTTCTGAGAATGCTTCTGTCTAGATTTTACCTGAAGACAATCCCGTTTCCCACGAAATCCTCAAAGCTATGCAAATATCCTCTTGCAGATTCTACAAAAAGAGTGTTTCAAAACTGCTCTATGAAAAGAAAGGTTCAACTCTGTCAGTAGAGGGCACACATCACAAACAAGTTTCTGAGAATGCTTGTGTCTAGTTGTTATGGGAAGATATTTCCTTTTTCAACATAGGCCTGAAAGCGCTCCAAATGTCCACTTCCAGATACTACAAAAGGAGTGATTCCAACCTGCTCTATGATAGGGAATGTTCATCTCTGTGTCCTGAATACAAACATCACAAAGATGTTTCTCAGAACGCTGCAGTCTGCAATTTGTGTGAATTCCCGCTTCCAATGAAATCCTCAAAACTAGCCAAATATCCACTTGGAGATTCCACAAAAAGAGCGTTTCAAAACTTCTCTATGAATAGAAAGGTTCTACTCCTTTAGTTGAGGACACACATCACGAGTAAGTTTCTGAGAATGCTTCTGTCTAGTTTTTATGGGAAGATATTTCCTTTTTCACCTTAGGCCGGAAAGCGCTCCAAATGTCCACTTACACACACTACAAAAAGAGGGTTTCAAACCTGCTCTGTGAAAGGGAATGTTCAATTCTGTGACTTGAATGCAATCATCACAAAGAACTTTCTGAGAATGCTGCTGTCTGCTTTTTATATGTAATCCCGTTTCCAACGAAATCCTCAAATCTAGCCTAATATCCACTTGCAGATTCCACAAAAAGAGTGTTTCAAAACTGTTCTGTCTAAAGAAATGTACAACTGTGTTAGTTGAGGACACACATCAGAAACTAGTTTCTGAGAATGCTTCTGTCTAGTTGTTATGGGAAGATATTTCCTTTTCCAACGTAGGCCTGAAAGCGCTCCAAATGTCCACTTCCATATACTAAAAAAAGAGTGTTTCAAACCTGCTCTACCAAAGGGAATGTTCTACTCTGTGACTTGAATGCAAACATCCCAAAGAAGTTTCTGAGAATGCTTCTGTCTAGATTTTATCTGAAGACAATCCCGTTTCCAACGAAATCCTCAAGGCTAGGCAAATATACTCTTGCAGATTCCAGAAAAAGAGTGTTTCAAAACTGCTCCTTCAAAACGGTGGTTCAATTCTCTTAGTTGAGTACACCCATCTCAAATAAGTTTCTGAGAATGCTTCTGCCTAGTTGTTACGGGAAGATATTTCCCTTTCCAACATGGGCCTGAAAGCGCTCCAAATGTCCACTTCCAGATACTACAAAAAGAGTGTTTCAAACCTGCTCTACCAAAGGGAATGTTCTACTCTGTGACTTGAATGCAAACATCCCAAAGAAGTTTCTGAGAATGCTTCTGTCTAGATTTTACCTGAAGACAATCCCGTTTCCCACGAAATCCTCAAAGCTATGCAAATATCCTCTTGCGGATTCTACAAAAAGAGTGTTTCAAAACTGCTCTATGAAAAGAAAGGTTCAACTCTGTCAGTAGAGGGCACACATCACAAACAAGTTTCTGAGAATGCTTGTGTCTAGTTGTTATGGGAAGATATTTCCTTTTTCAACATAGGCCTGAAAGCGCTCCAAATGTCCACTTCCAGATACTACAAAAGGAGTGATTCCAACCTGCTCTATGATAGGGAATGTTCATCTCTGTGTCCTGAATACAAACATCACAAAGATGTTTCTCAGAACGCTGCAGTCTGCAATTTGTATGAATTCCCGCTTCCAACGAAATCCTCAAGACTAGCCAAATATCCACTTGGAGATTCCACAAAAAGAGCGTTTCAAAACTTCTCTATGAATAGAAAGGTTCTACTCCTTTAGTTGAGGACACACATCACGAGTAAGTTTCTGAGAATGCTTCTGTCTAGTTTTTATGGGAAGATATTTCCTTTTTCACCTTAGGCCGGAAAGCGCTCCAAATGTCCACTTACACACACTACAAAAAGAGTGTTTCAAACCTGCTCTGTGAAAGGGAATGTTCAATTCTGTGACTTGAATGCAATCATCACAAAGAACTTTCTGAGAATGCTGCTGTCTGCTTTTTATATGTAATCCCGTTTCCAACGAAATCCTCAAATCTAGCCCAATATCCACTTGCAGATTCCACAAAAAGAGTGTTTCAAAACTGTTCTGTCTAAAGAAATGTACAACTGTGTTAGTTGAGGACACACATCAGAAACTAGTTTCTGAGAATGCTTCTGTCTGGTTGTTATGGGAAGATATTTCCTTTTCCAACGTAGGCCTGAAAGCGCTCCAAATGTCCACTTCCATATACTAAAAAAAGAGTGTTTCAAACCTGCTCTACCAAAGGGAATGTTCTACTCAGTGACTTGAATGCAAACATCCCAAAGAAGTTTCTGAGAATGCTTCTGTCTAGATTTTATCTGAAGACAATCCCGTTTCCAACGAAATCCTCAAGGCTAGGCAAATATACTCTTGCAGATTCCAGAAAAAGAGGGTTTCAAAACTGCTCCTTCAAAACGGTGGTTCAATTCTCTTAGTTGAGTACACACATCACAAATAAGTTTCTGAGAATGCTTCTGCCTAGTTGTTACGGGAAGATATTTCCCTTTCCAACATGGGCCTGAAAGCGCTCCAAATGTCCACTTCCAGATACTACAAAAAGAGTGTTTCAAACCTGCTCTACCAAAGGGAATGTTCTACTCTGTGACTTGAATGCAAACATCCCAAAGAAGTTTCTGAGAATGCTTCTGTCTAGATTTTACCTGAAGACAATCCCGTTTCCCACGAAATCCTCAAAGCTATGCAAATATCCTCTTGCAGATTCTACAAAAAGAGTGTTTCAAAACTGCTCTATGAAAAGAAAGGTTCAACTCTGTCAGTAGAGGACACACATCACAAACAAGTTTCTGAGAATGCTTCTGCATAGTTGTTACGGGAAGATATTTCCCTTTCCAAAATAGGCCTGAAAGCGCTCCAAATGTCCACTTCCAGATACTACAAAAGGAGTGATTCCAACCTGCTCTATGATAGGGAATGTTCAACTCTGTGTCCTGAATACAAACATCACAAAGATGTTTCTCAGAACGCTGCAGTCTGCAATTTGTATGAATTCCCGCTTCCAACGAAATCCTCAAAACTAGCCAAATATCCACTTGCAGATTCCACAAAAAGACCATTTCAAAACTGCTCTATCAAAAGAAAGGTTCAACTTTGTTAGTTGAGTAGATACAGCATAAACAAGTTTCTGAGAATGCTTCTGTCCAGTTTTTATGGTAAGATATTTCCTTTTTCACCTTAGCCCTGAAATCGCTCCAAAAGTCCAGTTCCAGATACTACAAAAGGGGTGTTTCAAGACTGCTCTATGAAAGGGAGTGTTCAACTTTTGACTTGAATGCAAACATCAGAAAGCAGTTTCTCAGAACGCTGCTGTGTGCTTTTTATATGTATTCCCGCTTCCAGCGAAATCCCCAAAGCTAGCCAAATATCCACTTGCAGATTCCAGAAAAAGAGTGTTTCAAAACTGCTCCTTCAAAACGGTGGTTCAATTCTCTTAGTTGAGTACACACATCTCAAATAAGTTTCTGAGAATGCTTCTGTCTAGTTGTTATGGGAAGATATTTCCTTTTCCAACATAGGCCTGAAAGCGCTCCAAATGTCCACTTCCAGATACTACAAAAGGAGTGATTCCAACCTGCTCTATGATAGGGAATGTTCAACTCTGTGTCCTGAATACAAACATCACAAAGATGTTTCTCAGAACGCTGCAGTCTGCAATTCGTATGAATTCCCGCTTCCAACGAAATCCTCAAAACTAGCCAAATATCCACTTGGAGATTCCACAAAAAGAGCGTTTCAAAACTTCTCTATGAATAGAAAGGTTCTACTCCTTTAGTTGAGGACACACATCACGAGTAAGTTTCTGAGAATGCTTCTGTCTAGTTTTTATGGGAAGATATTTCCTTTTTCACCTTAGGCCGGAAAGTGCTCCAAATGTCCACTTACACACACTATAAAAAGAGTGGTTTCAAAACTGCTCTGTGAAAGGGAATGTTCAATTCTGTGACTTGAATGCAATCATCACAAAGAACTTTCTGAGAATGCTGCTGTCTGCTTTTTATATGTAATCCCGTTTCCAACGAAATCCTCAAATCTAGCCAAATAGCCACTTGCAGATTCCACAAAAAGAGTGTTTCAAAACTGTTCTGTCTAAAGAAATGTTCAACTGTGTTAGTTGAGGACACACATCAGAAACTAGTTTCTGAGAATGCTTCTGTCTAGTTGTTATGGGAAGATATTTCCTTTTCCAACGTAGGCCTGAAAGCGCTCCAAATGTCCACTTCCATATACTAAAAAAAGAGTGTTTCAAACCTGCTCTACCAAAGGGAATGTTCTACTCTGTGACTTGAATGCAAACATCCCAAAGAAGTTTCTGAGAATGCTTCTGTCTAGATTTGATCTGAAGACAATCCCGTTTCCAACGAAATCCTCAAGGCTAGGCAAATATCCTCTTGCAGATTCCAGAAAAAGAGTGTTTCAAAACTGCTCCTTCAAAACGGTGGTTCAATTCTCTTAGTTGAGGACACACATCTCAAATAAGTTTCTGAGAATGCTTCTGCCTAGTTGTTACGGGAAGATATTTCCCTTTCCAACATAGGCCTGAAAGCGCTCCAAATGTCCACTTCCAGATACTACAAAAAGAGTGTTTCAAACCTGCTCTACCAAAGGGAATGTTCTACTCTGTGACTTGAATGCAAACATCCCAAAGAAGTTTCTGAGAATGCTTCTGTCTAGATTTTACCTGAAGACAATCCCGTTTCCCACGAAATCCTCAAAGCTATGCAAATATCCTCTTGCAGATTCTACAAAAAGAGTGTTTCAAAACTGCTCTATGAAAAGAAAGGTTCAACTCTGTCAGTAGAGGGCACACATCACAAACAAGTTTCTGAGAATGCTTGTGTCTAGTTGTTATGGGAAGATATTTCCTTTTTCAACATAGGCCTGAAAGCGCTCCAAATGTCCACTTCCAGATACTACAAAAGGAGTGATTCCAACCTGCTCTATGATAGGGAATGTTCATCTCTGTGTCCTGAATACAAACATCACAAAGATGTTTCTCAGAACGCTGCAGTCTGCAATTTGTATGAATTCCCGCTTCCAACGAAATCCTCAAAACTAGCCAAATATCCACTTGCAGATTCCACAAAAAGAGCGTTTCAAAACTTCTCTATGAAAAGAAAGGTTCTACTCCTTTAGTTGAGGACACACATCACGAGTAAGTTTCTGAGAATGCTTCTGTCTAGTTTTTATGGGAAGATATGTCCTTTTTCACCTTAGGCCGGAAAGCGCTCCAAATGTCCACTTACACACACTACAAAAAGAGTGTTTCAAACCTGCTCTGTGAAAGGGAATGTTCAATTCTGTGACTTGAATGCAATCATCACAAAGAACTTTCTGAGAATGCTGCTGACTGCTTTTTATATGTAATCCCGTTTCCAACGAAATCCTCAAATCTAGCCCAATATCCACTTGCAGATTCCACAAAAAGAGTGTTTCAAAACTGTTCTGTCTAAAGAAATGTACAACTGTGTTAGTTGAGGACACACATCAGAAACTAGTTTCTGAGAATGCTTCTGTCTAGTTGTTATGGGAAGATATTTCCTTTTCCAACGTAGGCCTGAAAGCGCTCCAAATGTCCACTTCCATATACTAAAAAAAGAGTGTTTCAAACCTGCTCTACCAAAGGGAATGTTCTACTCTGTGACTTGAATGCAAACATCCCAAAGAAGTTTCTGAGAATGCTTCTGTCTAGATTTTATCTGAAGACAATCCCGTTTCCAACGAAATCCTCAAGGCTAGGCAAATATACTCTTGCAGATTCCAGAAAAAGAGGGTTTCAAAACTGCTCCTTCAAAACGGTGGTTCAATTCTCTTAGTTGAGTACACACATCTCAAATAAGTTTCTGAGAATGCTTCTGCCTAGTTGTTACGGGAAGATATTTCCCTTTCCAACATGGTCCTGAAAGCGCTCCAAATGTCCACTTCCAGATACTACAAAAAGAGGGTTTCAAACCTGCTCTACCAAAGGGAATGTTCTACTCTGTGACTTGAATGCAAACATACCAAAGAAGTTTCTGAGAATGCTTCTGTCTAGATTTTACCTGAAGACAATCCCGTTTCCCACGAAATCCTCAAAGCTATGCAAATATCCTCTTGCGGATTCTACAAAAAGAGTGTTTCAAAACTGCTCTATGAAAAGAAAGGTTCAACTCTGTCAGTAGAGGGCACACATCACAAACAAGTTTCTGAGAATGCTTGTGTCTAGTTGTTATGGGAAGATATTTCCTTTTTCAACATAGGCCTGAAAGCGCTCCAAATGTCCACTTCCAGATACTACAAAAGGAGTGATTCCAACATGCTCTATGATAGGGAATGTTCATCTCTGTGTCTTGAATACAAACATCACAAAGATGTTTCTCAGAACGCTGCAGTCTGCAATTTGTATGAATTCCCGCTTCCAACGAAATCCTCAAAACTAGCCAAATATCCACTTGGAGATTCCACAAAAAGAGCGTTTCAAATCTTCTCTATGAATAGAAAGGTTCTACTCCTTTAGTTGAGGACACACATCACGAGTAAGTTTCTGAGAATGCTTCTGTCTAATTTTTATGGGAAGATATGTCCTTTTTCACCTTAGGCCGGAAAGCGCTCCAAATGTCCACTTACACACACTACAAAAAGAGTGTTTCAAACCTGCTCTATGAAAGGGAATGTTCAATTCTGTGACTTGAATGCAATCATCACAAAGAATTTTCTGAGAATGCTGCTGACTGCTTTTTATATGTAATCCCGTTTCCAACGAAATCCTCAAATCTACCCCAATATCCACTTGCAGATTCCACAAAAAGAGTGTTTCAAAACTGTTCTGTCTAAAGAAATGTACAACTGTGTTAGTTGAGGACACACATCAGAAACTAGTTTCTGAGAATGCTTCTGTCTAGTTGTTATGGGAAGATATTTCCTTTTCCAACGTAGGCCTGAAAGCGCTCCAAATGTCCACTTCCAAATACCAAAAAAAGAGTGTTTCAAACCTGCTCTACCAAAGAGAATGTTCTACTCTGTGACTTGAATGCAAACATCCCAAAGAAGTTTCTGAGAATGCTTCCGTCTAGATTTGATCTGAAGACAATCCCGTTTCCAACGAAATCCTCAAGGCTAGGCAAATATCCCCTTGCAGATTCCAGAAAAAGAGTGTTTCAAAACTGCTCCTTCAAAACGGTGGTTCAATTCTCTTAGTTGAGTACACACATCTCAAATAAGTTTCTGAGAATGCTTCTGCCTAGTTGTTACGGGAAGATATTTCCCTTTCCAACATAGGCCTGAAAGCGCTCCAAATGTCCACTTCCAGATACTACAAAAAGAGTGTTTCAAACCTGCTCTACCAAAGGGAATGTTCTACTCTGTGACTTGAATGCAAACATCCCAAAGAAGTTTCTGAGAATGCTTCTGTCTAGATTTTACCTGAAGGACAATCCCGTTTCCCACGAAATCCTCAAAGCTATGCAAATATCCTCTTGCAGATTCTACAAAAAGAGTGTTTCAAAACTGCTCTAAGAAAAGAAAGGTTCAACTCTGTCAGTAGAGGGCACACATCACAAACAAGTTTCTGAGAATGCTTCTGCATAGTTGTTACGGGAAGATATTTCCCTTTCCAAAATAGGCCTGAAAGCGCTCCAAATGTCCACTTCCAGATACTACAAAAGGAGTGATTCCAACCTGCTCTATGATAGGGAATGTTCAACTCTGTGTCCTGAATACAAACATCACAAAGATGTTTCTCAGAACGCTGCAGTCTGCAATTTGTATGAATTCCCGCTTCCAACGAAATCCTCAAAACTAGCCAAATATCCACTTGCAGATTCCACAAAAAGACCATTTCAAAACTGCTCTATCAAAAGAAAGGTTCAACTTTGTTAGTTGAGTAGATACAGCATAAACAAGTTTCTGAGAATGCTTCTGTCCAGTTTTTATGGGAAGATGTTTCCTTTTTCACCTTAGCCCTGAAATCGCTCCAAAAGTCCAGTTCCAGATACTACAACAGGGGTGTTTCAAGACTGCTCTATGAAAGGGAGTGTTCAACTTTTGACTTGAATGCAAACATCAGAAAGCAGTTTCTCAGAACGCTGCTGTGTGCTTTTTATATGTATTCCCGCTTCCAGCGAAATCCCCAAAGCTAGCCAAATATCCACTTGCAGATTCCAGAAAAAGAGAGTTTCAAAACTGCTCCTTCAAAACGGTGGTTCAATTCTCTTAGTTGAGTACACACATCTCAAATAAGTTTCTGAGAATGCTTCTGTCTAGTTGTTATGGGAAGATATTTCCTTTTCCAACATAGGCCTGAAAGCGCTCCAAATGTCCACTTCCAGATACTACAAAAGGAGTGATTCCAACCTGCTCTATGATAGGGAATGTTCAACTCTGTGTCCTGAATACAAACATCACAAAGATGTTTCTCAGAACGCTGCAGTCTGCAATTTGTATGAATTCCCGCTTCCAACGAAATCCTCAAAACTAGCCAAATATCCACTTGCAGATTCCACAAAAAGAGCGTTTCAAAACTTCTCTATGAAAAGAAAGGTTCTACTCCTTTAGTTGAGGACACACATCACGAGTAAGTTTCTGAGAATGCTTCTGTCTAGTTTTTATGGGAAGATATTTCCTTTTTCACCTTAGGCCGGTAAGTGCTCCAAATGTCCACTTACACACACTACAAAAAGAGTGTTTCAAACCTGCTCTGTGAAAGGGAATGTTCAATTCTGTGACTTGAATGCAATCATCACAAAGAACTTTCTGAGAATGCTTGCTGACTGCTTTTTATATGTAATCCCGTTTCCAACGAAATCCTCAAATCTAGCCCAGTATCCACTTGCAGATTCCACAAAAAGAGTGTTTCAAAACTGTTCTGTCTAAAGAAATGTACAACTGTGTTAGTTGAGGACACACATCAGAAACTAGTTTCTGAGAATGCTTCTGTCTAGTTGTTATGGGAAGATATTTCCTTTTCCAACGTAGGCCTGAAAGCGCTCCAAATGTCCACTTCCATATACTAAAAAAAGAGTGTTTCAAACCTGCTCTACCAAAGGGAATGTTCTACTCTGTGACTTGAATGCAAACATCCCAAAGAAGTTTCTGAGAATGCTTCTGTCTAGATTTTATCTGAAGACAATCCCGTTTCCAACGAAATCCTCAAGGCTAGGCAAATATACTCTTGCAGAATCCAGAAAAAGAGTGTTTCAAAACTGCTCCTTCAAAACGGTGGTTCAATTCTCTTAGTTGAGTACACACATCTCAAATAAGTTTCTGAGAATGCTTCTGCCTAGTTGTTACGGGAAGATATTTCCCTTTCCAACATGGGCCTGAAAGCGCTCCAAATGTCCACTTCCAGATACTACAAAAAGAGTGTTTCAAACCTACTCTACCAAAGGGAATGTTCTACTCTGTGACTTGAATGCAAACATCCCAAAGAAGTTTCTGAGAATGCTTCTGTCTAGATTTTACCTGAAGACAATCCCGTTTCCCACGAAATCCTCAAAGCTATGCAAATATCCTCTTGCAGATTCTACAAAAAGAGTGTTTCAAAACTGCTCTATGAAAAGAAAGGTTCAACTCTGTCAGTAGAGGGCACACATCACAAACAAGTTTCTGAGAATGCTTGTGTCTAGTTGTTATGGGAAGATATTTCCTTTTTCAACATAGGACTGAAAGCGCTCCAAATGTCCACTTCCAGATACTACAAAAGGAGTGATTCCAACCTGACTCTATGATAGGGAATGTTCATCTCTGTGTCCTGAATACAAACATCACAAAGATGATTCTCAGAACGCTGCAGTCTGCAATTTTTATGAATTCCCGCTTCCAACGAAATCCTCAAAACTAGCCAAATATCCACTTGCAGATTCCACAAAAAGAGCATTTCAAAACTGCTCTATCAAAAGAAAGGTTCAACTTTGTTAGTTGAGTAGATACAGCATAAACAAGTTTCTGAGAATGCTTCTGTCCAGTTTTTATGGGAAGATATTTCCTTTTTCACCTTAGCCCTGAAATCGCTCCAAAAGTCCAGTTCCAGATACTACAAAAGGGGTGTTTCAAGACTGCTCTATGAAAGGGAGTGTTCAACTTTTGACTTGAATGCAAACATCAGAAAGCAGTTTCTCAGAACGCTGCTGTGTGCTTTTTATATGTATTCCCGCTTCCAGCGAAATCCCCAAAGCTAGCCAAATATCCACTTGCAGATTCCAGAAAAAGAGAGTTTCAAAACTGCTCCTTCAAAACGGTGGTTCAATTCTCTTAGTTGAGTACACACATCTCAAATAAGTTTCTGAGAATGCTTCTGTCTAGTTGTTATGGGAAGATATTTCCTTTTCCAACATAGGCCTGAAAGCGCTCCAAATGTCCACTTCCAGATACTACAAAAGGAGTGATTCAAACCTGCTCTATGATAGGGAATGTTCAACTCTGTGTCCTGAATACAAACATCACAAAGATGTTTCTCAGAACGCTGCAGTCTGCAATTTGTATGAATTCCCGCTTCCAACGAAATCCTCAAAACTAGCCAAATATCCACTTGCAGATTCCACAAAAAGAGCGTTTCAAAACTTCTCTATGAAAAGAAAGGTTCTACTCCTTTAGTTGAGGACACACATCACGAGTAAGTTTCTGAGAATGCTTCTGTCTAGTTTTTATGGGAAGATTATTTCCTTTTTCACCTTAGGCCGGTAAGTGCTCCAAATGTCCACTTACACACACTACAAAAAGAGTGTTTCAAACCTGCTCTGTGAAAGGGAATGTTCAATTCTGTGACTTGAATGCAATCATCACAAAGAACTTTCTGAGAATGCCGCTGACTGCTTTTTATATGTAATCCCGTTTCCAACGAAATCCTCAAATCTAGCCAAATAGCCACTTGCAGATTCCACAAAAAGAGTGTTTCAAAACTGTTCTGTCTAAAGAAATGTTCAACTGTGTTAGTTGAGGACACACATCAGAAACTAGTTTCTGAGAATGCTTCTGTCTAGTTGTTATGGGAAGATATTTCCTTTTCCAACGTAGGCCTGAAAGCGCTCCAAATGTCCACTTCCATATACTAAAAAAAGACTGTTTCAAACCTGCTCTACCAAAGGGAATATTCTACTCTGTGACTTGAATGCAAACATCCCAAAGAAGTTTCTGAGAATGCTTCTGTCTAGATTTTCTCTGAAGACAATCCCGTTTCCAACGAAATCCTCAAGGCTAGGCAAATATACTCTTGCAGATTCCAGAAAAAGAGTGTTTCAAAACTGCTCCTTCAAAACGGTGGTTCAATTCTCTTAGTTGAGTACACACATCTCAAATAAGTTTCTGAGAATGCTTCTGCCTAGTTGTTACGGGAAGATATTTCCCTTTCCAACATGGGCCTGAAAGCGCTCCAAATGTCCACTTCCAGATACTACAAAAAGAGTGTTTGAAACCTGCTCTACCAAAGGGAATGTTCTACTCTGTGACTTGAATGCAAACATCCCAAAGAAGTTTCTGAGAATGCTTCTGTCTAGATTTTACCTGAAGACAATCCCGTTTCCCACGAAATCCTCAAAGCTATGCAAATATCCTCTTGCAGATTCTACAAAAAGAGTGTTTCAAAACTGCTCTATGAAAAGAAAGGTTCAACTCTGTCAGTAGATGGCACACATCACAAACAAGTTTCTGAGAATGCTTGTGTCTAGTTGTTATGGGAAGATATTTCCTTTTTCAACATAGGCCTGAAAGCGCTCCAAATGTCCACTTCCAGATACTACAAAAGGAGTGATTCCAACCTGCTCTATGATAGGGAATGTTCAACTCTGTGTCCTGAATACAAACATCACAAAGATGTTTCTCAGAACGCTGCAGTCTGCAATTTGTATGAATTCCCGCTTCCAACGAAATCCTCAAACCTAGCCAAATATGCACTTGCAGATTCCACAAAAAGAGGA
Source organism: Homo sapiens (assembly GCF_000001405.40). Classification (NCBI taxonomy): domain Eukaryota; kingdom Metazoa; phylum Chordata; class Mammalia; order Primates; family Hominidae; genus Homo; species Homo sapiens. The sequence goes on along the minus strand of NC_000018.10, from coordinate 17,671,226 downwards.
TTTCAAAACTGCTCTATCAAAAGAAAGGTTCAACTTTGTTAGTTGAGTAGATACAGCATAAACAAGTTTCTGAGAATGCTTCTGTCCAGTTTTTATGGGAAGATATTTCCTTTTTCACCTTAGCCCTGAAAGCGCTCCAAATGTCCAGTTCCAGATACTACAAAAGGGGTGTTTCAAGACTGCTCTGTGAAAGGGAGTGTTCAACTTTTGACTTGAATGCAAACATCAGAAAGCAGTTTCTCAGAACGCTGCTGTGTGCTTTTTATATGTATTCCCGCTTCCAGCGAAATCCCCAAAGCTAGCCAAATATCCACTTGCAGATTCCAGAAAAAGAGTGTTTCAAAACTGCTCCTTCAAAACGGTGGTTCAATTCTCTTAGTTGAGTACACACATCTCAAATAAGTTTCTGAGAATGCTTCTGTCTATTTGTTATGGGAAGATATTTCCTTTTCCAACATAGGCCTGAAAGCGCTCCAAATGTCCACTTCCAGATACTAGAAAAGGAGTGATTCAAACCTGCTCTATGATAGGGAATGTTCAACTCTGTGTCCTGAATACAAACATCACAAAGATGTTTCTCAGAACGCTGCAGTCTGCAATTTGTATGAATTCCCGCTTCCAACGAAATCCTCAAAACTAGCCAAATATCCACTTGCAGATTCCACAAAAAGAGCGTTTCAAAACTTCTCTATGAAAAGAAAGGTTCTACTCCTTTAGTTGAGGACACACATCACGAGTAAGTTTCTGAGAATGCTTCTGTCTAGTTTTTATGGGAAGATATTTCCTTTTTCACCTTAGGCCGGTAAGTGCTCCAAATGTCCACTTACACACACTACAAAAAGAGTGTTTCAAACCTGCTCTGTGAAAGGGAATGTTCAATTCTGTGACTTGAATGCAATCATCACAAAGAACTTTCTGAGAATGCCGCTGACTGCTTTTTATATGTAATCCCGTTTCCAACGAAATCCTCAAATCTAGCCAAATAGCCACTTGCAGATTCCACAAAAAGAGTGTTTCAAAACTGTTCTGTCTAAAGAAATGTTCAACTGTGTTAGTTGAGGACACACATCAGAAACTAGTTTCTGAGAATGCTTCTGTCTAGTTGTTATGGGAAGATATTTCCTTTTCCAACGTAGGCCTGAAAGCGCTCCAAATGTCCACTTCCAGATACTACAAAAAGAGTGTTTCAAACCTGCTCTACCAAAGGGAATGTTCTACTCTGTGACTTGAATGCAAGCATCCCAAAGAAGTTTCTGAGAATGCTTCTGTCTAGATTTTCTCTGAAGACAATCCCGTTTCCAACGAAATCCTCAAGGCTAGGCAAATATCCTCTTGCAGATTCCAGAAAAAGAGTGTTTCAAAACTGCTCCTTCAAAACGGTGGTTCAATTCTCTTAGTTGAGTACACACATCTCAAATAAGTTTCTGAGAATGCTTCTGCCTAGTTGTTACGGGAAGATATTTCCCTTTCCAACATGGGCCTGAAAGCGCTCCAAATGTCCACTTCCAGATACTACAAAAAGAGTGTTTCAAACCTGCTCTACCAAAGGGAATGTTCTACTCTGTGACTTGAATGCAAACATCCCAAAGAAGTTTCTGAGAATGCTTCTGTCTAGATTTTACCTGAAGACAATCCCGTTTCCCACGAAATCCTCAAAGCTATGCAAATATCCTCTTGCAGATTCTACAAAAAGAGTGTTTCAAAACTGCTCTATGAAAAGAAAGGTTCAACTCTGTCAGTAGAGGGCACACATCACAAACAAGTTTCTGAGAATGCTTCTGCATAGTTGTTACGGGAAGATATTTCCCTTTCCAAAATAGGCCTGAAAGCGCTCCAAATGTCCACTTCCAGATACTACAAAAGGAGTGATTCCAACCTGCTCTATGATAGGGAATGTTCAACTCTGTGTCCTGAATACAAACATCACAAAGATGTTTCTCAGAACGCTGCAGTCTGCAATTTGTATGAATTCCAGCTTCCAACGAAATCCTCACAACTAGCCAAATATCCACTTGCAGATTCCAGAAAAAGAGCATTTCAAAACTGCTCTATCAAAAGAAAGGTTCAACTTTGTTACTTGAGTAGATACAGCATAAACAAGTTTCTGAGAATGCTTCTGTCCAGTTTTTATGGGAAGATATTTCCTTTTTCACCTTAGCCCTGAAAGCGCTCCAAAAGTCCAGTTCCAGATACAACAAAAGGAGTGTTTCAGGACTGCTCTATGAAAGGGAGTGTTCAAATTTTGACTTGAATGCAAACATCAGAAAGCAGTTTCTCAGAACGCTGCTGTGTGCTTTTTATATGTATTCCCGCTTCCAGCGAAATCCCCAAAGCTAGCCAAATATCCACTTGCAGATTCCAGAAAAAGAGTGTTTCAAAACTGCTCCTTCAAAACGGTGGTTCAATTCTCTTAGTTGAGTACACACATCTCAAATAAGTTTCTGAGAATGCTTCTGTCTAGTTTTTATGGGAAGATATTTCCTTTTTCACCTGAGGCCGGAAAGCGCTCCAAATGTCCACTTCCAGATACTACAAAAGGAGTGATTCAAACCTGCTCTATGATAGGGAACGTTCAACTCTGTGTCCTGAATACAAACATCACAAAGATGTTTCTCAGAACGCTGCAGTCTGCAATTTGTATGAATTCCCGCTTCCAACGAAATCCTCCAAACTAGCCAAATATCCACTTGCAGATTCCACAAAAAGAGCGTTTCAAAACTTCTCTATGAAAAGAAAGGTTCTACTCCTTTAGTTGAGGACACACATCACGAGTAAGTTTCTGAGAATGCTTCTGTCTAGTTTTTATGGGAAGATTATTTCCTTTTTCACCTTAGGCCGGTAAGTGCTCCAAATGTCCACTTACACACACTACAAAAAGAGTGTTTCAAACCTGCTCTGTGAAAGGGAATGTTCAATTCTGTGACTTGAATGCAATCATCACAAAGAACTTTCTGAGAATGCTGCTGACTGCTTTTTATATGTAATCCCGTTTCCAACGAAATCCTCAAATCTAGCCAAATAGCCACTTGCAGATTCCACAAAAAGAGTGTTTCAAAACTGTTCTGTCTAAAGAAATGTTCAACTGTGTTAGTTGAGGACACACATCAGAAACTAGTTTCTGAGAATGCTTCTGTCTAGTTGTTATGGGAAGATATTTCCTTTTCCAACGTAGGCCTGAAAGCGCTCCAAATGTCCACTTCCAGATACTACAAAAAGAGTGTTTCAAACCTGCTCTACCAAAGGGAATGTTCTACTCTGTGACTTGAATGCAAGCATCCCAAAGAAGTTTCTGAGAATGCTTCTGTCTAGATTTTCTCTGAAGACAATCCCGTTTCCAACGAAATCCTCAAGGCTAGGCAAATATACTCTTGCAGATTCCAGAAAAAGAGTGTTTCAAAATTGCTCCTTCAAAACGGTGGTTCAATTCTCTTAGTTGAGTACACACATCTCAAATAAGTTTCTGAGAATGCTTCTGCCTAGTTGTTACAGGAAGATATTTCCTTTTCCAACATGGGCCTGAAAGCGCTCCAAATGTCCACTTCCAGATACTACAAAAAGAGTGTTTCAAACCTGCTCTACCAAAGGGAATGTTCTACTCTGTGACTTGAATGCAAACATCCCAAAGAAGTTTCTGAGAATGCTTCTGTCTAGATTTTACCTGAAGACAATCCCGTTTCCCACGAAATCCTCAAAGCTATGCAAATATCCTCTTCCAGATTCTACAAAAAGAGTGTTTCAAAACTGCTCTATGAAAAGAAAGGTTCAAATCTGTCAGTAGAGGGCACACATCACAAACAAGTTTCTGAGAATGCTTCTGCATAGTTGTTACGGGAAGATATTTCCCTTTCCAAAATAGGCCTGAAAGCGCTCCAAATGTCCACTTCCAGATACTACAAAAGGAGTGATTCCAACCTGCTCTATGATAGGGAATGTTCAACTCTGTGTCCTGAATACAAACATCACAAAGATGTTTCTCAGAACGCTGCAGTCTGCAATTTGTATGAATTCCCGCTTCCAACGAAATCCTCAAAACTAGCCAAATATCCACTTGCAGATTCCACAAAAAGACCATTTCAAAACTGCTCTATCAAAAGAAAGGTTCAACTTTGTTAGTTGAGTAGATACAGCATAAACAAGTTTCTGAGAATGCTTCTGTCCAGTTTTTATGGGAAGATATTTCCTTTTTCACCTTAGCCCTGAAATCGCTCCAAAAGTCCAGTTCCAGATACTACAAAAGGGGTGTTTCAGGACTGCTCTATGAAAGGGAGTGTTCAACTTTTGACTTGAATGCAAACATCAGAAAGCAGTTTCTCAGAACGCTGCTGTGTGCTTTTTATATGTATTCCCGCTTCCAGCGAAATCCCCAAAGCTAGCCAAATATCCACTTGCAGATTCCAGAAAAAGAGAGTTTCAAAACTGCTCCTTCAAAACGGTGGTTCAATTCTCTTAGTTGAGTACACACATCTCAAATAAGTTTCTGAGAATGCTTCTGTCTAGTTGTTATGGGAAGATATTTCCTTTTCCAACATAGGCCTGAAAGCGCTCCAAATGTCCACTTCCAGATACTACAAAAGGAGTGATTCAAACCTGCTCTATGATAGGGAATGTTCAACTCTGTGTCCTGAATACAAACATCACAAAGATGTTTCTCAGAACGCTGCAGTCTGCAATTTGTATGAATTCCCGCTTCCAACGAAATCCTCAAAACTAGCCAAATATCCACTTGCAGATTCCACAAAAAGAGCGTTTCAAAACTTCTCTATGAAAAGAAAGGTTCTACTCCTTTAGTTGAGGACACACATCACGAGTAAGTTTCTGAGAATGCTTCTGTCTAGTTTTTATGGGAAGATATTTCCTTTTTCACCTTAGGCCGGTAAGTGCTCCAAATGTCCACTTACACACACTACAAAAAGAGTGTTTCAAACCTGCTCTGTGAAAGGGAATGTTCAATTCTGTGACTTGAATGCAATCATCACAAAGAACTTTCTGAGAATGCCGCTGACTGCTTTTTATATGTAATCCCGTTTCCAACGAAATCCTCAAATCTAGCCAAATAGCCACTTGCAGATTCCACAAAAAGAGTGTTTCAAAACTGTTCTGTCTAAAGAAATGTTCAACTGTGTTAGTTGAGGACACACATCAGAAACTAGTTTCTGAGAATGCTTCTGTCTAGTTGTTATGGGAAGATATTTCCTTTTCCAACGTAGGCCTGAAAGCGCTCCAAATGTCCACTTCCAGATACTACAAAAAGAGTGTTTCAAACCTGCTCTACCAAAGGGAATGTTCTACTCTGTGACTTGAATGCAAGCATCCCAAAGAAGTTTCTGAGAATGCTTCTGTCTAGATTTTCTCTGAAGACAATCCCGTTTCCAACGAAATCCTCAAGGCTAGGCAAATATCCTCTTGCAGATTCCAGAAAAAGAGTGTTTCAAAACTGCTCCTTCAAAACGGTGGTTCAATTCTCTTAGTTGAGTACACACATCTCAAATAAGTTTCTGAGAATGCTTCTGCCTAGTTGTTACGGGAAGATATTTCCCTTTCCAACATGGGCCTGAAAGCGCTCCAAATGTCCACTTCCAGATACTACAAAAAGAGTGTTTCAAACCTGCTCTACCAAAGGGAATGTTCTACTCTGTGACTTGAATGCAAACATCCCAAAGAAGTTTCTGAGAATGCTTCTGTCTAGATTTTACCTGAAGACAATCCCGTTTCCCACGAAATCCTCAAAGCTATGCAAATATCCTCTTGCAGATTCTACAAAAAGAGTGTTTCAAAACTGCTCTATGAAAAGAAAGGTTCAACTCTGTCAGTAGAGGGCACACATCACAAACAAGTTTCTGAGAATGCTTCTGCATAGTTGTTACGGGAAGATATTTCCCTTTCCAAAATAGGCCTGAAAGCGCTCCAAATGTCCACTTCCAGATACTACAAAAGGAGTGATTCCAACCTGCTCTATGATAGGGAATGTTCAACTCTGTGTCCTGAATACAAACATCACAAAGATGTTTCTCAGAACGCTGCAGTCTGCAATTTGTATGAATTCCCGCTTCCAACGAAATCCTCAAAACTAGCCAAATATCCACTTGCAGATTCCACAAAAAGACCATTTCAAAACTGCTCTATCAAAAGAAAGGTTCAACTTTGTTAGTTGAGTAGATACAGCATAAACAAGTTTCTGAGAATGCTTCTGTCCAGTTTTTATGGGAAGATATTTCCTTTTTCACCTTAGCCCTGAAATCGCTCCAAAAGTCCAGTTCCAGATACTACAAAAGGGGTGTTTCAAGACTGCTCTATGAAAGGGAGTGTTCAACTTTTGACTTGAATGCAAACATCAGAAAGCAGTTTCTCAGAACGCTGCTGTGTGCTTTTTATATGTATTCCCGCTTCCAGCGAAATCCCCAAAGCTAGCCAAATATCCACTTGCAGATTCCAGAAAAAGAGAGTTTCAAAACTGCTCCTTCAAAACGGTGGTTCAATTCTCTTAGTTGAGTACACACATCTCAAATAAGTTTCTGAGAATGCTTCTGTCTAGTTGTTATGGGAAGATATTTCCTTTTCCAACATAGGCCTGAAAGCGCTCCAAATGTCCACTTCCAGATACTACAAAAGGAGTGATTCCAACCTGCTCTATGATAGGGAATGTTCAACTCTGTGTCCTGAATACAAACATCACAAAGATGTTTCTCAGAACGCTGCAGTCTGCAATTTGTATGAATTCCCGCTTCCAACGAAATCCTCAAAACTAGCCAAATATCCACTTGCAGATTCCACAAAAAGAGCGTTTCAAAACTTCTCTATGAAAAGAAAGGTTCTACTCCTTTAGTTGAGGACACACATCACGAGTAAGTTTCTGAGAATGCTTCTGTCTAGTTTTTATGGGAAGATATTTCCTTTTTCACCTTAGGCCGGTAAGTGCTCCAAATGTCCACTTACACACACTACAAAAAGAGTGTTTCAAACCTGCTCTGTGAAAGGGAATGTTCAATTCTGTGACTTGAATGCAATCATCACAAAGAACTTTCTGAGAATGCTGCTGACTGCTTTTTATACGTAATCCCGTTTCCAACGAAATCCTCAAATCTAGCCAAATAGCCACTTGCAGATTCCACAAAAAGAGTGTTTCAAAACTGTTCTGTCTAAAGAAATGTTCAACTGTGTTAGTTGAGGACACACATCAGAAACTAGTTTCTGAGAATGCTTCTGTCTAGTTGTTATGGGAAGATATTTCCTTTTCCAACGTAGGCCTGAAAACGATCAAAATGTCCACTTCCATATACTAAAAAAAGAGTGTTTCAAACCTGCTCTACCAAAGGGAATGTTCTACTCTGTGACTTGAATGCAAACATCCCAAAGAAGTTTCTGAGAATGCTTCTGTCTAGATTTTCTCTGAAGACAATCCCGTTTCCAACGAAATCCTCAAGGCTAGGCAAATATACTCTTGCAGATTCCAGAAAAAGAGTGTTTCAAAACTGCTCCTTCAAAACGGTGGTTCAATTCTCTTAGTTGAGTACACACATCTCAAATAAGTTTCTGAGAATGCTTCTGCCTAGTTGTTACGGGAAGATATTTCCCTTTCCAACATGGGCCTCAAAGCGCTCCAAATGTCCACTTCCAGATACTACAAAAAGAGTGTTTCAAACCTGCTCTACCAAAGGGAATGTTCTACTCTGTGACTTGAATGCAAACATCCCAAAGAAGTTTCTGAGAATGCTTCTGTCTAGATTTTACCTGAAGACAATCCCGTTTCCCACGAAATCCTCAAAGCTATGCAAATATCCTCTTGCAGATTCTACAAAAAGAGTGTTTCAAAACTGCTCTATGAAAAGAAAGGTTCAACTCTGTCAGTAGAGGGCACACATCACAAACAAGTTTCTGAGAATGCTTCTGTCTAGTTGTTATGGGAAGATTTTTCCTTTTTCAACATAGGCCTGAAAGCGCTCCAAATGTCCACTTCCAGATACTACAAAAGGAGTGATCCCAACCTGCTCTATGATAGGGAATGTTCAACTGCTGTGTCCTGAATACAAACATCACAAAGATGTTTCTCAGAACGCTGCAGTCTGCAATTTGTATGAATTCCCGCTTCCAACGAAATCCTCAAAACTAGCCAAATATCCACTTGCAGATTCCACAAAAAGACCATTTCAAAACTGCTCTATCAAAAGAAAGGTTCAACTTTGTTAGTTGAGTAGATACAGCATAAACAAGTTTCTGAGAATGCTTCTGTCCAGTTTTTATGGGAAGATATTTCCTTTTTCACCTTAGCCCTGAAATCGCTCCAAAAGTCCAGTTCCAGATACTACAAAAGGGGTGTTTCAGGACTGCTCTATGAAAGGGAGTGTTCAACTTTTGACTTGAATGCAAACATCAGAAAGCAGTTCTCAGAACGCTGCTGTGGGCTTTTTATATGTATTCCCGCTTCCAGCGAAATCCCCAAAGCTAGCCAAATATCCACTTGCAGATTCCAGAAAAAGAGAGTTTCAAAACTGCTCCTTCAAAACGGTGGTTCAATTCTCTTAGTTGAGTACACACATCTCAAATAAGTTTCTGAGAATGCTTCTGTCTAGTTGTTATGGGAAGATATTTCCTTTTCCAACATAGGCCTGAAAGCGCTCCAAATGTCCACTTCCAGATACTACAAAAGGAGTGATTCAAACCTGCTCTATGATAGGGAATGTTCAACTCTGTGTCCTGAATACAAACATCACAAAGATGTTTCTCAGAACGCTGCAGTCTGCAATTTGTATGAATTCCCGCTTCCAACGAAATCCTCAAAACTAGCCAAATATCCACTTGCAGATTCCACAAAAAGAGCGTTTCAAAACTTCTCTATGAAAAGAAAGGTTCTACTCCTTTAGTTGAGGACACACATCACGAGTAAGTTTCTGAGAATGCTTCTGTCTAGTTTTTATGGGAAGATATTTCCTTTTTCACCTTAGGCCGGTAAGTGCTCCAAATGTCCACTTACACACACTACAAAAAGAGTGTTTCAAACCTGCTCTGTGAAAGGGAATGTTCAATTCTGTGACTTGAATGCAATCATCACAAAGAACTTTCTGAGAATGCTGCTGACTGCTTTTTATATGTAATCCCGTTTCCAACGAAATCCTCAAATCTAGCCAAATAGCCACTTGCAGATTCCACAAAAAGAGTGTTTCAAAACTGTTCTGTCTAAAGAAATGTTCAACTGTGTTAGTTGAGGACACACATCAGAAACTAGTTTCTGAGAATGCTTCTGTCTAGTTGTTATGGGAAGATATTTCCTTTTCCAACGTAGGCCTGAAAGCGCTCCAAATGTCCACTTCCAGATACTACAAAAAGAGTGTTTCAAACCTGCTCTACCAAAGGGAATGTTCTACTCTGTGACTTGAATGCAAACATCCCAAAGAAGTTTCTGAGAATGCTTCTGTCTAGATTTTCTCTGAAGACAATCCCGTTTCCAACGAAATCCTCAAGGCTAGGCAAATATACTCTTGCAGATTCCAGAAAAAGAGTGTTTCAAAACTGCTCCTTCAAAACGGTGGTTCAATTCTCTTAGTTGAGTACACACATCTCAAATAAGTTTCTGAGAATGCTTCTGCCTAGTTGTTACGGGAAGATATTTCCCTTTCCAACATGGGCCTGAAAGCGCTCCAAATGTCCACTTCCAGATACTACAAAAAGAGTGTTTCAAACCTGCTCTACCAAAGGGAATGTTCTACTCTGTGACTTGAATGCAAACATCCCAAAGAAGTTTCTGAGAATGCTTCTGTCTAGATTTTACCTGAAGACAATCCCGTTTCCCACGAAATCCTCAAAGCTATGCAAATATCCTCTTGCAGATTCTACAAAAAGAGTGTTTCAAAACTGCTCTATGAAAAGAAAGGTTCAACTCTGTCAGTAGAGGGCACACATCACAAACAAGTTTCTGAGAATGCTTCTGCATAGTTGTTACGGGAAGATATTTCCCTTTCCAAAATAGGCCTGAAAGCGCTCCAAATGTCCACTTCCAGATACTACAAAAGGAGTGATTCCAACCTGCTCTATGATAGGGAATGTTCAACTCTGTGTCCTGAATACAAACATCACAAAGATGTTTCTCAGAACGCTGCAGTCTGCAATTTGTATGAATTCCCGCTTCCAACGAAATCCTTAAAACTAGCCAAATATCCACTTGCAGATTCCACAAAAAGACCATTTCAAAACTGCTCTATCAAAAGAAAGGTTCAACTTTGTTAGTTGAGTAGATACAGCATAAACAAGTTTCTGAGAATGCTTCTGTCCAGTTTTTATGGGAAGATATTTCCTTTTTCACCTTAGCCCTGAAATCGCTCCAAAAGTCCAGTTCCAGATACTACAAAAGGGGTGTTTCAAGACTGCTCTATGAAAGGGAGTGTTCAACTTTTGACTTGAATGCAAACATCAGAAAGCAGTTTCTCAGAACGCTGCTGTGTGCTTTTTATATGTATTCCCGCTTCCAGTGAAATCCCCAAAGCTAGCCAAATATCCACTTGCAGATTCCAGAAAAAGAGAGTTTCAAAACTGCTCCTTCAAAACGGTGGTTCAATTCTCTTAGTTGAGTACACACATCTCAAATAAGTTTCTGAGAATGCTTCTGTCTAGTTGTTATGGGAAGATATTTCCTTTTCCAACATAGGCCTGAAAGCGCTCCAAATGTCCACTTCCAGATACTACAAAAGGAGTGATTCCAACCTGCTCTATGATAGGGAATGTTCAACTCTGTGTCCTGAATACAAACATCACAAAGATGTTTCTCAGAACGCTGCAGTCTGCAATTTGTATGAATTCCCGCTTCCAACGAAATCCTCAAAACTAGCCAAATATCCACTTGCAGATTCCACAAAAAGAGCGTTTCAAAACTTCTCTATGAAAAGAAAGGTTCTACTCCTTTAGTTGAGGACACACATCACGAGTAAGTTTCTGAGAATGCTTCTGTCTAGTTTTTATGGGAAGATATTTCCTTTTTCACCTAAGTCCGGAAAGTGCTCCAAATGTCCACTTACACACACTACAAAAAGAGTGTTTCAAACCTGCTCTGTGAAAGGGAATGTTCAATTCTGTGACTTGAATGCAATCATCACAAAGAACTTTCTGAGAATGCTGCTGTCTGCTTTTTATATGTAATCCCGTTTCCAACGAAATCCTCAAATCTAGCCAAATAGCCACTTGCAGATTCCACAAAAAGAGTGTTTCAAAACTGTTCTGTCTAAAGAAATGTGCAACTGTGTTAGTTGAGGACACACATCAGAAACTAGTTTCTGAGAATGCTTCTGTCTAGTTGTTATGGGAAGATATTTCCTTTTCCAACGTAGGCCTGAAAGCGCTCCAAATGTCCACTTCCATATACTAAAAAAAGAGTGTTTCAAACCTGCTCTACCAAAGGGAATGTTCTACTCTGTGACTTGAATGCAAACATCCCAAAGAAGTTTCTGAGAATGCTTCTGTCTAGATTTGATCTGAAGACAATCCCGTTTCCAACGAAATCCTCAAGGCTAGGCAAATATCCTCTTGCAGATTCCAGAAAAAGAGTGTTTCAAAACTGCTCCTTCAAAACGGTGGTTCAATTCTCTTAGTTGACTACACACATCTCAAATAAGTTTCTGAGAATGCTTCTGCCTAGTTGTTACGGGAAGATATTTCCCTTTCCAACATAGGCCTGAAAGCGCTCCAAATGTCCACTTCCAGATACTACAAAAAGAGTGTTTCAAACCTGCTCTACCAAAGGGAATGTTCTGCTCTGTGACTTGAATGCAAACATCCCAAAGAAGTTTCTGAGAATGCTTCTGTCTAGATTTTACCTGAAGACAATCCCGTTTCCCACGAAATCCTCAAAGCTATGCAAATATCCTCTTGCAGATTCTACAAAAAGAGTGTTTCAAAACTGCTCTATGAAAAGAAAGGTTCAACTCTGTCAGTAGAGGGCACACATCACAAACAAGTTTCTGAGAATGCTTGTGTCTAGTTGTTATGGGAAGATATTTCCTTTTTCAACATAGGCCTGAAAGCGCTCCAAATGTCCACTTCCAGATACTACAAAAGGAGTGATTCCAACCTGCTCTATGATAGGGAATGTTCAACTCTCTGTCCTGAATACAAACATCACAAAGATGTTTCTCAGAACGCTGCAGTCTGCAATTTGTATGAATTCTAGCTTCCAACGAAATCCTCAAAACTAGCCAAATATCCACTTGCAGATTCCACAAAAAGAGCATTTCAAAACTGCTCTATCAAAAGAAAGGTTCAAATTTGTTAGTAGAGTAGATACAGCATAAACAAGTTTCTGAGATTGCTTCTGTCCAGTTTTTATGGGAAGATATTTCCTTTTTCACCTTAGCCCTGAAATCGCTCCAAAAGTCCAGTTCCAGATACTACAAAAGGAGTGTTTCAAGACTGCTCTATGAAAGGGAGTGTTCAACTTTTGACTTGAATGCAAACATCAGAAAGCAGTTTCTCAGAACGCTGCTGTGTGCTTTTTATATGTATTCCCGCTTCCAGCGAAATCCCCAAAGCTAGCCAAATATCCACTTGCAGATTCCAGAAAAAGAGTGTTTCAAAACTGCTCCTTCAAAACGGTGGTTCAATTCTCTTAGTTGAGTACACACATCTCAAATAAGTTTCTGAGAATGCTTCCTGTCTATTTGTTATGGGAAGATATTTCCTTTTCCAACATAGGGCCTGAAAGCGCTCCAAATGTCCACTTCCAGATACTACAAAAGGAGTGATTCAAACCTGCTCTATGATAGGGAATGTTCAACTCTGTGTCCTGAATACAAACATCACAAAGATGTTTCTCAGAACGCTGCAGTCTGCAATTTGTATGAATTCCCGCTTCCAACGAAATCCTCAAAACTAGCCAAATATCCACTTGCAGATTCCACAAAAAGAGCGTTTCAAAACTTCTCTATGAAAAGAAAGGTTCTACTCCTTTAGTTGAGGACACACATCACGAGTAAGTTTCTGAGAGTGCTTCTGTCTAGTTTTTATGGGAAGATATTTCCTTTTTCACCTTAGGCCGGAAAGTGCTCCAAATGTCCACTTACACACACTACAAAAAGAGTGTTTCAAACCTGCTCTGTGAAAGGGAATGTTCAATTCTGTGACTTGAATGCAATCATCACAAAGAACTTTCTGAGAATGCTGCTGTCTGCTTTTTATATGTAATCCCGTTTCCAACGAAATCCTCAAATCTAGCCAAATAGCCACTTGCAGATTCCACAAAAAGAGTGTTTCAAAACTGTTCTGTCTACAGAAATGTTCAACTGTGTTAGTTGAGGACACACATCAGAAACTAGTTTCTGAGAATGCTTCTGTCTAGTTGTTATGGGAAGATATTTCCTTTTCCAACATAGGCCTGAAAGCGCTCCAAATGTCCACTTCCAGATACTACAAAAGGAGTGATTCCAACCTGCTCTATGATAGGGAATGTTCAACTCTGTGTCCTGAATACAAACATCACAAAGATGTTTCTCAGAACGCTGCAGTCTGCAATTTGTATGAATTCCCGCTTCCAACGAAATCCTCCAAACTAGCCAAATATCCACTTGCAGATTCCACAAAAAGAGCGTTTCAAAACTTCTCTATGAAAGAAAGGTTCTACTCCTTTAGTTGAGGACACACATCACGAGTAAGTTTCTGAGAATGCTTCTGTCTAGTTTTTATGGGAAGATATTTCCTTTCTCACCTTAGGCCGGAAAGTGCTCCAAATGTCCACTTACACACACTACAAAAAGAGTGTTTCGAACCTGCTCTGTGAAAGGGAATGTTCAATTCTTTGACTTGAATGCAATCATCACAAAGAACTTTCTGAGAATGCTGCTGACTGCTTTTTATATGTAATCCCGTTTCCAACGAAATCCTCAAATCTAGCCAAATAGCCACTTGCAGATTCCACAAAAAGAGTGTTTCAAAACTGTTCTGTCTAAAGAAATGTTCAACTGTGTTAGTTGAGGACACACATCAGAAACTAGTTTCTGAGAATGCTCTCTGTCTAGTTGTTATGGGAAGATATTTCCTTTTCCAACGTAGGCCTGAAAGTGCTCCAAATGTCCACTTCCATATACTAAAAAAAGAGTGTTTCAAACCTGCTCTACCAAAGGGAATGTTCTACTCTGTGACTTGAATGCAAACATCCCAAAGAAGTTTCTGAGAATGCTTCTGTCTAGATTTTATCTGAAGACAATCCCGTTTCCAACGAAATTCTCAAGGCTAGGCAAATATACTCTTGCAGATTCCAGAAAAAGAGTGTTTCAAAACTGCTCCTTCAAAACGGTGGTTCAATTCTCTTAGTTGAGTACACACATCTCAAATAAGTTTCTGAGAATGCTTCTGCCTAGTTGTTACGGGAAGATATTTCCCTTTCCAACATGGGCCTGAAAGCGCTCCAAATGTCCACTTCCAGATACTACAAAAAGAGTGTTTCAAACCTGCTCTACCAAAGGGAATGTTCTACTCTGTGACTTGAATGCAAACATCCCAAAGAAGTTTCTGAGAATGCTTCTGTCTAGATTTTACCTGAAGACAATCCCGTTTCCCACGAAATCCTCAAAGCTATGCAAATATCCTCTTGCAGATTCTACAAAAAGAGTGTTTCAAAACTGCTCTATGAAAAGAAAGGTTCAACTCTGTCAGTAGAGGGCACACATCACAAACAAGTTTCTGAGAATGCTTGTGTCTAGTTGTTATGGGAAGATATTTCCTTTTTCAACATAGGCCTGAAAGCGCTCCAAATGTCCACTTCCAGATAGTACAAAAGGAGTGATTCCAACATGCTCTATGATAGGGAATGTTCATCTCTGTGTCTTGAATACAAACATCACAAAGATGTTTCTCAGAACGCTGCAGTCTGCAATTTGTATGAATTCCCGCTTCCAACGAAATCCTCAACACTAGCCAAATATCCACTTGGAGATTCCACAAAAAGAGCGTTTCAAAACTTCTCTATGAATAGAAAGGTTCTACTCCTTTAGTTGAGGACACACATCACGAGTAAGTTTCTGAGAATGCTTCTGTCTAATTTTTATGGGAAGATATGTCCTTTTTCACCTTAGGCCGGAAAGCGCTCCAAATGTCCACTTACACACACTACAAAAAGAGTGTTTCAAACCTGCTCTGTGAAAGGGAATGTTCAATTCTGTGACTTGAATGCAATCATCACAAAGAACTTTCTGAGAATGCTGCTGACTGCTTTTTATATGTAATCCCGTTTCCAACGAAATCCTCAAATCTAGCCCAATATCCACTTGCAGATTCCACAAAAAGAGTGTTTCAAAACTGTTCTGTCTAAAGAAATGTACAACTGTGTCAGTTGAGGACACACATCAGAAACTAGTTTCTGAGAATGCTTCTGTCTAGTTGTTATGGGAAGATATTTCCTTTTCCAACGTAGGCCTGAAAGCGCTCCAAATGTCCACTTCCATATACTAAAAAAAGAGTGTTTCAAACCTGCTCTACCAAAGGGAATGTTCTACTCTGTGACTTGAATGCAAACATCCCAAAGAAGTTTCTGAGAATGCTTCTGTCTAGATTTTATCTGAAGACAATCCCGTTTCCAACGAAATCCTCAAGGCTAGGCAAATATACTCTTGCAGATTCCAGAAAAAGAGTGTTTCAAAACTGCTCCTTCAAAACGGTGGTTCAATTCTCTTAGTTGAGTACACACATCTCAAATAAGTTTCTGAGAATGCTTCTGCCTAGTTGTTACGGGAAGATATTTCCCTTTCCAACATAGGCCTGAAAGCGCTCCAAATGTCCACTTCCAGATACTACAAAAAGAGTGTTTCAAACCTGCTCTACCAAAGGGAATGTTCTACTCTGTGACTTGAATGCAAACATCCCAAAGAAGTTTCTGAGAATGCTTCTGTCTAGATTTTACCTGAAGACAATCCCGTTTCCCACGAAATCCTCAAAGCTATGCAAATATCCTCTTGCAGATTCTACAAAAAGAGTGTTTCAAAACTGCTCTATGAAAAGAAAGGTTCAACTCTGTCAGTAGAGGGCACACATCACAAACAAGTTTCTGAGAATGCTTGTGTCTAGTTGTTATGGGAAGATATTTCCTTTTTCAACATAGGCCTCAAAGCGCTCCAAATGTCCACTTCCAGATACTACAAAAGGAGTGATTCCAACCTGCTCTATGATAGGGAATGTTCATCTCTGTGTCCTGAATACAAACATCACAAAGATGTTTCTCATAACGCTGCAGTCTGCAATTTGTATGAATTCCCGCTTCCAACGAAATCCTCAAAACTAGCCAAATATCCACTTGGAGATTCCACAAAAAGAGCGTTTCAAAACTTCTCTATGAATAGAAAGGTTCTACTCCTTTAGTTGAGGACACACATCACGAGTAAGTTTCTGAGAATGCTTCTGTCTAGTTTTTATGGGAAGATATTTCCTTTTTCACCTTAGGCCGGAAAGCGCTCCAAATGTCCACTTACACACACTACAAAAAGAGTGTTTCAAACCTGCTCTGTGAAAGGGAATGTTCAATTCTGTGACTTGAATGCAATCATCACAAAGAACTTTCTGAGAATGCTGCTGTCTGCTTTTTATATGTAATCCCGTTTCCAACGAAATCCTCAAATCTAGCCCAATATCCACTTGCAGATTCCACAAAAAGAGTGTTTCAAAACTGTTCTGTCTAAAGAAATGTACAACTGTGTTAGTTGAGGACACACATCACAAACTAGTTTCTGAGAATGCTTCTGTCTAGTTGTTATGGGAAGATATTTCCTTTTCCAACGTAGGCCTGAAAGCGCTCCAAATGTCCACTTCCATATACTAAAAAAAGAGTGTTTCAAACCTGCTCTACCAAAGGGAATGTTCTACTCTGTGACTTGAATGCAAACATCCCAAAGAAGTTTCTGAGAATGCTTCTGTCTAGAATTTATCTGAAGACAATCCCGTATCCAACGAAATCCTCAAGGCTAGGCAAATATATACTTGCAGAATACAGAAAAAGAGTGTTTCAAAACTGCTCCTTCAAAACGGTGGTTCAATTCTCTTAGTTGAGTACACACATCTCAAATAAGTTTCTGAGAATGCTTCTGCCTAGTTGTTACGGGAAGATATTTCCCTTTCCAACATAGGCCTGAAAGCGCTCCAAATGTCCACTTCCAGATACTACAAAAGGAGTGATTCCAACCTGCTCTATGATAGGGAATGTTCAACTCTCTGTCCTGAATACAAACATCACAAAGATGTTTCTCAGAACGCTGCAGTCTGCAATTTGTATGAATTCCCGCTTCCAACGAAATCCTCAAAACTAGCCAAATATCCACTTGCAGATTCCACAAAAAGAGCATTTCAAAACTGCTCTATCAAAAGAAAGGTTCAACTTTGTTAGTTGAGTAGATACAGCATAAACAAGTTTCTGAGAATGCTTCTGTCCAGTTTTTATGGGAAGATATTTCCTTTTTCACCTTAGCCCTGAAAGCGCTCCAAATGTCCAGTTCCAGATACTACAAAAGGAGTGTTTCAGGACTGCTCTATGAAAGGGAGTGTTCAACTTTTGACTTGAATGCAAACATCAGAAAGCAGTTTCTCAGAACGCTGCTGTGTGCTTTTTATATGTATTCCCGCTTCCAGCGAAATCCCCAAAGCTAGCCAAATATCCACTTGCAGATTCCAGAAAAAGAGAGTTTCAAAACTGCTCCTTCAAAACGGTGGTTCAATTCTCTTTAGTTGAGTACACACATCTCAAATAAGTTTCTGAGAATGCTTCTGTCTAGTTTTTATGGGAAGATATTTCCTTTTTCACCTTAGCCCTGAAAGCGCTCCAAAAGTCCAGTTCCAGATACTACAAAAGGAGTGTTCCAGGACTGCTCTATGAAAGGGAGTGTTCAACTTTTGACTTGAATGCAAACATCAGAAAGCAGTTTCTCAGAACGCTGCAGTCTGCAATTTGTATGAATTCCCGCTTCCAACGAAATCCTCAAAACTAGCCAAATATCCACTTGCAGATTCCACAAAAAGAGCATTTCAAAACTGCTCTATCAAAAGAAAGGTTCAACTTTGTTAGTTGAGTAGATACAGCATAAACAAGTTTCTGAGAATGCTTCTGTCCAGTTTTTATGGGAAGATATTTCCTTTTTCACCTTAGCCCTGAAAGCGCTCCAAAAGTCCAGTTCCAGATACTACAAAAGGAGTGTTTCAGGACTGCTCTATGAAAGGGAGTGTTCAACTTTTGACTTGAATGCAAACATCAGAAAGCAGTTTCTCAGAACGCTGCTGTGTGCTTTTTATATGTATTCCCGCCTCCAGCGAAGTCCCCAAAGCTAGCCAAATATCCACTTGCAGATTCCAGAAAAAGAGTGTTTCAAAACTGCTCCTTCAAAACGGTGGTTCAATTCTCTTAGTTGAGTACACACATCTCAAATAAGTTTCTGAGAATGCTTTCTGTCCAGTTTTTATGGGAAGATATTTCCTTTTTCACCTTAGCCCTGAAAGCGCCCGAAATGTCCAGTTCCAGATACTACAAAAGGGGTGTTTCAAGACTGCTCTATGAAAGGGAGTGTTCAACTTTTGACTTGAATGCAAACATCAGAAAGCAGTTTCTCAGAACGCTGCAGTCTGCAATTTGTATGAATTCCCGCTTCCAACGAAATCCTCAAAACTAGCCAAATATCCACTTGCAGATTCCACAAAAAGAGCGTTTCAAAACTTCTCTATGAAAAGAAAGGTTCTACTCCTTTAGTTGAGGACACACATCACGAGTAAGTTTCTGAGAATGCTTCTGTCTAGTTTTTATGGGAAGATATTTCCTTTTTCACCTTAGGCCGGTAAGTGCTCCAAATGTCCACTTACACGCACTACAAAAAGAGTGTTTCAAACCTGCTCTGTGAAAGGGAATGTTCAATTCTGTGACTTGAATGCAATCATCACAAAGAACTTTCTGAGAATGCTGCTGACTGCTTTTTATATGTAATCCCGTTTCCAACGAAATCCTCAAATCTAGCCAGAAAGCCACTTGCAGATTCCACAAAAAGAGTGTTTCAAAACTGTTCTGTCTAAGGAAATGTTCAACTGTGTTAGTTGAGGACACACATCAGAAACTAGTTTCTGAGAATGCTTCTGTCTAGTTGTTATGGGAAGATATTTCCTTTTCCAACGTAGGCCTGAAAGCGCTCCAAATGTCCACTTCCATATACTAAAAAAAGAGTGTTTCAAACCTGCTCTACCAAAGGGAATGTTCTACTCTGTGACTTGAATGCAAACATCCCAAAGAAGTTTCTGAGAATGCTTCTGTCTAGATTTGATCTGAAGACAATCCCGTTTCCAACGAAATCCTCAAGGCTAGGCAAATATCCTCTTGCAGATTCCAGAAAAAGAGTGTTTCAAAACTGCTCCTTCAAAACGGTGGTTCAATTCTCTTAGTTGAGTACACACATCTCAAATAAGTTTCTGAGAATGCTTCTGCCTAGTTGTTACGGGAAGATATTTCCCTTTCCAACATAGGCCTGAAAGCGCTCCAAATGTCCACTTCCAGATACTACAAAAAGAGTGTTTCAAACCTGCTCTACCAAACGGAATGTTCTGCTCTGTGACTTGAATGCAAACATCCCAAAGAAGTTTCTGAGAATGCTTCTGTCTAGATTTTACCTGAAGACAATCCCGTTTCCCACGAAATCCTCAAAGCTATGCAAATATCCTCTTGCAGATTCTGCAAAAAGAGTGTTTCAAAACTGCTCTATGAAAAGAAAGGTTCAACTCTGTCAGTAGAGGGCACACATCACAAACAAGTTTCTGAGAATGCTTCTGCATAGTTGTTACGGGAAGATATTTCCCTTTCCAAAATAGGCCTGAAAGCGCTCCAAATGTCCACTTCCAGATACTACAAAAGGAGTGATTCCAACCTGCTCTATGATAGGGAATGTTCAACTCTGTGTCCTGAATACAAACATCACAAAGATGTTTCTCAGAACGCTGCAGTCTGCAATTTGTATGAATTCCCGCTTCCAACGAAATCCTCAAAACTAGCCAAATATCCACTTGCAGATTCCACAAAAAGACCATTTCAAAACTGCTCTATCAAAAGAAAGGTTCAACTTTGTTAGTTGAGTAGATACAGCATAAACAAGTTTCTGAGAATGCTTCTGTCCAGTTTTTATGGGAAGATATTTCCTTTTTCACCTTAGCCCTGAAATCGCTCCAAAAGTCCAGTTCCAGATACTACAAAAGGGGTGTTTCAAGACTGCTCTATGAAAGGGAGTGTTCAACTTTTGACTTGAATGCAAACATCAGAAAGCAGTTTCTCAGAACGCTGCTGTGTGTTTTTTATATGTATTCCCGCTTCCAGCGAAATCCCCAAAGCTAGCCAAATATCCACTTGCAGATTCCAGAAAAAGAGCGTTTCAAAACTGCTCCTTGAAAACGGTGGTTCAATTCTCTTAGTTGAGTACACCCATCCTCAAATAACTTTCTGAGAATGCTTCTGTCTAGTTGTTATGGGAAGATATTTCCTTTTCCAACATAGGCCTGAAAGCGCTCCAAATGTCCACTTCCAGATACTACAAAAGGAGTGATTCAAACCTGCTCTATGATAGGGAATGTTCAACTCTGTGTCCTGAATACAAACATCACAAAGATGTTTCTCAGAACGCTGCAGTCTGCAATTTGTATGAATTCCCGCTTCCAACGAAATCCTCAAAACTAGCCAAATATCCACTTGCAGATTCCACAAAAAGAGCGTTTCAAAACTTCTCTATGAAAAGAAAGGTTCTACTCCTTTAGTTGAGGACACACATCACGAGTAAGTTTCTGAGAATGCTTCTGTCTAGTTTTTATGGGAAGATATTTCCTTTTTCACCTTAGGCCGGAAAGTGCTCCAAATGTCCACTTACACACACTACAAAAAGAGTGTTTCAAACCTGCTCTGTGAAAGGGAATGTTCAATTCTGTGACTTGAATGCAATCATCACAAAGAACTTTCTGAGAATGCTGCTGTCTGCTTTTTATATGTAATCCCGTTTCCAACGAAATCCTCAAATCTAGCCAAATAGCCACTTGCAGATTCCACAAAAAGAGTGTTTCAAAACTGTTCTGTCTAAAGAAATGTTCAACTGTGTTAGTTGAGGACACACATCAGAAACTAGTTTCTGAGAATGCTTCTGTCTAGTTGTTATGGGAAGATATTTCCTTTTCCAACGTAGGCCTGAAAGCGCTCCAAATGTCCACTTCCATATACTAAAAAAAGAGTGTTTCAAACCTGCTCTACCAAAGGGAATGTTCTACTCTGTGACTTGAATGCAAACATCCCAAAGAAGTTTCTGAGAATGCTTCTGTCTAGATTTGATCTGAAGACAATCCCGTTTCCAACGAAATCCTCAAGGCTAGGCAAATATCCTCTTGCAGATTCCAGAAAAAGAGTGTTTCAAAACTGCTCCTTCAAAACGGTGGTTCAATTCTCTTAGTTGAGTACACACATCTCAAATAAGTTTCTGAGAATGCTTCTGCCTAGTTGTTACGGGAAGATATTTCCCTTTCCAACATAGGCCTGAAAGCGCTCCAAATGTCCACTTCCAGATACTACAAAAAGAGTGTTTCAAACCTGCTCTACCAAAGGGAATGTTCTACTCTGTGACTTGAATGCAAACATCCCAAAGAAGTTTCTGAGAATGCTTCTGTCTAGATTTTACCTGAAGACAATCCCGTTTCCCACGAAATCCTCAAAGCTATGCAAATATCCTCTTGCAGATTCTACAAAAAGAGTGTTTCAAAACTGCTCTATGAAAAGAAAGGTTCAACTCTGTCAGTAGAGGGCACACATCACAAACAAGTTTCTGAGAATGCTTGTGTCTAGTTGTTATGGGAAGATATTTCCTTTTTCAACATAGGCCTGAAAGCGCTCCAAATGTCCACTTCCAGATACTACAAAAGGAGTGATTCCAACCTGCTCTATGATAGGGAATGTTCAACTCTCTGTCCTGAATACAAACATCACAAAGATGTTTCTCAGAACGCTGCAGTCTGCAATTTGTATGAATTCCCGCTTCCAACGAAATCCTCAAAACTAGCCAAATATCCACTTGCAGATTCCACAAAAAGAGCATTTCAAAACTGCTCTATCAAAAGAAAGGTTCAACTTTGTTAGTTGAGTAGATACAGCATAAACAAGTTTCTGAGAATGCTTCTGTCCAGTTTTTATGGGACGATATTTCCTTTTTCACCTTAGCCCTGAAAGCGCTCCAAATGTTCAGTTCCAGATACTACAAAAGGGGTGTTTCAAGACTGCTCTATGAAAGGGAGTGTTCAACTTTTGACTTGAATGCAAACATCAGAAAGCAGTTTCTCAGAACGCTGCTGTGTGCTTTTTATATGTATTCCCGCTTCCAGCGAAATCCCCAAAGCTAGCCAAATATCCACTTGCAGATTCCAGAAAAAGAGAGTTTCAAAACTGCTCCTTCAAAACGGTGGTTCAATTCTCTTAGTTGAGTACACACATCTCAAATAAGTTTCTGGGAATGCTTCTGCCTAGTTGTTATGGGAAGATATTTCCTTTTTCAACATAGGCCTGAAAGCGCTCCAAATGTCCACTTCCAGATACTACACAAGGAGTGATTCCAACCTGCTCTATGATAGGGAATGTTCAACTCTGTGTCCTGAATACAAACATCACAAAGATGTTTCTCAGAACGCTGCAGTCTGCAATTTGTATGAATTCCCGCTTCCAACGAAATCCTCAAACCTAGCCAAATATCCACTTGCAGATTCCACAAAAAGAGCATTTCAAAACTGCTCTATCAAAAGAAAGGTTCAACTTTGTTAGTTGAGTAGATACAGCATAAACAAGTTTCTGAGAATGCTTCTGTCCAGTTTTTATGGGAAGGTATTTCCTTTTTCACCTTAGCCCTGAAAGCGCTCCAAATGTCCAGTTCCAGATACTACAAAAGGGGTGTTTGAAGACTGCTCTATGAAAGGGAGTGTTCAACTTTTGACTTGAATGCAAACATCAGAAAGCAGTTTCTCAGAACGCTGCTGTGTGCTTTTTATATGTATTCCCGCTTCCAGCGAAATCCCCAAAGCTAGCCAAATATCCACTTGCAGATTCCAGAAAAAGAGTGTTTCAAAACTGCTCCTTCAAAACGGTGGTTCAATTCTCTTAGTTGAGTACACACATCTCAAATAAGTTTCTGAGAATGCTTCTGTCTAGTTTTTATGGGAAGATATTTCCTTTTTCACCTGAGGCCGGAAAGCGCTCCAAATGTCCACTTCCAGATACTACAAAAGGAGTGATTCAAACCTGCTCTATGATAGGGAACGTTCAACTCTGTGTCCTGAATACAAACATCACAAAGATGTTTCTCAGAACGCTGCAGTCTGCAATTTGTATGAATTCCCGCTTCCAACGAAATCCTCCAAACTAGCCAAATATCCACTTGCAGATTCCACAAAAAGAGCGTTTCAAAACTTCTCTATGAAAAGAAAGGTTCTACTCCTTTAGTTGAGGACACACATCACGAGTAAGTTTCTGAGAATGCTTCTGTCTAGTTTTTATGGGAAGATATTTCCTTTTTCACCTTAGGCCGGTAAGTGCTCCAAATGTCCACTTACACACACTACAAAAAGAGTGTTTCAAACCTGCTCTGTGAAAGGGAATGTTCAATTCTGTGACTTGAATGCAATCATCACAAAGAACTTTCTGAGAATGCTGCTGACTGCTTTTTATATGTAATCCCGTTTCCAACGAAATCCTCAAATCTAGCCAAATAGCCACTTGCAGATTCCACAAAAAGAGTGTTTCAAAACTGTTCTGTCTAAAGAAATGTTCAACTGTGTTAGTTGAGGACACACATCAGAAACTAGTTTCTGAGAATGCTTCTGTCTAGTTGTTATGGGAAGATATTTCCTTTTCCAACGTAGGCCTGAAAGCACTCCAAATGTCCACTTCCATATACTAAAAAAAGAGTGTTTCAAACCTGCTCTACCAAAGGGAATGTTCTACTCTGTGACTTGAATGCAAACATCCCAAAGAAGTTTTTGAGAATGCTTCTGTCTAGATTTGATCTGAAGACAATCCCGTTTCCAACGAAATCCTCAAGTCTAGGCAAATATCCTCTTGCAGATTCCAGAGAAAGAGTGTTTCAAAACTGCTCCTTGAAAACGGTGGTTCAATTCTCTTAGTTGAGTACACACATCTCAAATAAGTTTCTGAGAATGCTTCTGTCTAGTTGTTATGGGAAGATATTTCCTTTTCCAACATAGGCCTGAAAGCGCTCCAAATGTCCACTTCCAGATACTACAAAAGGAGTGATTCAAACCTGCTCTATGATAGGGAATGTTCAACTCTGTGTCCTGAATACAAACATCACAAAGATGTTTCTCAGAACGCTGCAGTCTGCAATTTGTATGAATTCCCGCTTCCAACGAAATCCTCAAAACTAGCCAAATATCGACTTGCAGATTCCACAAAAAGAGCGTTTCAAAACTTCTCTATGAAAAGAAAGGTTCTACTCCTTTAGTTGAGGACACACATCACGAGTAAGTTTCTGAGAATGCTTCTGTCTAGTTTTTATGGGAAGATACTTCCTTTTTCACCTTAGGCCGGTAAGTGCTCCAAATGTCCACTTACACACACTACAAAAAGAGTGTTTCAAACCTGCTCTGTGAAAGGGAATGTTCAATTCTGTGACTTGAATGCAATCATCACAAAGAACTTTCTGAGAATGCTGCTGAGTGCTTTTTATATGTAATCCCGTTTCCAACGAAATCCTTAAATCTAGCCAAATAGCCACTTGCAGATTCCACAAAAAGAGTGTTTCAAAACTGTTCTGTCTAAAGAAATGTTCAACTGTGTTAGTTGAGGACACACATCAGAAACTAGTTTCTGAGAATGATTCTGTCTAGTTGTTATGGGAAGATATTTCCTTTTCCAACATAGGCCTGAAAGCGCTCCAAATGTCCACTTCCATATACTAAAAAAAGAGTGTTTCAAACCTGCTCTTCCAAAGAGAATGTTCTACTCTGTGACTTGAATAGAAACATCCGAAAGAAGTTTCTGAGAATGCTTCTGTCTAGAATTTATCTGAAGACAATCCCGTATCCAACGAAATCCTCAAGGCTAGGCAAATATATACTTGCAGAATACAGAAAAAGAGTGTTTCAAAACTGCTCCTTCAAAACGGTGGTTCAATTCTCTTAGTTGAGTACACACATCTCAAATAAGTTTCTGAGAATGCTTCTGCCTAGTTGTTACGGGAAGATATTTCCCTTTCCAACATAGGCCTGAAAGCGCTCCAAATGTCCACTTCCAGATACTACAAAAGGAGTGATTCCAACCTGCTCTATGATAGGGAATGTTCAACTCTCTGTCCTGAATACAAACATCACAAAGATGTTTCTCAGAACGCTGCAGTCTGCAATTTGTATGAATTCCCGCTTCCAACGAAATCCTCAAAACTAGCCAAATATCCACTTGCAGATTCCACAAAAAGAGCATTTCAAAACTGCTCTATCAAAAGAAAGGTTCAACTTTGTTAGTTGAGTAGATACAGCATAAACAAGTTTCTGAGAATGCTTCTGTCCAGTTTTTATGGGAAGATATTTCCTTTTTCACCTTAGCCCTGAAAGCGCTCCAAATGTCCAGTTCCAGATACTACAAAAGGGGTGTTTCAAGACTGCTCTATGAAAGGGAGTGTTCAACTTTTGACTTGAATGCAAACATCAGAAAGCAGTTTCTCAGAACGCTGCTGTGTGCTTTTTATATGTATTCCCGCTTCCAGCGAAATCCCCAAAGCTAGCCAAATATCCACTTGCAGATTCCAGAAAAAGAGTGTTTCAAAACTGCTCCTTCAAAACGGTGGTTCAATTCTCTTAGTTGAGTACACACATCTCAAATAAGTTTCTGAGAATGCTTCTGTCTAGTTGTTATGGGAAGATATTTCCTTTTCCAACATAGGCCTGAAAGCACTCCAAATGTCCACTTCCAGATACTACGAAAGGAGTGATTCAAACCTGCTCTATGATAGGGAATGTTCAACTCTGTGTCCTGAATACAAACATCACAAAGATGTTTCTCAGAACGCTGCAGTCTGCAATTTGTATGAATTCCCGCTTCCAACGAAATCCTCAAAACTAGCCAAATATCCACTTGCAGATTCCACAAAAAGAGCGTTTCAAAACTTCTCTATGAAAAGAAAGGTTCTACTCCTTTAGTTGAGGACACACATCACGAGTAAGTTTCTGAGAATGCTTCTGTCTAGTTTTTATGGGAAGATATTTCCTTTTTCACCTTAGGCCGGAAAGTGCTCCAAATGTCCACTTACACACACTATACAAAGAGTGTTTCAAACCTGCTCTGTGAAAGGGAATGTTCAATACTGTGACTTGAATGCAATCATCACAAAGAAGTTTCTGAGAATGCTGCTGACTGCTTTTTATATGTAATCCCGTTTCCAACGAAATCCTCAAATCTAGCCAAATAGCCACTTGCAGATTCCACAAAAAGAGTGTTTCAAAACTGTTCTGTCTAAAGAAATGTTCAACTGTGTTAGTTGAGGACACACATCAGAAACTAGTTTCTGAGAATGCTTCTGTCTAGTTGTTATGGGAAGATATTTCGTTTTCCAAAGTAGGCCTGAAAGCGCTCCAAATGTCCACTTCCATATACTAAAAAAAGAGTGTTTCACACCTGCTCTACCAAAGGGAATGTTCTACTCTGTGACTTGAATGCAAACATCCCAAAGAAGTTTCTGAGAATGCTTCTGTCTAGATTTGATCTGAACACAATCCCGTTTCCAACGAAATCCTCAAAGCTAGGCAAATATCCTCTTGCAGATTCCAGAAAAAGAGTGTTTCAAAACTGCTCCTTCAAAACGGTGGTTCAATTCTCTTAGTTGAGTACACACATCTCAAATAAGTTTCTGAGAATGCTTCTGCCTAGTTGTTACCGGAAGATATTTCCCTTTCCAACATAGGCCTGAAAGCGCTCCAAATGTCCACTTCCAGATACTACAAAAAGAGTGTTTCAAACCTGCTCTACTAAAGGGAATGTTCTACTCTGTGACTTGAATGCAAACATCCCAAAGAAGTTTCTGAGAATGCTTCTGTCTAGATTTTACCTGAAGACAATCCCGTTTCCCACGAAATCCTCAAAGCTATGCAAATATCCTCTTGCAGATTCTACAAAAAGAGTGTTTCAAAACTGCTCTATGAAAAGAAAGGTTCAACTCTGTCAGTAGAGGGCACACATCACAAACAAGTTTCTGAGAATGCTTGTGTCTAGTTGTTATGGGAAGATATTTCCTTTTTCAACATAGGCCTGAAAGCGCTCCAAATGTCCACTTCCAGATACTACAAAAGGAGTGATTCCAACCTGCTCTATGATAGGGAATGTTCAACTCTCTGTCCTGAATACAAACATCACAAAGATGTTTCTCAGAACGCTGCAGTCTGCAATTTGTATGAATTCCCGCTTCCAACGAAATCCTCAAAACTAGCCAAATATCCACTTGCAGATTCCACAGAAAGAGCATTTCAAAACTGCTCTATCAAAAGAAAGGTTCAACTTTGTTAGTTGAGTAGATACAGCATAAACAAGTTTCTGAGAATGCTTCTGTCCAGTTTTTATGGGAAGATATTTCCTTTTTCACCTTAGCCCTGAAAGCGCTCCAAAAGTCCAGTTCCAGATACTACAAAAGGAGTGTTTCAGGACTGCTCTATGAAAGGGAGTGTTCAACTTTTGACTTGAATGCAAACATCAGAAAGCAGTTTCTCAGAACGCTGCTGTGTGCTTTTTATATGTATTCCCGCCTCCAGCGAAATCCCCAAAGCTAGCCAAATATCCACTTGCAGATTCCAGAAAAAGAGTGTTTCAAAACTGCTCCTTCAAAACGGTGGTTCAATTCTCTTAGTTGAGTACACACATCTCAAATAAGTTTCTGAGAATGCTTCTGTCTAGTTGTTATGGGAAGATATTTCCTTTTCCAACATAGGCCTGAAAGCGCTCCAAATGTCCACTTCCAGATACTACAAAAGGAGTGATTCAAACCTGCTCTATGATAGGGAATGTTCAACTCTGTGTCCTGAATACAAACATCACAAAGATGTTTCTCAGAACGCTGCAGTCTGCAATTTGTATGAATTCCCGCTTCCAACGAAATCCTCCAAACTAGCCAAATATCCACTTGCAGATTCCACAAAAAGAGCGTTTCAAAACTTCTCTATGAAAAGAAAGGTTCTACTCCTTTAGTTGAGGACACACATCACGAGTAAGTTTCTGAGAATGCTTCTGTCTGGTTTTTATGGTAAGATATGTCCTTTTTCACCTTAGGCCGGAAAGCGCTCCAAATGTCCACTTACACACACTACAAAAAGAGTGTTTCAAACCTGCTCTGTGAAAGGGAATGTTCAATTCTGTGACTTGAATGCAATCATCACAAAGAACTTTCTGAGAATGCTGCTGACTGCTTTTTATATGTAATCCCGTTTCCAACGAAATCCTCAAATCTAGCCCAATATCCACTTGCAGATTCCACAAAAAGAGTGTTTCAAAACTGTTCTGTCTAAAGAAATGTACAACTGTGTTAGTTGAGGACACACATCAGAAACTAGTTTCTGAGAATGCTTCTGTCTAGTTGTTATGGGAAGATATTTCCTTTTCCAACGTAGGCCTGAAAGCGCTCCAAATGTCCACTTCCATATACTAAAAAAAGAGTGTTTCAAACCTGCTCTACCAAAGGGAATGTTCTACTCTGTGACTTGAATGCAAACATCCCAAAGAAGTTTCTGAGAATGCTTCTGTCTAGATTTTATCTGAAGACAATCCCGTTTCCAACGAAATCCTCAAGGCTAGGAAAATATACTCTTGCAGATTCCAGAAAAAGAGTGTTTCAAAACTGCTCCTTCAAAACGGTGGTTCAATTCTCTTAGTTGAGTACACACATCTCAAATAAGTTTCTGAGAATGCTTCTGCCTGGTTGTTACGGGAAGATATTTCCCTTTCCAACATGGGCCTGAAAGCGCTCCAAATGTCCACTTCCAGATACTACAAAAGGAGTGATTCAAACCTGCTCTACCAAAGGGAATGTTCTGCTCTGTGACTTGAATGCAAACATCCCAAAGAAGTTTCTGAGAATGCTTCTGTCTAGATTTTACCTGAAGACAATCCCGTTTCCCACGAAATCCTCAAGCTATGCAAATATCCTCTTGCAGATTCTACAAAAAGAGTGTTTCAAAACTGCTCTATGAAAAGAAAGGTTCAACTCTGTCAGTAGAGGGCACACATCACAAACAAGTTTCTGAGAATGCTTCTGCATAGTTGTTACGGGAAGATATTTCCCTTTCCAAAATAGGCCTGAAAGCGCTCCAAATGTCCACTTCCAGATACTACAAAAGGAGTGATTCCAACCTGCTCTATGATAGGGAATGTTCAACTCTGTGTCCTGAATACAAACATCACAAAGATGTTTCTCAGAACGCTGCAGTCTGCAATTTGTATGAATTCCCGCTTCCAACGAAATCCTCAAAACTAGCCAAATATCCACTTGCAGATTCCACAAAAAGACCATTTCAAAACTGCTCTATCAAAAGAAAGGTTCAACTTTGTTAGTTGAGTAGATACAGCATAAACAAGTTTCTGAGAATGCTTCTGTCCAGTTTTTATGGGAAGATATTTCCTTTTTCACCTTAGCCCTGAAAGCGCTCCAAAAGTCCAGTTCCAGATACTACAAAAGGAGTGTTTCAGGACTGCTCTATGAAAGGGAGTGTTCAACTTTTGACTTGAATGCAAACATCAGAAAGCAGTTTCTCAGAACGCTGCTGTGTGCTTTTTATATGTATTCCCGCTTCCAGCGAAATCCCCAAAGCTAGCCAAATATCCACTTGCAGATTCCAGAAAAAGAGTGTTTCAAAACTGCTCCTTCAAAACGGTGGTTCAATTCTCTTAGTTGAGTACACACATCTCAAATAAGTTTCTGAGAATGCTTCTGTCTAGTTGTTATGGGAAGATATTTCCTTTTCCAACGTAGGCCTGAAAGCGCTCCAAATGTCCACTTCCAGATACTACAAAAGGAGTGATTCCAACCTGCTCTATGATAGGGAATGTTCAACTCTGTGTCCTGAATACAAACATCTCAAAGATGTTTCTCAGAACGCTGCAGTCTGCAATTTGTATGAATTCCCGCTTCCAACGAAATCCTCCAAACTAGCCAAATATCCACTTGCAGATTCCACAAAAAGAGCGTTTCAAAACTTCTCTATGAAAGAAAGGTTCTACTCCTTTAGTTGAGGACACACATCACGAGTAAGTTTCTGAGAATGCTTCTGTCTAGTTTTTATGGGAAGATATTTCCTTTCTCACCTTAGGCCGGAAAGTGCTCCAAATGTCCACTTACACACACTACAAAAAGAGTGTTTCAAACCTGCTCTGTGAAAGGGAATGTTCAATTCTGTGACTTGAATGCAATCATCACAAAGAACTTTCTGAGAATGCTGCTGTCTGCTTTTTATATGTAATCCCGTTTCCAACGAAATCCTCAAATCTAGCCAAATAGCCACTTGCAGATTCCACAAAAAGAGAGTTTCAAAACTGTTCTGTCTAAAGAAATGTTCAACTGTGTTAGTTGAGGACACACATCAGAAACTAGTTTCTGAGAATGCTTCTGTCTAATTGTTATGGGAAGATATTTCCTTTTCCAACGTAGGCCTGAAAGCGCTCCAAATGTCCACTTCCATATACTAAAAAAAGGGTGTTTCAAACCTGCTCTACCAAAGGGAATGTTCTACTCTGTGACTTGAATGCAAACATCCCAAAGAAGTTTCTGAGAATGCTTCTGTCTAGATTTGATCTGAACACAATCCCGTTTCCAACGAAATCCTCAAAGCTAGGCAAATATCCTCTTGCAGATTCCAGAAAAAGAGTGTTTCAAAACTGCTCCTTCAAAACGGTGGTTCAATTCTCTTAGTTGAGTACACACATCTCAAATAAGTTTCTGAGAATGCTTCTGCCTAGTTGTTACCGGAAGATATTTCCCTTTCCAACATAGGCCTGAAAGCGCTCCAAATGTCCACTTCCAGATACTACAAAAAGAGTGTTTCAAACCTGCTCTACCAAAGGGAATGTTCTACTCTGTGACTTGAATGCAAACATCCTAAAGAAGTTTCTGAGAATGCTTCTGTCTAGATTTTACCTGAAGACAATCCCGTTTCCCACGAAATCCTCAAAGCTATGCAAATATCCTCTTGCAGATTCTACAAAAAGAGTGTTTCAAAACTGCTCTATGAAAAGAAAGGTTCAACTCTGTCAGTAGAGGGCACACATCACAAACAAGTTTCTGAGAATGCTTGTGTCTAGTTGTTATGGGAAGATATTTCCTTTTTCAACATAGGCCTGAAAGCGCTCCAAATGTCCACTTCCAGATATTACAAAAGGAGTGATTCCAACCTGCTCTATGATAGGGAATGTTCATCTCTGTGTCCTGAATACAAACATCACAAAGATGTTTCTCAGAACGCTGCAGTCTGCAATTTGTATGAATTCCCGCTTCCAACGAAATCCTCAAAACTAGCCAAATATCCACTTGCAGATTCCACAAAAAGACCATTTCAAAACTGCTCTATCAAAAGAAAGGTTCAACTTTGTTAGTTGAGTAGATACAGCATAAACAAGTTTCTGAGAATGCTTCTGTCCAGTTTTTATGGGAAGATATTTCCTTTTTCACCTTAGGCCGGAAAGCGCTCCAAATGTCCACTTACACACACTACAAAAAGAGTGTTTCAAACCTGCTCTGTGAAAGGGAATGTTCAATTCTGTGACTTGAATGCAATCATCACAAAGAACTTTCTGAGAATGCTACAGTCTGCTTTTTATATGTAATCCCGTTTCCAACGAAATCCTCAAATCTAGCCAAATATCCACTTGCAGATTCCACAAAAAGAGTGTTTCAAAACTGTTCTGTCTAAAGAAAAGTTCAACTGTGTTAGTTGAGGACACACATCAGAAACTAGTTTCTGAGAATGCTTCTGTCTAGTTGTTATGGGAAGATATTTCCTTTTCCAACGTAGGCCTGAAAGCGCTCCAAATGTCCACTTCCATATACTAAAAAAAGAGTGTTTCAAAACTGCTCTACCAAAGGGAATGTTCTACTCTGTGACTTGAATGCAAACATCCCAAAGAAGTTTCTGAGAATGCTTCTGTCTAGATTTTATCTGAAGACAATCCCGTTTCCAACGAAATCCTCAAGGCTAGGCAAATATACTCTTACAGATTCCAGAAAAAGAGTGTTTCAAAACTGCTCCTTCAAAACGGTGGTTCAATTCTCTTAGTTGAGTACACACATCTCAAATAAGTTTCTGAGAATGCTTCTGCCTAGTTGTTACGGGAAGATATTTCCCTTTCCAACATGGGCCTGAAAGCGCTCCAAATGTCCACTTCCAGATACTACAAAAGGAGGGTTTCAAACCTGCTCTACCAAAGGGAATGTTCTACTCTGTGACTTGAATGCAAACATCCCAAAGAAGTTTCTGAGAATGCTTCTGTCTAGATTTTACCTGAAGGCAATCCCGTTTCCCACGAAATCCTCAAAGCTATGCAAATATCCTCTTGCAGATTCTACAAAAAGAGTGTTTCAAAACTGCTCTATGAAAAGAAAGGTTCAACTCTGTCAGTAGAGGGCACACATCACAAACAAGTTTCTGAGAATGCTTGTGTCTAGTTGTTATGGGAAGATATTTCCTTTTTCAACATAGGCCTGAAAGCGCTCCAAATGTCCACTTCCAGATACTACAAAAGGAGTGATTCCACCCTGCTCTATGATAGGGAATGTTCATCTCTGTGTCCTGAATACAAACATCACAAATATGTTTCTCAGAACGCTGCAGTCTGCAATTTGTATGAATTCCCGTTTCCAACGAAATCCTCAAAACTAGCCAAATATCCACTTGCAGATTCCACAAAAAGAGCGTTTCAAAACTTCTCTATGAATAGAAAGGTTCTACTCCTTTAGTTGAGGACACACATCACGAGTAAGTTTCTGAGAATGCTTCTCTCTAGTTTCTATGGGAAGATATTTCCTTTTTCACCTTAGGCCGGAAAGCGCTCCAAATGTCCACTTACACACACTACAAAAAGAGTGTTTCAAACCTGCTCTGTGAAAGGGAATGTTCAATTCTGTGACTTGAATGCAATCATCACAAAGAACTTTCTGAGAATGCTGCTGAC
The DNA here is from genome assembly GCF_000001405.40 of Homo sapiens. Lineage (NCBI taxonomy): Eukaryota > Metazoa > Chordata > Mammalia > Primates > Hominidae > Homo > Homo sapiens. The sequence continues at coordinate 17,638,072 of NC_000018.10, read as the reverse complement.
TGCTTTTTATATGTAATCCCGTTTCCAACGAAATCCTCAAATCTAGCCAAATAGCCACTTGCAGATTCCACAAAAAGAGTGTTTCAAAACTGTTCTGTCTAAAGAAATGTTCAACTGTGTTAGTTGAGGACACACATCAGAAACTAGTTTCTGAGAATGCTTCTGTCTAGTTGTTATGGGAAGATATTTCCTTTTCCAACGTAGGCCTGAAAGCGCTCCAAATGTCCACTTCCATATACTAAAAAAAGAGTGTTTCAAACCTGCTCTACCAAAGGGAATGTTCTACTCTGTGACTTGAATGCAAACATCCCAAAGAAGTTTCTGAGAATGCTTCTGTCTAGATTTTCTCTGAAGACAATCCCGTTTCCAACGAAATCCTCAAGGCTAGGCAAATATACTCTTGCAGATTCCAGAAAAAGAGTGTTTCAAAACTGCTCCTTCAAAACGGTGGTTCAATTCTCTTAGTTGAGTACACACATCTCAAATAAGTTTCTGAGAATGCTTCTGCCTAGTTGTTACGGGAAGATATTTCCCTTTCCAACATGGGCCTGAAAGCGCTCCAAATGTCCACTTCCAGATACTACAAAAAGAGTGTTTCAAACCTGCTCTACCAAAGGGAATGTTCTACTCTGTGACTTGAATGCAAACATCCCAAAGAAGTTTCTGAGAATGCTTCTGTCTAGATTTTACCTGAAGACAATCCCGTTTCCCACGAAATCCTCAAAGCTATGCAAATATCCTCTTGCAGATTCTACAAAAAGAGTGTTTCAAAACTGCTCTATGAAAAGAAAGGTTCAACTCTGTCAGTAGAGGGCACACATCACAAACAAGTTTCTGAGAATGCTTGTGTCTAGTTGTTATGGGAAAATATTTCCTTTTTCAACATAGGCCTGAAAGCGCTCCAAATGTCCACTTCCAGATACTACAAAAGGAGTGATTCCAACCTGCTCTATGATAGGGAATGTTCAACTCTGTGTCCTGAATACAAACATCACAAAGATGTTTCTCAGAACGCTGCAGTCTGCAATTTGTATGAATTCCCGCTTCCAAAGAAATCCTCAAAACTAGCCAAATATCCACTTGCAGATTCCACAAAAAGACCATTTCAAAACTGCTCTATCAAAAGAAAGGTTCAACTTTGTTAGTTGAGTAGATACAGCATAACCAAGTTTCTGAGAATGCTTCTGTCCAGTTTTTATGGGAAGATATTTCCTTTTTCACCTTAGCCCTCAAATCGCTCCAAAAGAACAGTTCCAGATACTACAAAAGGGGTGTTTCAAGACTGCTCTATGAAAGGGAGTGTTCAACTTTTGACTTGAATGCAAACATCAGAAAGCAGTTTCTCAGAACGCTGCTGTGTGCTTTTTATATGTATTCCCGCTTCCAGCGAAATCCCCAAAGCTAGCCAAATATCCACTTGCAGATTCCAGAAAAAGAGAGTTTCAAAACTGCTCCTTCAAAACGGTGGTTCAATTCTCTTAGTTGAGTACACACATCTCAAATAAGTTTCTGAGAATGCTTCTGTCTAGTTGTTATGGGAAGATATTTCCTTTTCCAACATAGGCCTGAAAGCGCTCCAAATGTCCACTTCCAGATACTACAAAAGGAGTGATTCCAACCTGCTCTATGATAGGGAATGTTCAACTCTGTGTCCTGAATACAAACATCACAAAGATGTTTCTCAGAACGCTGCAGTCTGCAATTTGTATGAATTCCCGCTTCCAACGAAATCCTCAAAACTAGCCAAATATCCACTTGCAGATTCCACAAAAAGAGCGTTTCAAAACTTCTCTATGAAAAGAAAGGTTCTACTCCTTTAGTTGAGGACACACATCACGAGTAAGTTTCTGAGAATGCTTCTGTCTAGTTTTTATGGGAAGATATTTCCTTTTTCACCTTAGGCCGGTAAGTGCTCCAAATGTCCACTTACACACACTACAAAAAGAGTGTTTCAAACCTGCTCTGTGAAAGGGAATGTTCAATTCTGTGACTTGAATGCAATCATCACAAAGAACTTTCTGAGAATGCTGCTGACTGCTTTTTATATGTAATCCCGTTTCCAACGAAATCCTCAAATCCAGCCAAATAGCCACTTGCAGATTCCACAAAAAGAGTGTTTCAAAACTGTTCTGTCTAAAGAAATGTTCAACTGTGTTAGTTGAGGACACACATCAGAAACTAGTTTCTGAGAATGCTTCTGTCTAGTTGTTATGGGAAGATATTTCCTTTTCCAACGTAGGCCTGAAAGCGCTCCAAATGTCCACTTCCAGATACTAAAAAAAGAGTGTTTCAAACCTGCTCTACCAAAGGGAATGTTCTACTCTGTGACTTGAATGCAAACATCCCAAAGAAGTTTCTGAGAATGCTTCTGTCTAGATTTTCTCTGAAGACAATCCCGTTTCCAACGAAATCCTCAAGGCTAGGCAAATATACTCTTGCAGATTCCAGAAAAAGAGTGTTTCAAAACTGCTCCTTCAAAACGGTGGTTCAATTCTCTTAGTTGAGTACACACATCTCAAATAAGTTTCTGAGAATGCTTCTGCCTAGTTGTTACGGGAAGATATTTCCCTTTCCAACATGGGCCTGAAAGCGCTCCAAATGTCCACTTCCAGATACTACAAAAAGAGTGTTTCAAACCTGCTCTACCAAAGGGAATGTTCTACTCTGTGACTTGAATGCAAACATCCCAAAGAAGTTTCTGAGAATGCTTCTGTCTAGATTTTACCTGAAGACAATCCCGTTTCCCACGAAATCCTCAAAGCTATGCAAATATCCTCTTGCAGATTCTACAAAAAGAGTGTTTCAAAACTGCTCTATGAAAAGAAAGGTTCAACTCTGTCAGTAGAGGGCACACATCACAAACAAGTTTCTGAGAATGCTTCTGCATAGTTGTTACGGGAAGATATTTCCCTTTCCAAAATAGGCCTGAAAGCGCTCCAAATGTCCACTTCCAGATACTACAAAAGGAGTGATTCCAACCTGCTCTATGATAGGGAATGTTCAACTCTGTGTCCTGAATACAAACATCACAAAGATGTTTCTCAGAACGCTGCAGTCTGCAATTTGTATGAATTCCCGCTTCCAACGAAATCCTCAAAACTAGCCAAATATCCACTTGCAGATTCCACAAAAAGAGCATTTCAAAACTGCTCTATCAAAAGAAAGGTTCAACTTTGTTAGTTGAGTAGATACAGCATAAACAAGTTTCTGAGAATGCTTCTGTCCAGTTTTTATGGGAAGATATTTCCTTTTTCACCTTAGCCCTGAAAGCGCTCCAAAAGTCCAGTTCCAGATACTACAAAAGGAGTGTTTCAGGACTGCTCTATGAAAGGGAGTGTTCAACTTTTGACTTGAATGCAAACATCAGAAAGCAGTTTCTCAGAACGCTGCTGTGTGCTTTTTATATGTATTCCCGCTTCCAGCGAAATCCCCAAAGCTAGCCAAATATCCACTTGCAGATTCCAGAAAAAGAGTGTTTCAAAACTGCTCCTTCAAAACGGTGGTTCAATTCTCTTAGTTGAGTACACACATCTCAAATAAGTTTCTGAGAATGCTTCTGTCTAGTTGTTATGGGAAGATATTTCCTTTTCCAACATAGGCCTGAAAGCGCTCCAAATGTCCACTTCCAGATACTACAAAAGGAGTGATTCCAACCTGCTCTATGATAGGGAATGTTCAACTCTGTGTCCTGAATACAAACATCACAAAGATGTTTCTCAGAACGCTGCAGTCTGCAATTTGTATGAATTCCCGCTTCCAACGAAATCCTCCAAACTAGCCAAATATCCACTTGCAGATTCCACAAAAAGAGCGTTTCAAAACTTCTCTATGAAAAGAAAGGTTCTACTCCTTTAGTTGAGGACACACATCACGAGTAAGTTTCTGAGAATGCTTCTGTCTAGTTTTTATGGGAAGATATTTCCTTTTTCACCTTAGGCCGGAAAGTGCTCCAAATGTCCACTTACACACACTACAAAAAGAGTGTTTCAAACCTGCTCTGTGAAAGGGAATGTTCAATTCTGTGACTTGAATGCAACCATCACAAAGAACTTTCTGAGAATGCTGCTGTCTGCTTTTTATATGTAATCCCGTTTCCAACGAAATCCTCAAATCTAGCCAAATAGCCACTTGCAGATTCCACAAAAAGAGTGTTTCAAAACTGTTCTGTCTAAAGAAATGTTCAACTGTGTTAGTTGAGGACACACATCAGAAACTAGTTTCTGAGAATGCTTCTGTCTAGTTGTTATGGGAAGATATTTCCTTTTCCAACGTAGGCCTGAAAGCGCTCCAAATGTCCACTTCCATATACTAAAAAAAGAGTGTTTCAAACCTGCTCTACCAAAGGGAATGTTCTACTCTGTGACTTGAATGCAAACATCCCAAAGAAGTTTCTGAGAATGCTTCTGTCTAGATTTGATCTGAAGACAATCCCGTTTCCAACGAAATCCTCAAGGCTAGGCAAATATCCTCTTGCAGATTCCAGAAAAAGAGTGTTTCAAAACTGCTCCTTCAAAACGGTGGTTCAATTCTCTTAGTTGAGTACACACATCTCAAATAAGTTTCTGAGAATGCTTCTGCCTAGTTGTTACGGGAAGATATTTCCCTTTCCAACATAGGCCTGAAAGCGCTCCAAATGTCCACTTCCAGATACTACAAAAAGAGTGTTTCAAACCTGCTCTACGAAAGGGAATGTTCTACTCTGTGACTTGAATGCAAACCTCCCAAAGAAGTTTCTGAGAATGCTTCTGTCTAGATTTTACCTGAAGACAATCCCGTTTCCCACGAAATCCTCAAAGCTATGCAAATATCCTCTTGCAGATTCTACAAAAAGAGTGTTTCAAAACTGCTCTATGAAAAGAAAGGTTCAACTCTGTCAGTAGAGGGCACACATCACAAACAAGTTTCTGAGAATGCTTGTGTCTAGTTGTTATGGGAAGATATTTCCTTTTTCAACATAGGCCTGAAAGCGCTCCAAATGTCCACTTCCAGATACTACAAAAGGAGTGATTCCAACCTGCTCTATGATAGGGAATGTTCAACTCTCTGTCCTGAATACAAACATCACAAAGATGTTTCTCAGAACGCTGCAGTCTGCAATTTGTATGAATTCCGGCTTCCAACGAAAATCCTCAAAACTAGCCAAATATCCACTTGCAGATTCCACAAAAAGAGCATTTCAAAACTGCTCTATCAAAAGAAAGGTTCAACTTTGTTAGTTGAGTAGATACAGCATAAACAAGTTTCTGAGAATGCTTCTGTCCAGTTTTTATGGGAAGATATTTCCTTTTTCACCTTAGCCCTGAAATCGCTCCAAAAGTCCAGTTCCAGATACTACAAAAGGGGTGTTTCAAGACTGCTCTATGAAAGGGAGTGTTCAACTTTTGACTTGAATGCAAACATCAGAAAGCAGTTTCTCAGAACGCTGCTGTGTGCTTTTTATATGTATTCCCGCTTCCAGCGAAATCCCCAAAGCTAGCCAAATATCCACTTGCAGATTCCAGAAAAAGAGAGTTTCAAAACTGCTCCTTCAAAACGGTGGTTCAATTCTCTTAGTTGAGTACACACATCTCAAATAAGTTTCTGAGAATGCTTGTGTCTAGTTGTTATGGGAAGATATTTCCTTTTTCAACATAGGCCTGAAAGCGCTCCAAATGTCCACTTCCAGATACTACAAAAGGAGTGATTCCAACCTGCTCTATCATAGGGAATGTTCATCTCTGTGTCCTGAATACAAACATCACAAAGATGTTTCTCAGAACGCTGCAGTCTGCAATTTGTATGAATTCCCGCTTCCAACGAAATCCTCAAAACTAGCCAAATATCCACTTGGAGATTCCACAAAAAGAGCATTTCAAAACTTCTCTATGAATAGAAAGGTTCTACTCCTTTAGTTGAGGACACACATCACGAGTAAGTTTCTGAGAATGCTTCTGTCTAGTTTTTATGGGAAGATATTTCCTTTTTCACCTTAGGCCGGAAAGCGCTCCAAATGTCCACTTACACACACTACATAAAGAGTGTTTCAAACCTGCTCTTTGAAAGGGAATGTTCAATTCTGTGACTTGAATGCAATCATCACAAAGAACTTTCTGAGAATGCTTGCTGTCTGCTTTTTATATGTAATCCCGTTTCCAACGAAATCCTCAAATCTAGCCAAATAGCCACTTGCAGATTCCACAAAAAGAGTGTTTCAAAACTGTTCTGTCTAAAGAAATGTTCAACTGTGTTAGTTGAGGACACACATCAGAAACTAGTTTCTGAGAATGCTTCTGTCTAGTTGTTATGGGAAGATATTTCCTTTTCCAACGTAGGCCTGAAAGCGCTCCAAATGTCCACTTCCATATACTTAAAAAAGAGTGTTTCAAACCTGCTCTACCAAAGGGAATGTTCTACTGTGTGACATGAATGCAAACATCCCAAAAAAGTTTCTGAGAATGCTTCTGTCTAGATTTGATCTGAAGACAATCCCGTTTCCAACGAAATCCTCAAGGCTAGGCAAATATCCTCTTGCAGATTCCAGAAAAAGAGTGTTTCAAAACTGCTCCTTCAAAACGGTGGTTCAATTCTCTTAGTTGAGTACACACATCTCAAATAAGTTTCTGAGAATGCTTCTGCCTAGTTGTTACGGGAAGATATTTCCCTTTCCAACATAGGCCTGAAAAGCGCTCCAAATGTCCACTTCCAGATACTACAAAAAGAGTGTTTCAAACCTGCTCTACCAAAGGGAATGTTCTACTCTGTGACTTGAATGCAAACATCCCAAAGAAGTTTCTGAGAATGCTTCTGTCTAGATTTTACCTGAAGACAATCCCGTTTCCCACGAAATCCTCAAAGCTATGCAAATATCCTCTTGCAGATTCTACAAAAAGAGTGTTTCAAAACTGCTCTATGAAAAGAAAGGTTCAACTCTGTCAGTAGAGGGCACACATCACAAACAAGTTTCTGAGAATGCTTCTGCATAGTTGTTACGGGAAGATATTTCCCTTTCCAAAATAGGCCTGAAAGCGCTCCAAATGTCCACTTCCAGATACTACAAAAGGAGTGATTCCAACCTGCTCTATGATAGGGAATGTTCAACTCTGTGTCCTGAATACAAACATCACAAAGATGTTTCTCAGAACGCTGCAGTCTGCAATTTGTATGAATTCCCGCTTCCAACGAAATCCTCAAAACTAGCCAAATATAAACTTGCAGATTCCACAAAAAGACCATTTCAAAACTGCTCTATCAAAAGAAAGGTTCAACTTTGTTAGTTGAGTAGATACAGCATAACCAAGTTTCTGAGAATGCTTCTGTCCAGTTTTTATGGGAAGATATTTCCTTTTTCACCTTAGCCCTGAAATCGCTCCAAAAGTCCAGTTCCAGATACTACAAAAGGGGTGTTTCAAGACTGCTCTATGAAAGGGAGTGTTCAACTTTTGACTTGAATGCAAACATCAGAAAGCAGTTTCTCAGAACGCTGCTGTGTGCTTTTTATATGTATTCCCGCTTCCAGCGAAATCCCCAAAGCTAGCCAAATATCCACTTGCAGATTCCAGAAAAAGAGAGTTTCAAAACTGCTCCTTCAAAACGGTGGTTCAATTCTCTTAGTTGAGTACACACATCTCAAATAAGTTTCTGAGAATGCTTCTGTCTAGTTGTTATGGGAAGATATTTCCTTTTCCAACATAGGCCTGAAAGCGCTCCAAATGTCCACTTCCAGATACTACAAAAGGAGTGATTCAAACCTGCTCTATGATAGGGAATGTTCAACTCTGTGTCCTGAATACAAACATCACAAAGATGTTTCTCAGAACGCTGCAGTCTGCAATTTGTATGAATTCCCGCTTCCAACGAAATCCTCAAAACTAGCCAAATATCCACTTGCAGATTCCACAAAAAGAGCGTTTCAAAACTTCTCTATGAAAAGAAAGGTTCTACTCCTTTAGTTGAGGACACACATCACGAGTAAGTTTCTGAGAATGCTTCTGTCTAGTTTTTATGGGAAGATTATTTCCTTTTTCACCTTAGGCCGGTAAGTGCTCCAAATGTCCACTTACACACACTACAAAAAGAGTGTTTCAAACCTGCTCTGTGAAAGGGAATGTTCAATTCTGTGACTTGAATGCAATCATCACAAAGAACTTTCTGAGAATGCTGCTGACTGCTTTTTATATGTAATCCCGTTTCCAACGAAATCCTCAAATCTAGCCAAATAGCCACTTGCAGATTCCACAAAAAGAGTGTTTCAAAACTGTTCTGTCTAAAGAAATGTTCAACTGTGTTAGTTGAGGACACACATCAGAAACTAGTTTCTGAGAATGCTTCTGTCTAGTTGTTATGGGAAGATATTTCCTTTTCCAACGTAGGCCTGAAAGCGCTCCAAATGTCCACTTCCAGATACTACAAAAAGAGTGTTTCAAACCTGCTCTACCAAAGGGAATGTTCTACTCTGTGACTTGAATGCAAGCATCCCAAAGAAGTTTCTGAGAATGCTTCTGTCTAGATTTTCTCTGAAGACAATCCCGTTTCCAACGAAATCCTCAAGGCTAGGCAAATATACTCTTGCAGATTCCAGAAAAAGAGTGTTTCAAAACTGCTCCTTCAAAACGGTGGTTCAATTCTCTTAGTTGAGTACACACATCTCAAATAAGTTTCTGAGAATGCTTCTGCCTAGTTGTTACGGGAAGATATTTCCCTTTCCAACATGGGCCTGAAAGCGCTCCAAATGTCCACTTCCAGATACTACAAAAAGAGTGTTTCAAACCTGCTCTACCAAAGGGAATGTTCTACTCTGTGACTTGAATGCAAACATCCCAAAGAAGTTTCTGAGAATGCTTCTGTCTAGATTTTACCTGAAGACAATCCCGTTTCCCACGAAATCCTCAAAGCTATGCAAATATCCTCTTGCAGATTCTACAAAAAGAGTGTTTCAAAACTGCTCTATGAAAAGAAAGGTTCAACTCTGTCAGTAGAGGGCACACATCACAAACAAGTTTCTGAGAATGCTTCTGCATAGTTGTTACGGGAAGATATTTCCCTTTCCAAAATAGGCCTGAAAGCGCTCCAAATGTCCACTTCCAGATACTACAAAAGGAGTGATTCCAACCTGCTCTATGATAGGGAATGTTCAACTCTGTGTCCTGAATACAAACATCACAAAGATGTTTCTCAGAACGCTGCAGTCTGCAATTTGTATGAATTCCCGCTTCCAACGAAATCCTCAAAACTAGCCAAATATCCACTTGCAGATTCCACAAAAAGACCATTTCAAAACTGCTCTATCAAAAGAAAGGTTCAACTTTGTTAGTTGAGTAGATACAGCATAACCAAGTTTCTGAGAATGCTTCTGTCCAGTTTTTATGGGAAGATATTTCCTTTTTCACCTTAGCCCTGAAATCGCTCCAAAAGTCCAGTTCCAGATACTACAAAAGGGGTGTTTCAAGACTGCTCTATGAAAGGGAGTGTTCAACTTTTGACTTGAATGCAAACATCAGAAAGCAGTTTCTCAGAACGCTGCTGTGTGCTTTTTATATGTATTCCCGCTTCCAGCGAAATCCCCAAAGCTAGCCAAATATCCACTTGCAGATTCCAGAAAAAGAGAGTTTCAAAACTGCTCCTTCAAAACGGTGGTTCAATTCTCTTAGTTGAGTACACACATCTCAAATAAGTTTCTGAGAATGCTTCTGTCTAGTTGTTATGGGAAGATATTTCCTTTCCCAACATAGGCCTGAAAGCGCTCCAAATGTCCACTTCCAGATACTACAAAAGGAGTGATTCAAACCTGCTCTATGATAGGGAATGTTCAACTCTGTGTCCTGAATACAAACATCACAAAGATGTTTCTCAGAACGCTGCAGTCTGCAATTTGTATGAATTCCCGCTTCCAACGAAATCCTCCAAACTAGCCAAATATCCACTTGCAGATTCCACAAAAAGAGCGTTTCAAAACTTCTCTATGAAAAGAAAGGTTCTACTCCTTTAGTTGAGGACACACATCACGAGTAAGTTTCTGAGAATGCTTCTGTCTAGTTTTTATGGGAAGATATTTCCTTTTTCACCTTAGGCCGGTAAGTGCTCCAAATGTCCACTTACACACACTACAAAAAGAGTGTTTCAAACCTGCTCTGTGAAAGGGAATGTTCAATTCTGTGACTTGAATGCAATCATCACAAAGAACTTTCTGAGAATGCTGCTGACTGCTTTTTATATGTAATCCCGTTTCCAACGAAATCCTCAAATCTAGCCAAATAGCCACTTGCAGATTCCACAAAAAGAGTGTTTCAAAACTGTTCTGTCTAAAGAAATGTTCAACTGTGTTAGTTGAGGACACACATCAGAAACTAGTTTCTGAGAATGCTTTCTGTCTAGTTGTTATGGGAAGATATTTCCTTTTCCAACGTAGGCCTGAAAGCGCTCCAAATGTCCACTTTCATATACTAAAAAAAGAGTGTTTCAAACCTGCTCTACCAAAGGGAATGTTCTACTCTGTGACTTGAATGCAAACATCCCAAAGAAGTTTCTGAGAATGCTTCTGTCTAGATTTGATCTGAAGAAAATCCCGTTTCCAACGAAATCCTCAAGGCTAGGCAAATATCCTCTTGCAGATTCCAGAAAAAGAGTGTTTCAAAACTGCTCCTTCAAAACGGTGGTTCAATTCTCTTAGTTGAGTACACACATCTCAAATAAGTTTCTGAGAATGCTTCTGCCTAGTTGTTACGGGAAGATATTTCCCTTTCCAACATAGGCCTGAAAGCGCTCCAAATGTCCACTTCCAGATACTACAAAAAGAGTGTTTCAAACCTGCTCTACCAAAGGGAATGTTCTACTCTGTGACTTGAATGCAAACATCCCAAAGAAGTTTCTGAGAATGCTTCTGTCTAGATTTTACCTGAAGACAATCCCGTTTCCCACGAAATCCTCAAAGCTATGCAAATATCCTCTTGCAGATTCTACAAAAAGAGTGTTTCAAAACTGCTCTATGAAAAGAAAGGTTCAACTCTGTCAGTAGAGGGCACACATCACAAACAAGTTTCTGAGAATGCTTCTGCATAGTTGTTACGGGAAGATATTTCCCTTTCCAAAATAGGCCTGAAAGCGCTCCAAATGTCCACTTCCAGATACTACAAAAGGAGTGATTCCAACCTGCTCTATGATAGGGAATGTTCAACTCTGTGTCCTGAATACAAACATCACAAAGATGTTTCTCAGAACGCTGCAGTCTGCAATTTGTATGAATTCCCGCTTCCAACGAAATCCTCAAAACTAGCCAAATATCCACTTGCAGATTCCACAAAAAGAGCATTTCAAAACTGCTCTATCAAAAGAAAGGTTCAACTATGTTAGTTGAGTAGATACAGCATAAACAAGTTTCTGAGAATGATTCTGTCCAGTTTTTATGGGAAGATATTTCCTTTTTCACCTTAGCCCTGAAAGCGCTCCAAAAGTCCAGTTCCAGATACTACAAAAGGAGTGTTTCAGGACTGCTCTATGAAAGGGAGTGTTCAACTTTTGACTTGAATGCAAACATCAGAAAGCAGTTTCTCAGAACGCTGCTGTGTGCTTTTTATATGTATTCCCGCTTCCAGCGAAATCCCCAAAGCTAGCCAAATATCCACTTGCAGATTGCAGAAAAAGAGTGTTTCAAAACTGCTCCTTCAAAACGGTGGTTCAATTCTCTTAGTTGAGTACACACATCTCAAATAAGTTTCTGAGAATGTTTCTGTCTAGTTGTTATGGGAAGATATTTCCTTTTCCAACACAGGCCTGAAAGCGCTCCAAATGTCCACTTCCAGATACTACAAAAGGAGTGATTCCAACCTGCTCTATGATAGGGAATGTTCAACTCTGTGTCCTGAATACAAACATCACAAAGATGTTTCTCAGAACGCTGCAGTCTGCAATTTGTATGAATTCCCGCTTCCAACGAAATCCTCCAAACTAGCCAAATATCCACTTGCAGATTCCACAAAAAGAGCATTTCAAAACTGCTCTATCAAAAGAAAGGTTCAACTTTGTTAGTTGAGTAGATACAGCATAAACAAGTTTCTGAGAATGCTTCTGTCCAGTTTTTATGGGAAGATATTTCCTTTTTCACCTTAGCCCTGAAAGCGCTCCAAAAGTCCAGTTCCAGATACTACAAAAGGAGTGTTTCAGGACTGCACTATGAAAGGGAGTGTTCAACTTTTGACTTGAATGCAAACATCAGAAAGCAGTTTCTCAGAACGCTGCTGTGTGCTTTTTATATGTATTCCCGCTTCCAGCGAAATCCCCAAAGCTAGCCAAATATCCACTTGCAGATTCCAGAAAAAGAGTGTTTCAAAACTGCTCCTTCAAAACGGTGGTTCAATTCTCTTAGTTGAGTACACACATCTCAAATAAGTTTCTGAGAATGCTTCTGTCTAGTTGTTATGGGAAGATATTTCCTTTTCCAACATAGGCCTGAAAGCGCTCCAAATGTCCACTTCCAGATACTACAAAAGGAGTGATTCCAACCTGCTCTATGATAGGGAATGTTCAACTCTGTGTCCTGAATACAAACATCACAAAGATGTTTCTCAGAACGCTGCAGTCTGCAATTTGTATGAATTCCCGCTTCCAACGAAATCCTCCAAACTAGCCAAATATCCACTTGCAGATTCCACAAAAAGAGCGTTTCAAAACTTCTCTACGAAAGAAAGGTTCTACTCCTTTAGTTGAGGACACACATCACGAGTAAGTTTCTGAGAATGCTTCTGTCTAGTTTTTATGGGAAGATATTTCCTTTCTCACCTTAGGCCGGAAAGTGCTCCAAATGTCCACTTACACACACTACAAAAAGAGTGTTTCAAACCTGCTCTGTGAAAGGGAATGTTCAATTCTGTGACTTGAATGCAATCATCACAAAGAACTTTCTGAGAATGCTGCTGTCTGCTTTTTATATGTAATCCCGTTTCCAACGAAATCCTCAAATCTAGCCAAATAGCCACTTGCAGATTCCACAAAAAGAGTGTTTCAAAACTGTTCTGTCTAAAGAAATGTTCAACTGTGTTAGTTGAGGACACACATCAGAAACTAGTTTCTGAGAATGCTTCTGTCTAGTTGTTATGGGAAGATATTTCCTTTTCCAACGTAGGCCTGAAAGCGCTCCAAATGTCCACTTCCATATACTAAAAAAAGAGTGTTTAACACCTGCTCTACCAAAGGGAATGTTCTACTCTGTGACTTGAATGCAAACATCCCAAAGAAGTTTCTGAGAATGCTTCTGTCTAGATTTGATCTGAACACAATCCCGTTTCCAACGAAATCCTCAAAGCTAGGCAAATATCCTCTTGCAGATTCCAGAAAAAGAGTGTTTCAAAACTGCTCCTTCAAAACGGTGGTTCAATTCTCTTAGTTGAGTACACACATCTCAAATAAGTTTCTGAGAATGCTTCTGCCTAGTTGTTACGGGAAGATATTTCCCTTTCCAACATAGGCCTGAAAGCGCTCCAAATGTCCACTTCCAGATACTACAAAAAGAGTGTTTCAAACCTGCTCTACCAAAGGGAATGTTCTACTCTGTGACTTGAATGCAAACATCCCAAAGAAGTTTCTGAGAATGCTTCTGTCTAGATTTTACCTGAAGACAATCCCGTTTCCCACGAAATCCTCAAAGCTATGCAAATATCCTCTTGCAGATTCTACAAAAAGAGTGTTTCAAAACTGCTCTATGAAAAGAAAGGTTCAACTCTGTCAGTAGAGGGCACACATCACAAACAAGTTTCTGAGAATGCTTGTGTCTAGTTGTTATGGGAAGATATTTCCTTTTTCAACATAGGCCTGAAAGCGCTCCAAATGTCCACTTCCAGATACTACAAAAGGAGTGATTCCAACCTGCTCTATGATAGGGAATGTTCAACTCTCTGTCCTGAATACAAACATCACAAAGATGTTTCTCAGAACGCTGCAGTCTGCAATTTGTATGAATTCCCGCTTCCAACGAAATCCTCAAAACTAGCCAAATATCCACTTGCAGATTCCACAAAAAGAGCATTTCAAAACTGCTCTATCAAAAGAAAGGTTCAACTTTGTTAGTTGAGTAGATACAGCATAAACAAGTTTCTGAGAATGCTTCTGTCCAGTTTTTATGGGAAGATATTTCCTTTTTCACCTTAGCCCTGAAAGCGCTCCAAAAGTCCAGTTCCAGATACTACAAAAGGAGTGTTTCAGGACTGCACTATGAAAGGGAGTGTTCAACTTTTGACTTGAATGCAAACATCAGAAAGCAGTTTCTCAGAACGCTGCTGTGTGCTTTTTATATGTATTCCCGCTTCCAGCGAAATCCCCAAAGCTAGCCAAATATCCACTTGCAGATTCCAGAAAAAGAGTGTTTCAAAACTGCTCCTTCAAAACGGTGGTTCAATTCTCTTAGTTGAGTACACACATCTCAAATAAGTTTCTGAGAATGCTTCTGTCTAGTTGTTATGGGAAGATATTTCCTTTTCCAACATAGGCTTGAAAGCGCTCCAAATGTCCACTTCCAGATACTACAAAAGGAGTGATTCAAACCTGCTCTATGATAGGGAATGTTCAACTCTGTGTCCTGAATACAAACATCACAAAGATGTTTCTCAGAAAGCTGCAGTCTGCAATTTGTATGAATTCCCGCTTCCAACGAAATCCTCCAAACTAGCCAAATATCCACTTGCAGATTCCACAAAAAGAGCGTTTCAAAACTTCTCTATGAAAAGAAAGGTTCTACTCCTTTAGTTGAGGACACACATCACGAGTAAGTTTCTGAGAATGCTTCTGTCTAGTTTTTATGGGAAGATATTTCCTTTTTCACCTTAGGCCGGAAAGTGCTCCAAATGTCCACTTACACACACTACAAAAAGAGTGTTTCAAACCTGCTCTGTGAAAGGGAATGTTCAATTCTGTGACTTGAATGCAATCATCACAAAGAACGTTCTGAGAATGCTGCTGTCTGCTTTTTATATGTAACCCCGTTTCCAACGAAATCCTCAAATCTAGCCAAATAGCCACTTGCAGATTCCACAAAAAGAGAGTTTCAAAACTGTTCTGTCTAAAGAAATGTTCAACTGTGTTAGTTGAGGACACACGTCAGAAACTAGTTTCTGAGAATGCTTCTGTCTAATTGTTATGGGAAGATATTTCCTTTTCCAACGTAGGCCTGAAAGCGCTCCAAATGTCCACTTCCATATACTAAAAAAAGAGTGTTTCAAACCTGCTCTACCAAAGGGAATGTTCTACTCTGTGACTTGAATGCAAACATCCCAAAGAAGTTTCTGAGAATGCTTCTGTCTAGATTTGATCTGAAGACAATCCCGTTTCCAACGAAATCCTCAAAGCTAGGCAAATATCCTCTTGCAGATTCCAGAAAAAGAGTGTTTCAAAACTGCTCCTTCAAAACGGTGGTTCAATTCTCTTAGTTGAGTACACACATCTCAAATAAGTTTCTGAGAATGCTTCTGCCTAGTTGTTACGGGAAGATATTTCCCTTTCCAACATAGGCCTGAAAGCGCTCCAAATGTCCACTTCCAGATACTACAAAAAGAGTGTTTCAAACCTGCTCTACCAAAGGGAATGTTCTACTCTGTGACTTGAATGCAAACATCCCAAAGAAGTTTCTGAGAATGCTTCTGTCTAGATTTTACCTGAAGACAATCCCGTTTCCCACGAAATCCTCAAAGCTATGCAAATATCCTCTTGCAGATTCTACAAAAAGAGTGTTTCAAAACTGCTCTATGAAAAGAAAGGTTCAACTCTGTCAGTAGAGGGCACACATCACAAACAAGTTTCTGAGAATGCTTCTGCATAGTTGTTACGGGAAGATATTTCCCTTTCCAAAATAGGCCTGAAAGCGCTCCAAATGTCCACTTCCAGATACTACAAAAGGAGTGATTCCAACCTGCTCTATGATAGGGAATGTTCAACTCTGTGTCCTGAATACAAACATCACAAAGATGTTTCTCAGAACGCTGCAGTCTGCAATTTGTATGAATTCCCGCTTCCAACGAAATCCTCAAAACTAGCCAAATATCCACTTGCAGATTCCACAAAAAGACCATTTCAAAACTGCTCTATCAAAAGAAAGGTTCAACTTTGTTAGTTGAGTAGATACAGCATAAACAAGTTTCTGAGAATGCTTCTGTCCAGTTTTTATGGGAAGATATTTCCTTTTTCACCTTAGCCCTGAAATCGCTCCAAAAGTCCAGTTCCAGATACTACAAAAGGGGTGTTTCAGGACTGCCCTATGAAAGGGAGTGTTCAACTTTTGACTTGAATGCAAACATCAGAAAGCAGTTTCTCAGAACGCTGCTGTGTGCTTTTTATATGTATTCCCGCTTCCAGCGAAATCCCCAAAGCTAGCCAAATATCCACTTGCAGATTCCAGAAAAAGAGAGTTTCAAAACTGCTCCTTCAAAACGGTGGTTCAATTCTCTTAGTTGAGTACACACATCTCAAATAAGTTTCTGAGAATGCTTCTGTCTAGTTGTTATGGGAAGATATTTCCTTTTCCAACATAGGCCTGAAAGCGCTCCAAATGTCCACTTCCAGATACTACAAAAGGAGTGATTCAAACCTGCTCTATGATAGGGAATGTTCAACTCTGTGTCCTGAATACAAACATCACAAAGATGTTTCTCAGAACGCTGCAGTCTGCAATTTGTATGAATTCCCGCTTCCAACGAAATCCTCCAAACTAGCCAAATATCCACTTGCAGATTCCACAAAAAGAGCGTTTCAAAACTTCTCTATGAAAAGAAAGGTTCTACTCCTTTAGTTGAGGACACACATCACGAGTAAGTTTCTGAGAATGCTTCTGTCTAGTTTTTATGGGAAGATATTTCCTTTTTCACCTTAGGCCGGAAAGCGCTCCAAATGTCCACTTACACTCACTACAAAAAGAGTGTTTCAAACCTGCTCTGTGAAAGGGAATGTTCAATTCTGTGACTTGAATGCAATCACCACAAAGAACTTTCTGAGAATGCTGCTGTCTGCTTTTTATATGTAATCCCGTTTCCAACGAAATCCTCAAATCTAGCCCAATATCCAATTGCAGATTCCACAAAAAGAGTGTTTCAAAACTGTTCTGTCTAAAGAAAAGTTCAACTGTGTTAGTTGAGGACACACATCAGAAACTAGTTTCTCAGAATGCTTCTGTCTAGTTGTTATGGGAAGATATTTCCTTTTCCAACGTAGGCCTGAAAGCGCTCCAAATGTCCACTTCCATATACTAAAAAAAGAGTGTTTCAAACCTGCTCTACCAAAGGGAATGTTCTACTCTGTGACTTGAATGCAAACATCCCAAAGAAGTTTCTGAGAATGCTTCTGTCTAGATTTTATCTGAAGACAATCCCGTTTCCAACGAAATCCTCAAGGCTAGGCAAATATACTCTTGCAGATTCCAGAAAAAGAGTGTTTCAAAACTGCTCCTTCAAAACGGTGGTTCAATTCTCTTAGTTGAGTACACACATCTCAAATAAGTTTCTGAGAATGCTTCTGCCTAGTTGTTACGGGAAGATATTTCCCTTTCCAACATGGGCCTGAAAGCGCTCCAAATGTCCACTTCCAGATACTACAAAAAGAGTGTTTCAAACCTGCTCTACCAAAGGGAATGTTCTACTCTGTGTCTTGAATGCAAACATCCCAAAGAAGTTTCTGAGAATGCTTCTGTCTAGATTTTACCTGAAGACAATCCCGTTTCCCACGAAATCCTCAAAGCTATGCAAATATCCTCTTGCAGATTCTACAAAAAGAGTGTTTCAAAACTGCTCTAAGAAAAGAAAGGTTCAACTCTGTCAGTAGAGGGCACACATCACAAACAAGTTTCTGAGAATGCTTCTGCATAGTTGTTATGGGAAGATATTTCCCTGTCCAAAATAGGCCTGAAAGCGCTCCAAATGTCCACTTCCAGATACTACAAAAGGAGTGATTCCAACCTGCTCTATGATAGGGAATGTTCAACTCTGTGTCCTGAATACAAACATCACAAAGATGTTTCTCATAACGCTGCAGTCTGCAATTTGTATGAATTCCCGCTTCCAACGAAATCCTCAAAACTAGCCAAATATCCACTTGCAGATTCCACAAAAAGACCATTTCAAAACTGCTCTATCAAAAGAAAGGTTCAACTTTGTTAGTTGAGTAGATACAGCATAAACAAGTTTCTGAGAATGCTTCTGTCCAGTTTTTATGGGAAGATATTTCCTTTTTCACCTTAGCCCTGAAATCGCTCCAAAAGTCCAGTTCCAGATACTACCAAAGGGGTGTTTCAGGACTGCTCTATGAAAGGGAGTGTTCAACTTTTGACTTGAATGCAAACATCAGAAAGCAGTTTCTCAGAACGCTGCTGTGTGCTTTTTATATGTATTCCCGCTTCCAGCGAAATCCCCAAAGCTAGCCAAATATCCACTTGCAGATTCCAGAAAAAGAGAGTTTCAAAACTGCTCCTTCAAAACGGTGGTTCAATTCTCTTAGTTGAGTACACACATCTCAAATAAGTTTCTGAGAATGCTTCTGTCTAGTTGTTATGGGAAGATATTTCCTTTTCCAACATAGGCCTGAAAGCGCTCCAAATGTCCACTTCCAGATACTACAAAAGGAGTGATTCAAACCTGCTCTATGATAGGGAATGTTCAACTCTGTGTCCTGAATACAAACATCACAAAGATGTTTCTCAGAACGCTGCAGTCTGCAATTTGTATGAATTCCCGCTTCCAACGAAATCCTCAAAACTAGCCAAATATCCACTTGCAGATTCCACAAAAAGAGCGTTTCAAAACTTCTCTATGAAAAGAAAGGTTCTACTCCTTTAGTTGAGGACACACATCACGAGTAAGTTTCTGAGAATGCTTCTGTCTAGTTTTTATGGGAAGATTATTTCCTTTTTCACCTTAGGCCGGTAAGTGCTCCAAATGTCCACTTACACACACTACAAAAAGAGTGTTTCAAACCTGCTCTGTGAAAGGGAATGTTCAATTCTGTGACTTGAATGCAATCATCACAAAGAACTTTCTGAGAATGCTGCTGACTGCTTTTTATATGTAATCCCGTTTCCAACGAAATCCTCAAATCTAGCCAAATAGCCACTTGCAGATTCCACAAAAAGAGTGTTTCAAAACTGTTCTGTCTAAAGAAATGTTCAACTGTGTTAGTTGAGGACACACATCAGAAACTAGTTTCTGAGAATGCTTCTGTCTAGTTGTTATGGGAAGATATTTCCTTTTCCAACGTAGGCCTGAAAGCGCTCCAAATGTCCACTTCCAGATACTACAAAAAGAGTGTTTCAAACCTGCTCTACCAAAGGGAATGTTCTACTCTGTGACTTGAATGCAAGCATCCCAAAGAAGTTTCTGAGAATGCTTCTGTCTAGATTTTCTCTGAAGACAATCCCGTTTCCAACGAAATCCTCAAGGCTAGGCAAATATCCTCTTGCAGATTCCAGAAAAAGAGTGTTTCAAAACTGCTCCTTCAAAACGGTGGTTCAATTCTCTTAGTTGAGTACACACATCTCAAATAAGTTTCTGAGAATGCTTCTGCCTAGTTGTTACGGGAAGATATTTCCCTTTCCAACATGGGCCTGAAAGCGCTCCAAATGTCCACTTCCAGATACTACAAAAAGAGTGTTTCAAACCTGCTCTACCAAAGGGAATGTTCTACTCTGTGACTTGAATGCAAACATCCCAAAGAAGTTTCTGAGAATGCTTCTGTCTAGATTTTACCTGAAGACAATCCCGTTTCCCACGAAATCCTCAAAGCTATGCAAATATCCTCTTGCAGATTCTACAAAAAGAGTGTTTCAAAACTGCTCTATGAAAAGAAAGGTTCAACTCTGTCAGTAGAGGGCACACATCACAAACAAGTTTCTGAGAATGCTTCTGCATAGTTGTTACGGGAAGATATTTCCCTTTCCAAAATAGGCCTGAAAGCGCTCCAAATGTCCACTTCCAGATACTACAAAAGGAGTGATTCCAACCTGCTCTATGATAGGGAATGTTCAACTCTGTGTCCTGAATACAAACATCACAAAGATGTTTCTCAGAACGCTGCAGTCTGCAATTTGTATGAATTCCCGCTTCCAACGAAATCCTCAAAACTAGCCAAATATCCACTTGCAGATTCCACAAAAAGACCATTTCAAAACTGCTCTATCAAAAGAAAGGTTCAACTTTGTTAGTTGAGTAGATACAGCATAAACAAGTTTCTGAGAATGCTTCTGTCCAGTTTTTATGGGAAGATATTTCCTTTTTCACCTTAGCCCTGAAATCGCTCCAAAAGTCCAGTTCCAGATACTACCAAAGGGGTGTTTCAGGACTGCTCTATGAAAGGGAGTGTTCAACTTTTGACTTGAATGCAAACATCAGAAAGCAGTTTCTCAGAACGCTGCTGTGTGCTTTTTATATGTATTCCCGCTTCCAGCGAAATCCCCAAAGCTAGCCAAATATCCACTTGCAGATTCCAGAAAAAGAGAGTTTCAAAACTGCTCCTTCAAAACGGTGGTTCAATTCTCTTAGTTGAGTACACACATCTCAAATAAGTTTCTGAGAATGCTTCTGTCTAGTTGTTATGGGAAGATATTTCCTTTTCCAACATAGGCCTGAAAGCGCTCCAAATGTCCACTTCCAGATACTACAAAAGGAGTGATTCAAACCTGCTCTATGATAGGGAATGTTCAACTCTGTGTCCTGAATACAAACATCACAAAGATGTTTCTCAGAACGCTGCAGTCTGCAATTTGTATGAATTCCCGCTTCCAACGAAATCCTCAAAACTAGCCAAATATCCACTTGCAGATTCCACAAAAAGAGCGTTTCAAAACTTCTCTATGAAAAGAAAGGTTCTACTCCTTTAGTTGAGGACACACATCACGAGTAAGTTTCTGAGAATGCTTCTGTCTAGTTTTTATGGGAAGATATTTCCTTTTTCACCTTAGGCCGGTAAGTGCTCCAAATGTCCACTTACACACACTACAAAAAGAGTGTTTCAAACCTGCTCTGTGAAAGGGAATGTTCAATTCTGTGACTTGAATGCAATCATCACAAAGAACTTTCTGAGAATGCTGCTGACTGCTTTTTATATGTAATCCCGTTTCCAACGAAATCCTCAAATCTAGCCAAATAGCCACTTGCAGATTCCACAAAAAGAGTGTTTCAAAACTGTTCTGTCTAAAGAAATGTTCAACTGTGTTAGTTGAGGACACACATCAGAAACTAGTTTCTGAGAATGCTTCTGTCTAGTTGTTATGGGAAGATATTTCCTTTTCCAACGTAGGCCTGAAAGCGCTCCAAATGTCCACTTCCAGATACTACAAAAAGAGTGTTTCAAACCTGCTCTACCAAAGGGAATGTTCTACTCTGTGACTTGAATGCAAACATCCCAAAGAAGTTTCTGAGAATGCTTCTGTCTAGATTTTCTCTGAAGACAATCCCGTTTCCAACGAAATCCTCAAGGCTAGGCAAATATACTCTTGCAGATTCCAGAAAAAGAGTGTTTCAAAACTGCTCCTTCAAAACGGTGGTTCAATTCTCTTAGTTGAGTACACACATCTCAAATAAGTTTCTGAGAATGCTTCTGCCTAGTTGTTACGGGAAGATATTTCCCTTTCCAACATGGGCCTGAAAGCGCTCCAAATGTCCACTTCCAGATACTACAAAAAGAGTGTTTCAAACCTGCTCTACCAAAGGGAATGTTCTACTCTGTGACTTGAATGCAAACATCCCAAAGAAGTTTCTGAGAATGCTTCTGTCTAGATTTTACCTGAAGACAATCCCGTTTCCCACGAAATCCTCAAAGCTATGCAAATATCCTCTTGCAGATTCTACAAAAAGAGTGTTTCAAAACTGCTCTATGAAAAGAAAGGTTCAACTCTGTCAGTAGAGGGCACACATCACAAACAAGTTTCTGAGAATGCTTGTGTCTAGTTGTTATGGGAAGATATTTCCTTTTTCAACATAGGCCTGAAAGCGCTCCAAATGTCCACTTCCAGATACTACAAAAGGAGTGATTCCAACCTGCTCTATGATAGGGAATGTTCAACTCTCTGTCCTGAATACAAACATCACAAAGATGTTTCTCAGAACGCTGCAGTCTGCAATTTGTATGAATTCCCGCTTCCAACGAAATCCTCAAAACTAGCCAAATATCCACTTGCAGATTCCACAAAAAGAGCATTTCAAAACTGCTCTATCAAAAGAAAGGTTCAACTTTGTTAGTTGAGTAGATACAGCATAAACAAGTTTCTGAGAATGCTTCTGTCCAGTTTTTATGGGAAGATATTTCCTTTTTCACCTTAGCCCTGAAAGCGCTTCAAAAGTCCAGTTCCAGATACTACAAAAGGGGTGTTTCAAGACTGCTCTATGAAAGGGAGTGTTCAACTTTTGACTTGAATGCAAACATCAGAAAGCAGTTTCTCAGAACGCTGCTGTGTGCTTTTTATATGTATTCCCGCTTCCAGCGAAATCCCCAAAGCTAGCCAAATATCCACTTGCAGATTCCAGAAAAAGAGTGTTTCAAAACTGCTCCTTCAAAACGGTGGTTCAATTCTCTTAGTTGAGTACACACATCTCAAATAAGTTTCTGAGAATGCTTCTGTCTAGTTGTTATGGGAAGATATTTCCTTTTCCAACATAGGCCTGAAAGCGCTCCAAATGTCCACTTCCAGATACTACAAAAGGAGTGATTCAAACCTGCTCTATGATAGGGAATGTTCAACTCTGTGTCCTGAATACAAACATCACAAAGATGTTTCTCAGAACGCTGCAGTCTGCAATTTGTATGAATTCCCGCTTCCAACGAAATCCTCCAAACTAGCCAAATATCCACTTGCAGATTCCACAAAAAGAGCGTTTCAAAACTTCTCTATGAAAAGAAAGGTTCTACTCCTTTAGTTGAGGACACACATCACGAGTAAGTTTCTGAGAGTGCTTCTGTCTAGTTTTTATGGGAAGATATTTCCTTTTTCACCTTAGGCCGGAAAGTGCTCCAAATGTCCACTTACACACACTACAAAAAGAGTGTTTCAAACCTGCTCTGTGAAAGGGAATGTTCAATTCTGTGACTTGAATGCAATCATCACAAAGAACTTTCTGAGAATGCTGCTGTCTGCTTTTTATATGTAATCCCGTTTCCAACGAAATCCTCAAATCTAGCCAAATAGCCACTTGCAGATTCCACAAAAAGAGTGTTTCAAAACTGTTCTGTCTACAGAAATGTTCAACTGTGTTAGTTGAGGACACACATCAGAAACTAGTTTCTGAGAATGCTTCTGTCTAGTTGTTATGGGAAGATATTTCCTTTTCCAACGTAGGCCTGAAAGCGCTCCAAATGTCCACTTCCAGATACTACAAAAGGAGTGATTCCAACCTGCTCTATGATAGGGAATGTTCAACTCTGTGTCCTGAATACAAACATCACAAAGATGTTTCTCAGAACGCTGCAGTCTGCAATTTGTAAGAATTCCCGCTTCCAACGAAATCCTCCAAACTAGCCAAATATCCACTTGCAGATTCCACAAAAAGAGCGTTTCAAAACTTCTCTATGAAAGAAAGGTTCTACTCCTTTAGTTGAGGACACACATCACGAGTAAGTTTCTGAGAATGCTTCTGTCTAGTTTTTATGGGAAGATATTTCCTTTCTCACCTTAGGCCGG
Source organism: Homo sapiens (assembly GCF_000001405.40). Classification (NCBI taxonomy): domain Eukaryota; kingdom Metazoa; phylum Chordata; class Mammalia; order Primates; family Hominidae; genus Homo; species Homo sapiens. Next base: position 17,614,461 of record NC_000018.10, on the reverse strand, counting down.
AAAGTGCTCCAAATGTCCACTTACACACACTACAAAAAGAGTGTTTCAAACCTGCTCTGTGAAAGGGAATGTTCAATTCTGTGACTTGAATGCAATCATCACAAAGAACTTTCTGAGAATGCTGCTGTCTGCTTTTTATATGTAATCCCGTTTCCAACGAAATCCTCAAATCTAGCCAAATAGCCACTTGCAGATTCCACAAAAAGAGAGTTTCAAAACTGTTCTGTCTAAAGAAATGTTCAACTGTGTTAGTTGAGGACACACATCAGAAACTAGTTTCTGAGAATGCTTCTGTCTAGTTGTTATGGGAAGATATTTCCTTTTCCAACGTAGGCCTGAAAGCGCTCCAAATGTCCACTTCCATATACTAAAAAAAGAGTGTTTCACACCTGCTCTACCAAAGGGAATGTTCTACTCTGTGACTTGAATGCAAACATCCCAAAGAAGTTTCTGAGAATGCTTCTGTCTAGATTTGATCTGAACACAATCCCGTTTCCAACGAAATCCTCAAAGCTAGGCAAATATCCTCTTGCAGATTCCAGAAAAAGAGTGTTTCAAAACTGCTCCTTCAAAACGGTGGTTCAATTCTCTTAGTTGAGTACACACATCTCAAATAAGTTTCTGAGAATGCTTCTGCCTAGTTGTTACGGGAAGATATTTCCCTTTCCAACATAGGCCTGAAAGCGCTCCAAATGTCCACTTCCAGATACTACAAAAAGAGTGTTTCAAACCTGCTCTACCAAAGGGAATGTTCTACTCTGTGACTTGAATGCAAACATCCCAAAGAAGTTTCTGAGAATGCTTCTGTCTAGATTTTACCTGAAGACAATCCCGTTTCCCACGAAATCCTCAAAGCTATGCAAATATCCTCTTGCAGATTCTACAAAAAGAGTGTTTCAAAACTGCTCTATGAAAAGAAAGGTTCAACTCTGTCAGTAGAGGGCACACATCACAAACAAGTTTCTGAGAATGCTTCTGCATAGCTGTTACGGGAAGATATTTCCCTTTCCAACATAGGCCTGAAAGCGCTCCAAATGTCCACTTCCAGATACTACAAAAGGAGTGATTCCAACCTGCTCTATGATAGGGAATGTTCAACTCTGTGTCCTGAATACAAACATCACAAAGATGTTTTCTCAGAACGCTGGCAGTCTGCAATTTGTATGAATTCCCGCTTCCAACGAAATCCTCAAAACTAGCCAAATATCCACTTGCAGATTCCACAAAAAGACCATTTCAAAACTGCTCTATCAAAAGAAAGGTTCAACTTTGTTAGTTGAGTAGATACAGCATAAACAAGTTTCTGAGAATGCTTCTGTCCAGTTTTTATGGGAAGATATTTCCTTTTTCACCTTAGCCCTGAAATCGCTCCAAAAGTCCAGTTCCAGATACTACAAAAGGGGTGTTTCAAGACTGCTCTATGAAAGGGAGTGTTCAACTTTTGACTTGAATGCAAACATCAGAAAGCAGTTTCTCAGAACGCTGCTGTGTGCTTTTTATATGTATTCCCGCTTCCAGCGAAATCCCCAAAGCTAGCCAAATATCCACTTGCAGATTCCAGAAAAAGAGTGTGTCAAAACTGCTCCTTCAAAACGGTGGTTCAATTCTCTTAGTTGAGTACACTCATCTCAAATAAGTTTCTGAGAATGCTTCTGTCTAGTTGTTATGGGAAGATATTTCCTTTTCCAACATAGGCCTGAAAGCACTCCAAATGTCCACTTCCAGATACTACAAAAGGAGTGATTCAAACCTGCTCTATGATAGGGAATGTTCAACTCTGTGTCCTGAATACAAACATCACAAAGATGTTTCTCAGAACGCTGCAGTCTGCAATTTGTATGAATTCCCGCTTCCAACGAAATCCTCAAAACTAGCCAAATATCCACTTGCAGATTCCACAAAAAGACCATTTCAAAACTGCTCTATCAAAAGAAAGGTTCAACTTTGTTAGTTGAGTAGATACAGCATAACCAAGTTTCTGAGAATGCTTCTGTCCAGTTTTTATGGGAAGATATTTCCTTTTTCACCTTAGCCCTGAAATCGCTCCAAAAGTCCAGTTCCAGATACTACAAAAGGGGTGTTTCAAGACTGCTCTATGAAAGGGAGTGTTCAACTTTTGACTTGAATGCAAACATCAGAAAGCAGTTTCTCAGAACGCTGCTGTGTGCTTTTTATATGTATTCCCGCTTCCAGCGAAATCCCCAAAGCTAGCCAAATATCCACTTGCAGATTCCAGAAAAAGAGAGTTTCAAAACTGCTCCTTCAAAACGGTGGTTCAATTCTCTTAGTTGAGTACACACATCTCAAATAAGTTTCTGAGAATGCTTCTGTCTAGTTGTTATGGGAAGATATTTCCTTTTCCAACATAGGCCTGAAAGCGCTCCAAATGTCCACTTCCAGATACTACAAAAGGAGGGATTCCAACCTGCTCTATGATAGGGAATGTTCAACTCTGTGTCCTGAATACAAACATCACAAAGACGTTTCTCAGAACGCTGCAGTCTGCAATTTGTATGAATTCCCGCTTCCAACGAAATCCTCAAAACTAGCCAAATATCCACTTGCAGATTCCACAAAAAGAGCGTTTCAAAACTTCTCTATGAAAAGAAAGGTTCTACTCCTTTAGTTGAGGACACACATCACGAGTAAGTTTCTGAGAATGCTTCTGTCTAGTTTTTATGGGAAGATATTTCCTTTTTCACCTTAGGCCGGTAAGTGCTCCAAATGTCCACTTACACACACTACAAAAAGAGTGTTTCAAACCTGCTCTGTGAAAGGGAATGTTCAATTCTGTGACTTGAATGCAATCATCACAAAGAACTTTCTGAGAATGCTGCTGACTGCTTTTTATATGTAATCCCGTTTCCAACGAAATCCTCAAATCTAGCCAAATAGCCACTTGCAGATTCCACAAAAAGAGTGTTTCAAAACTGTTCTGTCTAAAGAAATGTTCAACTGTGTTAGTTGAGGACACACATCAGAAACTAGTTTCTGAGAATGCTTCTGTCTAGTTGTTATGGGAAGATATTTCCTTTTCCAACGTAGACCTGAAAGCGCTCCAAATGTCCACTTCCATATACTAAAAAAAGAGTGTTTCAAACCTGCTCTACCAAAGGGAATGTTCTACTCTGTGACTTGAATGCAAACATCCGAAAGAAGTTTCTGAGAATGCTTCTGTCTAGATTTTATCTGAAGACAATCCCGTTTCCAACGAAATCCTCAAGGCTAGGCAAATATACTCTTGCAGATTCCAGAAAAAGAGTGTTTCAAAACTGCGCCTTCCAAACGGTGGTTCAATTCTCTTAGTTGAGTACACACATCTCAAATAAGTTTCTGAGAATGCTTCTGCCTAGTTGTTACGGGAAGATATTTCCCTTTCCAACATGGGCCTGAAAGCGCTCCAAATGTCCACTTCCAGATACTACAAAAGGAGGGTTTCAAACCTGCTCTAACAAAGGGAGTGTTCTACTCTGTGACTTGAATGCAAACATCCCAAAGAAGTTTCTGAGAATGCTTCTGTCTAGATTTTACCTGAAGGCAATCCCGTTTCCCACGAAATCCTCAAAGCTATGCAAATATCCTCTTGCAGATTCTACAAAAAGAGTGTTTCAAAACTGCTCTATGAAAAGAAAGGTTCAACTCTGTCAGTAGAGGGCACACATCACAAACAAGTTTCTGAGAATGCTTGTGTCTAGTTGTTATGGGAAGATATTTCCTTTTTCAACATAGGCCTGAAAGCGCTCCAAATGTCCACTTCCAGATACTACAAAAGGAGTGATTCCAACCTGCTCTATGATAGGGAATGTTCATCTCTGTGTCCTGAATACAAACATCACAAAGATGTTTCTCAGAACGCTGCAGTCTGCAATTTGTATGAATTCCCGAATCCAACGAAATCCTCAAAACTAGCCAAATATCCACTTGGAGATTCCACAAAAAGAGCGTTTCAAAACTTCTCTATGAATAGAAAGGTTCTACTCCTTTAGTTGAGGACACACATCACGAGTAAGTTTCTGAGAATGCTTCTGTCTAGTTTTTATGGGAAGATATTTCCTTTTTCACCTTAGGCCGGAAAGCGCTCCAAATGTCCACTTACACACACTACAAAAAGAGTGTTTCAAACCTGCTCTGTGAAAGGGAATGTTCAATTCTGTGACTTGAATGCAATCATCACAAAGAACTTTCTGAGAATGCTGCTGTCTGCTTTTTATATGTAATCCCGTTTCCAACGAAATCCTCAAATCTAGCCAAATATCCACTTGCAGATTCCACAAAAAGAGTGTTTCAAAACTGTTCTGTCTAAAGAAAAGTTCAACTGTGTTAGTTGAGGACACACATCAGAAACTAGTTTCTGAGAATGCTTCTGTCTAGTTGTTATGGGAAGATATTTCCTTTTCCAACGTAGGCCTGAAAGCGCTCCAAATGTCCACTTCCATATACTAAAAAAAGAGTGTTTCAAACCTGCTCTACCAAAGGGAATGTTCTACTCTGTGACTTGAATGCAAACATCCCAAAGAAGTTTCTGAGAATGCTTCTGTCTAGATTTTATCTGAAGACAATCCCGTTTCCAACGAAATCCTCAAGGCTAGGCAAATATACTCTTGCAGATTCCAGAAAAAGAGTGTTTCAAAACTGCTCCTTCAAAACGGTGGTTCAATTCTCTTAGTTGAGTACACACATCTCAAATAAGTTTCTGAGAATGCTTCTGCCTAGTTGTTACGGGAAGATATTTCCCTTTCCAACATGGGCCTGAAAGCGCTCCAAATGTCCACTTCCAGATACTACAAAAAGAGTGTTTGAAACCTGCTCTACCAAAGGGAATGTTCTACTCTGTGACTTGAATGCAAACATCCCAAAGAAGTTTCTGAGAATGCTTCTGTCTAGATTTTACCTGAAGACAATCCCGTTTCCCACGAAATCCTCAAAGCTATGCAAATATCCTCTTTCAGATTCTACAAAAAGAGTGTTTCAAAACTGCTCTATGAAAAGAAAGGTTCAACTCTGTCAGTAGAGGGCACACATCACAAACAAGTTTCTGAGAATGCTTGTGTCTAGTTGTTATGGGAAGATATTTCCTTTTTCAACATAGTCCTGAAAGCGCTCCAAATGTCCACTTCCAGATACTACAAAAGGAGTGATTCCAACCTGCTCTATGATAGGGAATGTTCAACTCTCTGTCCTGAATACAAACATCACAAAGATGTTTCTCAGAACGCTGCAGTCTGCAATTTGTATGAATTCCCGCTTCCAACGAAATCCTCAAAACTAGCCAAATATCCACTTGCAGATTCCACAAAAAGAGCATTTCAAAACTGCTCTATCAAAAGAAAGGTTCAACTTTGTTAGTTGAGTAGATACAGCATAAACAAGTTTCTGAGAATGCTTCTGTCCAGTTTTTATGGGAAGATATTTCCTTTTTCACCTTAGCCCTGAAAGCGCTCCAAAAGTCCAGTTCCAGATACTACAAAAGGAGTGTTTCAGGACTGCTCTATGAAAGGGAGTGTTCAACTTTTGACTTGAATGCAAACATCAGAAAGCAGTTTCTCAGAACGCTGCTGTGTGCTTTTTATATGTATTCCCGCTTCCAGCGAAATCCCCAAAGCTAGCCAAATATCCACTTGCAGATTCCAGAAAAAGAGTGTTTCAAAACTGCTCCTTCAAAACGGTGGTTCAATTCTCTTAGTTGAGTACACACATCTCAAATAAGTTTCTGAGAATGCTTGTGTCTAGTTGTTATGGGAAGATATATCCTTTTTCAACATAGGCCTGAAAGCGCTCCAAATGTCCACTTCCAGATACTACAAAAGGAGTGATTACAACCTGTTCTATGATAGGGAATGTTCAACTCTGTGTCCTGAATACAAACATCACAAAGATGTTTCTCAGAACGCTGCAGTCTGCAATTTGTATGAATTCCAGCTTCCAACGAAATCCTCAAATCTAGCCAAATATCCACTTGCAGATTCCACAAAAAGAGCATTTCAAAACTGCTCTATCAAAAGAAAGGTTCAACTTTGTTAGTAGAGTAGATACAGCATAAACAAGTTTCTGAGAATGCTTCTGTCCAGTTTTTATGGGAAGATATTTCCTTTTTCACCTTAGCCCTGAAAGCGCTCCAAAAGTCCAGTTCCAGATACTACAAAAGGAGTGTTTCAGGACTGCTCTATGAAAGGGAGTGTTCAACTTTTGACTTGAATGCAAACATCAGAAAGCAGTTTCTCAGAACGCTGCTGTGTGCTTTTTATATGTATTCCCGCTTCCAGCGAAATCTCCAAAGCTAGCCAAATATCCACTTGCAGATTCCAGAAAAAGAGAGTTTCAAAACTGCTCCTTCAAAACGGTGGTTCAATTCTCTTAGTTGAGTACACACATCTCAAATAAGTTTCTGAGAATGCTTCTGTCTAGTTGTTATGGGAAGATATTTCCTTTTCCAACATAGGCCTGAAAGCGCTCCAAATGTCCACTTCCAGATACTACAAAAGGAGTGATTCCAACCTGCTCTATGATAGGGAATGTTCAACTCTGTGTCCTGAATACAAACATCACAAAGATGTTTCTCAGAACGCTGCAGTCTGCAATTTGTATGAATTCCCGCTTCCAACGAAATCCTCAAAACTAGCCAAATATCCACTTGCAGATTCCACAAAAAGAGCGTTTCAAAACTTCTCTATGAAAAGAAAGGTTCTACTCCTTTAGTTGAGGACACACATCACGAGTAAGTTTCTGAGAATGCTTCTGTCTAGTTTTTATGGGAAGATATTTCCTTTTTCACCTTAGGCCGGTAAGTGCTCCAAATGTCCACTTACACACACTACAAAAAGAGTGTTTCAAACCTGCTCTGTGAAAGGGAATGTTCAATTCTGTGACTTGAATGCAATCATCACAAAGAACTTTCTGAGAATGCTGCTGACTGCTTTTTATATGTAATCCCGTTTCCAACGAAATCCTCAAATCTAGCCAAATAGCCACTTGCAGATTCCACAAAAAGAGTGTTTCAAAACTGTTCTGTCTAAAGAAATGTTCAACTGTGTTAGTTGAGGACACACATCAGAAACTAGTTTCTGAGAATGCTTCTGTCTAGTTGTTATGGGAAGATATTTCCTTTTCCAACGTAGGCCCTGAAAGCGATCAAAATGTCCACTTCCATATACTAAAAAAAGAGTGTTTCAAACCTGCTCTACCAAAGGGAATGTTCTACTCTGTGACTTGAATGCAAACATCCCAAAGAAGTTTCTGAGAATGCTTCTGTCTAGATTTTCTCTGAAGACAATCCCGTTTCCAACGAAATCCTCAAGGCTAGGCAAATATACTCTTGCAGATTCCAGAAAAAGAGTGTTTCAAAACTGCTCCTTCAAAACGGTGGTTCAATTCTCTTAGTTGAGTACACACATCTCAAATAAGTTTCTGAGAATGCTTCTGCCTAGTTGTTACGGGAAGATATTTCCCTTTCCAACATGGGCCTGAAAGCGCTCCAAATGTCCACTTCCAGATACTACAAAAAGAGTGTTTCAAACCTGCTCTACCAAAGGGAATGTTCTACTCTGTGACTTGAATGCAAACATCCCAAAGAAGTTTCTGAGAATGCTTCTGTCTAGATTTTACCTGAAGACAATCCCGTTTCCCACGAAATCCTCAAAGCTATGCAAATATCCTCTTGCAGATTCTACAAAAAGAGTGTTTCAAAAGTGCTCTATGAAAAGAAAGGTTCAACTCTGTCAGTAGAGGGCACACATCACAAACAAGTTTCTGAGAATGCTTCTGCATAGTTGTTACGGGAAGATATTTCCCTTTCCAAAATAGGCCTGAAAGCGCTCCAAATGTCCACTTCCAGATACTACAAAAGGAGTGATTCCAACCTGCTCTATGATAGGGAATGTTCAACTCTGTGTCCTGAATACAAACATCACAAAGATGTTTCTCAGAACGCTGCAGTCTGCAATTTGTATGAATTCCCGCTTCCAACGAAATCCTCAAAACTAGCCAAATATCCACTTGCAGATTCCACAAAAAGACCATTTCAAAACTGCTCTATCAAAAGAAAGGTTCAACTTTGTTAGTTGAGTAGATACAGCATAAACAAGTTTCTGAGAATGCTTCTGTCCAGTTTTTATGGGAAGATATTTCCTTTTTCACCTTAGCCCTGAAATCGCTCCAAAAGTCCAGTTCCAGATACTACAAAAGGGGTGTTTCAAGACTGCTCTATGAAAGGGAGTGTTCAACTTTTGACTTGAATGCAAACATCAGAAAGCAGTTTCTCAGAACGCTGCTGTGTGCTTTTTATATGTATTCCCGCTTCCAGCGAAATCCCCAAAGCTAGCCAAATATCCACTTGCAGATTCCAGAAAAAGAGAGTTTCAAAACTGCTCCTTCAAAACGGTGGTTCAATTCTCTTAGTTGAGTACACACATCTCAAATAAGTTTCTGAGAATGCTTCTGTCTAGTTGTTATGGGAAGATATTTCCTTTTCCAACATAGGCCTGAAAGCGCTCCAAATGTCCACTTCCAGATACTACAAAAGGAGTGATTCCAACCTGCTCTATGATAGGGAATGTTCAACTCTGTGTCCTGAATACAAACATCACAAAGATGTTTCTCAGAACGCTGCAGTCTGCAATTTGTATGAATTCCCGCTTCCAACGAAATCCTCAAAACTAGCCAAATATCCACTTGCAGATTCCACAAAAAGAGCGTTTCAAAACTTCTCTATGAAAAGAAAGGTTCTACTCCTTTAGTTGAGGACACACATCACGAGTAAGTTTCTGAGAATGCTTCTGTCTAGTTTTTATGGGAAGATATTTCCTTTTTCACCTTAGGCCGGTAAGTGCTCCAAATGTCCACTTACACACACTACAAAAAGAGTGTTTCAAACCTGCTCTGTGAAAGGGAATGTTCAATTCTGTGACTTGAATGCAATCATCACAAAGAACTTTCTGAGAATGCTGCTGACTGCTTTTTATATGTAATCCCGTTTCCAACGAAATCCTCAAATCTAGCCAAATAGCCACTTGCAGATTCCACAAAAAGAGTGTTTCAAAACTGTTCTGTCTAAAGAAATGTTCAACTGTGTTAGTTGAGGACACACATCAGAAACTAGTTTCTGAGAATGCTTCTGTCTAGTTGTTATGGGAAGATATTTCCTTTTCCAACGTAGGCCTGAAAGCGCTCCAAATGTCCACTTCCAGATACTACAAAAAGAGTGTTTCAAACCTGCTCTACCAAAGGGAATGTTCTACTCTGTGACTTGAATGCAAGCATCCCAAAGAAGTTTCTGAGAATGCTTCTGTCTAGATTTTCTCTGAAGACAATCCCGTTTCCAACGAAATCCTCAAGGCTAGGCAAATATACTCTTGCAGATTCCAGAAAAAGAGTGTTTCAAAACTGCTCCTTCAAAACGGTGGTTCAATTCTCTTAGTTGAGTACACACATCTCAAATAAGTTTCTGAGAATGCTTCTGCCTAGTTGTTACGGGAAGATATTTCCCTTTCCAACATGGGCCTGAAAGCGCTCCAAATGTCCACTTCCAGATACTAAAAAAAGAGTGTTTCAAACCTGCTCTACCAAAGGGAATGTTCTACTCTGTGACTTGAATGCAAACATCCCAAAGAAGTTTCTGAGAATGCTTCTGTCTAGATTTTACCTGAAGACAATCCCGTTTCCCACGAAATCCTCAAAGCTATGCAAATATCCTCTTGCAGATTCTACAAAAAGAGTGTTTCAAAACTGCTCTATGAAAAGAAAGGTTCAACTCTGTCAGTAGAGGGCACACATCACAAACAAGTTTCTGAGAATGCTTCTGCATAGTTGTTACGGGAAGATATTTCCCTTTCCAAAATAGGCCTGAAAGCGCTCCAAATGTCCACTTCCAGATACTACAAAAGGAGTGATTCCAACCTGCTCTATGATAGGGAATGTTCAACTCTGTGTCCTGAATACAAACATCACAAAGATGTTTCTCAGAACGCTGCAGTCTGCAATTTGTATGAATTCCCGCTTCCAACGAAATCCTCAAAACTAGCCAAATATCCACTTGCAGATTCCACAAAAAGACCATTTCAAAACTGCTCTATCAAAAGAAAGGTTCAACTTTGTTAGTTGAGTAGATACAGCATAACCAAGTTTCTGAGAATGCTTCTGTCCAGTTTTTATGGGAAGATATTTCCTTTTTCACCTTAGCCCTGAAATCGCTCCAAAAGTCCAGGTCCAGATACTACAAAAGGGGTGTTTCAAGACTGCTCTATGAAAGGGAGTGTTCAACTTTTGACTTGAATGCAAACATCAGAAAGCAGTTTCTCAGAACGCTGCTGTGTGCTTTTTATATGTATTCCCGCTTCCAGCGAAATCCCCAAAGCTAGCCAAATATCCACTTGCAGATTCCAGAAAAAGAGAGTTTCAAAACTGCTCCTTCAAAACGGTGGTTCAATTCTCTTAGTTGAGTACACACATCTCAAATAAGTTTCTGAGAATGCTTCTGTCTAGTTGTTATGGGAAGATATTTCCTTTTCCAACATAGGCCTGAAAGCGCTCCAAATGTCCACTTCCAGATACTACAAAAGGAGTGATTCCAACCTGCTCTATGATAGGGAATGTTCAACTCTGTGTCCTGAATACAAACATCACAAAGATGTTTCTCAGAACGCTGCAGTCTGCAATTTGTATGAATTCCCGCTTCCAACGAAATCCTCAAAACTAGCCAAATATCCACTTGCAGATTCCACAAAAAGAGCATTTCAAAACTGCTCTATCAAAAGAAAGGTTCAACTTTGTTAGTTGAGTAGATACAGCATAAACAAGTTTCTGAGAATGCTTCTGTCCAGTTTTTATGGGAAGATATTTCCTTTTTCACCTTAGCCCTGAAAGCGCTCCAAAAGTCCAGTTCCAGATACTACAAAAGGAGTGTTTCAGGACTGCTCTATGAAAGGGAGTGTTCAACTTTTGACTTGAATGCAAACATCAGAAAGCAGTTTCTCAGAACGCTGCTGTGTGCTTTTTATATGTATTCCCGCTTCCAGCGAAATCCCCAAAGCTAGCCAAATATCCACTTGCAGATTCCAGAAAAAGAGTGTTTCAAAAGTGCTCCTTCAAAACGGTGGTTCAATTCTCTTAGTTGAGTACACACATCTCAAATAAGTTTCTGAGAATGCTTCTGTCTAGTTGTTATGGGAAGATATTTCCTTTTCCAACATAGGCCTGAAAGCGCTCCAAATGTCCACTTCCAGATACTACAAAAGGAGTGATTCCAACCTGCTCTATGATAGGGAATGTTCAACTCTGTGTCCTGAATACAAACATCACAAAGATGTTTCTCAGAACGCTGCAGTCTGCAATTTGTATGAATTCCCGCTTCCAACGAAATCCTCAAAACTAGCCAAATATCCACTTGCAGATTCCACAAAAAGAGCGTTTCAAAACTTCTCTATGAAAACAAAGGTTCTACTCCTTTAGTTGAGGACACACATCACGAGTAAGTTTCTGAGAATGCTTCTGTCTAGTTTTTATGGGAAGATATTTCCTTTTTCACCTTAGGCCGGAAAGTGCTCCAAATGTCCACTTACACACACTATAAAAAGAGTGTTTCAAACCTGCTCTGTGAAAGGGAATGTTCAATTCTGTGACTTGAATGCAATCATCACAAAGAACTTTCTGAGAATGCTGCTGTCTGCTTTTTATATGTAATCCCGTTTCCAACGAAATCCTCAAATCTAGCCAAATAGCCACTTGCAGATTCCACAAAAAGAGACTTTCAAAACTGTTCTGTCTAAAGAAATGTTCAACTGTGTTAGTTGAGGACACACATCAGAAACTAGTTTCTGAGAATGCTTCTGTCTAGTTGTTATGGGAAGATATTTCCTTTTCCAACGTAGGCCTGAAAGCGCTCCAAATGTCCACTTCCATATACTAAAAAAAGAGTGTTTCAAACCTGCTCTACCAAAGGGAATGTTCTACTCTGTGACTTGAATGCAAACATCCCAAAGAAGTTTCTGAGAATGCTTCTGTCTAGATTTGATCTGAAGACAATCCCGTTTCCAACGAAATCCTCAAGGCTAGGCAAATATCCTCTTGCAGATTCCAGAAAAAGAGTGTTTCAAAACTGCTCCTTCAAAACGGTGGTTCAATTCTCTTAGTTGAGTACACACATCTCAAATAAGTTTCTGAGAATGCTTCTGCCTAGTTGTTACGGGAAGATATTTCCCTTTCCAACATAGGCCTGAAAGCGCTCCAAATGTCCACTTCCAGATACTACAAAAAGAGTGTTTCAAACCTGCTCTACCAAAGGTAATGTTCTGCTCTGTGACTTGAATGCAAACATCCCAAAGAAGTTTCTGAGAATGGTTCTGTCTAGATTTTACCTGAAGACAATCCCGTTTCCCACGAAATCCTCAAAGCTATGCAAATATCCTCTTGCAGATTCTACAAAAAGAGTGTTTCAAAACTGCTCTATGAAAAGAAAGGTTCAACTCTGTCAGTAGAGGGCACACATCACAAACAAGTTTCTGAGAATGCTTGTGTCTAGTTGTTATGGGAAGATATTTCCTTTTTCAACATAGGCCTGAAAGCGCTCCAAATGTCCACTTCCAGATACTACAAAAGGAGTGATTCCAACCTGCTCTATGATAGGGAATGTTCAACTCTCTGTCCTGAATACAAACATCACAAAGATGTTTCTCAGAACGCTGCAGTCTGCAATTTGTATGAATTCCCGCTTCCAACCAAATCCTCAAAACTAGCCAAATATCCACTTGCAGATTCCACAAAAAGAGCATTTCAAAACTGCTCTATCAAAAGAAAGGTTCAACTTTGTTAGTTGAGTAGATACAGCATAAACAAGTTTCTGAGAATGCTTCTGTCCAGTTTTTATGGGAAGATATTTCCTTTTTCACCTTAGCCCTGAAATCGCTCCAAAAGTCCAGTTCCAGATACTACAAAAGGGGTGTTTCAGGACTGCTCTATGAAAGGGAGTGTTCAACTTTTGACTTGAATGCAAACATCAGAAAGCAGTTTCTCAGAACGCTGCTGTGTGCTTTTTATATGTATTCCCGCTTCCAGCGAAATCCCCAAAGCTAGCCAAATATCCACTTGCAGATTCCAGAAAAAGAGAGTTTCAAAACTGCTCCTTCAAAACGGTGGTTCAATTCTCTTAGTTGAGTACACACATCTCAAATAAGTTTCTGAGAATGCTTCTGTCTAGTTGTTATGGGAAGATATTTCCTTTTCCAACATAGGCCTGAAAGCGCTCCAAATGTCCACTTCCAGATACTACAAAAGTAGTGATTCAAACCTGCTCTATGATAGGGAATGTTCAACTCTGTGTCCTGAATACAAACATCACAAAGATGTTTCTCAGAACGCTGCAGTCTGCAATTTGTATGAATTCCCGCTTCCAACGAAATCCTCAAAACTAGCCAAATATCCACTTGCAGATTCCACAAAAAGAGCGTTTCAAAACTTCTCTATGAAAAGAAAGGTTCTACTCCTTTAGTTGAGGACACACATCACGAGTAAGTTTCTGAGAATGCTTCTGTCTAGTTTTTATGGGAAGATATTTCCTTTTTCACCTTAGGCCGGTAAGTGCTCCAAATGTCCACTTACACACACTACAAAAAGAGTCTTTCAAACCTGCTCTGTGAAAGGGAATGTTCAATTCTGTGACTTGAATGCAATCATCACAAAGAACTTTCTGAGAATGCTGCTGACTGCTTTTTATATGTAATCCCGTTTCCAACGAAATCCTCAAATCTAGCCAAATAGCCACTTGCAGATTCCACAAAAAGAGTGTTTCAAAACTGTTCTGTCTAAAGAAATGTTCAACTGTGTTAGTTGAGGACACACATCAGAAACTAGTTTCTGAGAATGCTTCTGTCTAGTTGTTATGGGAAGATATTTCCTTTTCCAACGTAGGCCTGAAAGCGCTCCAAATGTCCACTTCCAGATACTACAAAAAGAGTGTTTCAAACCTGCTCTACCAAAGGGAATGTTCTACTCTGTGACTTGAATGCAAACATCCCAAAGAAGTTTCTGAGAATGCTTCTGTCTAGATTTTCTCTGAAGACAATCCCGTTTCCAACGAAATCCTCAAGGCTAGGCAAATATACTCTTGCAGATTCCAGAAAAAGAGTGTTTCAAAACTGCTCCTTCAAAACGGTGGTTCAATTCTCTTAGTTGAGTACACACATCTCAAATAAGTTTCTGAGAATGCTTCTGCCTAGTTGTTACGGGAAGATATTTCCCTTTCCAACATGGGCCTGAAAGCGCTCCAAATGTCCACTTCCAGATACTACAAAAAGAGTGTTTCAAACCTGCTCTACCAAAGGGAATGTTCTACTCTGTGACTTGAATGCAAACATCCCAAAGAAGTTTCTGAGAATGCTTCTGTCTAGATTTTACCTGAAGACAATCCCGTTTCCCACGAAATCCTCAAAGCTATGCAAATATCCTCTTGCAGATTCTACAAAAAGAGTGTTTCAAAACTGCTCTATGAAAAGAAAGGTTCAACTCTGTCAGTAGAGGGCACACATCACAAACAAGTTTCTGAGAATGCTTCTGCATAGTTGTTACGGGAAGATATTTCCCTTTCCAAAATAGGCCTGAAAGCGCTCCAAATGTCCACTTCCAGATACTACAAAAGGAGTGATTCCAACCTGCTCTATGATAGGGAATGTTCAACTCTGTGTCCTGAATACAAACATCACAAAGATGTTTCTCAGAACGCTGCAGTCTGCAATTTGTATGAATTCCCGCTTCCAACGAAATTCTCAAAACTAGCCAAATATCCACTTGCAGATTCCACAAAAAGACCATTTCAAAACTGCTCTATCAAAAGAAAGGTTCAACTTTGTTAGTTGAGTAGATACAGCATAACCAAGTTTCTGAGAATGCTTCTGTCCAGTTTTTATGGGAAGATATTTCCTTTTTCACCTTAGCCCTGAAATCGCTCCAAAAGTCCAGTTCCAGATACTACAAAAGGGGTGTTTCAAGACTGCTCTATGAAAGGGAGTGTTCAACTTTTGACTTGAATGCAAACATCAGAAAGCAGTTTCTCAGAACGCTGCTGTGTGCTTTTTATATGTATTCCCGCTTCCAGCGAAATCCCCAAAGCTAGCCAAATATCCACTTGCAGATTCCAGAAAAAGAGAGTTTCAAAACTGCTCCTTCAAAACGGTGGTTCAATTCTCTTAGTTGAGTACACACATCTCAAATAAGTTTCTGAGAATGCTTCTGCCTAGTTGTTACGGGAAGATATTTCCCTTTCCAACATGGGCCTGAAAGCGCTCCAAATGTCCACTTCCAGATACTACAAAAGGAGTGATTCCAACCTGCTCTATGATAGGGAATGTTCAACTCTGTGTCCTGAATACAAACATCACAAAGATGTTTCTCAGAACGCTGCAGTCTGCAATTTGTATGAATTCCCGCTTCCAACGAAATCCTCAAAACTAGCCAAATATCCACTTGCAGATTCCACAAAAAGACCATTTCAAAACTGCTCTATCAAAAGAAAGGTTCAACTTTGTTAGTTGAGTAGATACAGCATAAACAAGTTTCTGAGAATGCTTCTGTCCAGTTTTTATGGGAAGATATTTCCTTTTTCACCTTAGCCCTGAAATCGCTCCAAAAGTCCAGTTCCAGATACTACAAAAGGGGTGTTTCAAGACTGCTCTATGAAAGGGAGTGTTCAACTTTTGACTTGAATGCAAACATCAGAAAGCAGTTTCTCAGAACGCTGCTGTGTGCTTTTTATATGTATTCCCGCTTCCAGCGAAATCCCCAAAGCTAGCCAAATATCCACTTGCAGATTCCAGAAAAAGAGTGTTTCAAAACAGCTCCTTCAAAACGGTGGTTCAATTCTCTTAGTTGAGTACACACATCTCAAATAAGTTTCTGAGAATGCTTCTGTCTAGTTGTTATGGGAAGATATTTCCTTTTCCAACATAGGCCTGAAAGCGCTCCAAATGTCCATTTCCAGATACTACAAAAGGAGTGATTCAAACCTGCTCTATGAAAGGGAATGTTCAACTCTGTGTCCTGAATACAAACATCACAAATATGTTTCTCAGAACGCTGCAGTCTGCAATTTGTATGAATTCCCGCTTCCAACGAATCCTCAAAACTAGCCAAATATCCACTTGCAGATTCCACAAAAAGAGCGCTTCAAAACTTCTCTATGAAAAGAAAGGTTCTACTCCTTTAGTTGAGGACACACATCACGAGTAAGTTTCTGAGAATGCTTCTGTCTAGTTTTTATGGGAAGATATTTCCTTTTTCACCTTAGGCCGGTAAGTGCTCCAAATGTCCACTTACACACACTACAAAAAGAGTGTTTCAAACCTGCTCTGTGAAAGGGAATGTTCAATTCTGTGACTTGAATGCAATCATCACAAAGAACTTTCTGAGAATGCTGCTGACTGCTTTTTATATGTAATCCCGTTTCCAACGAAATCCTCAAATCTAGCCAAATAGCCACTTGCAGATTCCACAAAAAGAGTGTTTCAAAACTGTTCTGTCTAAAGAAATGTTCAACTGTGTTAGTTGAGGACACACATCAGAAACTAGTTTCTGAGAATGCTTCTGTCTAGTTGTTATGGGAAGATATTTCCTTTTCCAACGTAGGCCTGAAAGCGCTCCAAATGTCCACTTCCATATACTAAAAAAAGAGTGTTTCAAACCTGCTCTACCAAAGGGAATGTTCTACTCTGTGACTTGAATGCAAACATCCCAAAGAAGTTTCTGAGAATGCTTCTGTCTAGATTTTCTCTGAAGACAATCCCGTTTCCAACGAAATCCTCAAGGCTAGGCAAATATACTCTTGCAGATTCCAGAAAAAGAGTGTTTCAAAACTGCTCCTTCAAAACGGTGGTTCAATTCTCTTAGTTGAGTACACACATCTCAAATAAGTTTCTGAGAATGCTTCTGCCTAGTTGTTACGGGAAGATATTTCCCTTTCCAACATGGGCCTGAAAGCGCTCCAAATGTCCACTTCCAGATACTACAAAAAGAGTGTTTCAAACCTGCTCTACCAAAGGGAATGTTCTACTCTGTGACTTGAATGCAAACATCCCAAAGAAGTTTCTGAGAATGCTTCTGTCTAGATTTTACCTGAAGACAATCCCGTTTCCCACGAAATCCTCAAAGCTATGCAAATATCCTCTTGCAGATTCTACAAAAAGAGTGTTTCAAAACTGCTCTATGAAAAGAAAGGTTCAACTCTGTCAGTAGAGGGCACACATCACAAACAAGTTTCTGAGAATGCTTCTGCATAGTTGTTACGGGAAGATATTTCCCTTTCCAAAATAGGCCTGAAAGCGCTCCAAATGTCCACTTCCAGATACTACAAAAGGAGTGATTCCAACCTGCTCTATGATAGGGAATGTTCAACTCTGTGTCCTGAATACAAACATCACAAAGATGTTTCTCAGAACGCTGCAGTCTGCAATTTGTATGAATTCCCGCTTCCAACGAAATCCTCAAAACTAGCCAAATATCCACTTGCAGATTCCACAAAAAGACCATTTCAAAACTGCTCTATCAAAAGAAAGTTCAACTTTGTTAGCTGAGTAGATACAGCATAAACAAGTTTCTGAGAATGCTTCTGTCCAGTTTTTATGGGAAGATATTTCCTTTTTCACCTTAGCCCTGAAATCGCTCCAAAAGTCCAGTTCCAGATACTACAAAAGGAGTGTTTCAAGACTGCTCTATGAAAGGGAGTGTTCAACTTTTGACTTGAATGCAAACATCAGAAAGCAGTTTCTCAGAACGCTGCTGTGTGCTTTTTATATGTATTCCCGCTTCCAGCGAAATCCCCAAAGCTAGCCAAATATCCACTTGCAGATTCCAGAAAAAGAGTGTTTCAAAACTGCTCCTTCAAAACGGTGGTTCAATTCTCTTAGTTGAGTACACACATCTCAAATAAGTTTCTGAGAATGCTTCTGTCTAGTTGTTATGGGAAGATATTTCCTTTTCCAACATAGGCCTGAAAGCACTCCAAATGTCCACTTCCAGATACTACAAAAGGAGTGATTCCAACCTGCTCTATGATAGGGAATGTTCAACTCTGTGTCCTGAATACAAACATCACAAAGATGTTTCTCAGAACGCTGCAGTCTGCAATTTGTATGAATTCCCGCTTCCAACGAAATCCTCCAAACTAGCCAAATATCCACTTGCAGATTCCACAAAAAGAGCGTTTCAAAACTTCTCTATGAAAAGAAAGGTTCTACTCCTTTAGTTGAGGACACACATCACGAGTAAGTTTCTGAGAATGCTTCTGTCTAGTTTTTATGGGAAGATATTTCCTTTTTCACCTTAGGCCGGAAAGTGCTCCAAATGTCCACTTACACACACTACAAAAAGAGTGTTTCAAACCTGCTCTGTGAAAGGGAATGTTCAATTCTGTGACTTGAATGCAATCATCACAAAGAACTTTCTGAGAATGCTGCTGTCTGCTTTTTATATGTAATCCCGTTTCCAACGAAATCCTCAAATCTAGCCAAATAGCCACTTGCAGATTCCACAAAAAGAGTGTTTCAAAACTGTTCTGTCTAAAGAAATGTTCAACTGTGTTAGTTGAGGACACATATCAGAAACTAGTTTCTGAGAATGCTTCTGTCTAGTTGTTATGGGAAGATATTTCCTTTTCCAACGTAGGCCTGAAAGCGCTCCAAATGTCCACTTCCATATACTAAAAAAAGAGTGTTTCAAACCTGCTCTACCAAAGGGAATGTTCTACTCCGTGACTTGAATGCAAACATCCCAAAGAAGTTTCTGAGAATGCTTCTGTCTAGATTTGATCTGAAGACAATCCCGTTTCCAACGAAATCCTCAAGGCTAGGCAAATATCCTCTTGCAGATTCCAGAAAAAGAGTGTTTCAAAACTGCTCCTTCAAAACGGTGATTCAATTCTCTTAGTTGAGTACACACATCTCAAATAAGTTTCTGAGAATGCTTCTGCCTAGTTGTTACGGGAAGATATTTCCCTTTCCAACATAGGCCTGAAAGCGCTCCAAATGTCCACTTCCAGATACTACAAAAAGAGTGTTTCAAACCTGCTCTACCAAAGGGAATGTTCTACTCTGTGACTTGAATGCAAACATCCCAAAGAAGTTTCTGAGAATGCTTCTGTCTAGATTTTACCTGAAGACAATCCCGTTTCCCACGAAATCCTCAAAGCTATGCAAATATCCTCTTGCAGATTCTACAAAAAGAGTGTTTCAAAACTGCTCTATGAAAAGAAAGGTTCAACTCTGTCAGTGGAGGGCACACATCACAAACAAGTTTCTGAGAACGCTTGTGTCTAGTTGTTATGGGAAGATATTTCCTTTTTCAACATAGGCCTGAAAGCGCTCCAAATGTCCACTTCCAGATACTACAAAAGGAGTGATTCCAACCTGCTCTATGATAGGGAATGTTCATCTCTGTGTCCTGAATACAAACATCACAAAGATGTTTCTCAGAACGCTGCAGTCTGCAATTTGTATGAATTCCCGCTTCCAACGAAATCCTCAAAACTAGCCAAATATCCACTTGGAGATTCCACAAAAAGAGCGTTTCAAAACTTCTCTATGAATAGAAAGGTTCTACTCCTTTAGTTGAGGACACACATCACGAGTAAGTTTCTGAGAATGCTTCTGTCTAGTTTTTATGGGAAGATATGTCCTTTTTCACCTTAGGCCGGAAAGCGCTCCAAATGTCCACTTACACACACTACAAAAAGAGTGTTTCAAACCTGCTCTGTGAAAGGGAATGTTCAATTCTGTGACTTGAATGCAATCATCACAAAGAACTTTCTGAGAATGCTGCTGACTGCTTTTTATATGTAATCCCGTTTCCAACGAAATCCTCAAATCTAGCCCAATATCCACTTGCAGATTCCACAAAAAGAGTGTTTCAAAACTGTTCTGTCTAAAGAAATGTACAACTGTGTTAGTTGAGGACACACATCAGAAACTAGTTTCTGAGAATGCTTCTGTCTAGTTGTTATGGGAAGATATTTCCTTTTCCAACGTAGGCCTGAAAGCGCTCCAAATGTCCACTTCCATATACTAAAAAAAGAGTGTTTCAAACCTGCTCTACCAAAGGGAATGTTCTACTCTGTGACTTGAATGCAAACATCCCAAAGAAGTTTCTGAGAATGCTTCTGTCTAGATTTTATCTGAAGACAATCCCGTTTCCAACGAAATCCTCAAGGCTAGGCAAATATACTCTTGCAGATTCCAGAAAAAGAGTGTTTCAAAACTGCTCCTTCAAAACGGTGGTTCAATTCTCTTAGTTGAGTACACACATCTCAAATAAGTTTCTGAGAATGCTTCTGCCTAGTTGTTACGGGAAGATATTTCCCTTTCCAACATGGGCCTGAAAGCGCTCCAAATGTCCACTTCCAGATACTACAAAAAGAGTGTTTCAAACCTGCTCTACCAAAGGGAATGTTCTACTCTGTGACTTGAATGCAAACATCCCAAAGAAGTTTCTGAGAATGCTTCTGTCTAGATTTTACCTGAAGACAATCCCGTTTCCCACGAAATCCTCAAAGCTATGCAAATATCCTCTTGCAGATTCTACAAAAAGAGTGTTTCAAAACTGCTCTATGAAAAGAAAGGTTCAACTCTGTCAGTAGAGGGCACACATCACAAACAAGTTTCTGAGAATGCTTGTGTCTAGTTGTTATGGGAAGATATTTCCTTTTTCAACATAGGCCTGAAAGCGCTCCAAATGTCCACTTCCAGATACTACAAAAGGAGTGATTCCAACCTGCTCTATGATAGGGAATGTTCATCTCTGTGTCCTGAATACAAACATCACAAAGATGTTTCTCAGAACGCTGCAGTCTGCAATTTGTATGAATTCCCGCTTCCAACGAAATCCTCAAAACTAGCCAAATATCCACTTGGAGATTCCACAAAAAGAGCGTTTCAAAACTTCTCTATGAATAGAAAGGTTCTACTCCTTTAGTTGAGGACACACATCACGAGTAAGTTTCTGAGAATGCTTCTCTCTAGTTTTTATGGGAAGATATGTCCTTTTTCACCTTAGGCCGGAAAGCGCTCCAAATGTCCACTTACACACACTACAAAAAGAGTGTTTCAAACCTGCTCTGTGAAAGGGAATGTTCAATTCTGTGACTTGAATGCAATCATCACAAAGAACTTTCTGAGAATGCTGCTGACTGCTTTTTATATGTAATCCCGTTTCCAACGAAATCCTCAAATCTAGCCCAGTATCCACTTGCAGATTCCACAAAAAGAGTGTTTCAAAACTGTTCTGTCTAAAGAAAAGTTCAACTGTGTTAGTTGAGGACACACATCAGAAACTAGTTTCTGAGAATGCTTCTGTCTAGTTGTTATGGGAAGATATTTCCTTTTCCAACGTAGGCCTGAAAGCGCTCCAAATGTCCACTTCCATATACTAAAAAAAGAGTGTTTCAAACCTGCTCTACCAAAGGGAATGTTCTACTCTGTGACTTGAATGCAAACATCCCAAAGAAGTTTCTGAGAATGCTTCTGTCTAGATTTTATCTGAAGACAATCCCGTTTCCAACGAAATCCTCAAGGCTAGGCAAATATACTCTTGCAGATTCCAGAAAAAGAGTGTTTCAAAACTGCGCCTTCAAAACGGTGGTTCAATTCTCTTAGTTGAGTACACACATCTCAAATAAGTTTCTGAGAATGCTTCTGCCTAGTTGTTACGGGAAGATATTTCCCTTTCCAACATAGGCCTGAAAGCGCTTCAAATGTCCACTTCCAGATACTACAAAAAGAGTGTTTGAAACCTGCTCTACCAAAGGGAATGTTCTACTCTGTGACTTGAATGCAAACATCCCAAAGAAGTTTCTGAGAATGCTTCTGTCTAGATTTTACCTGAAGACAATCCCGTTTCCCACGAAATCCTCAAAGCTATGCAAATATCCTCTTGCAGATTCTACAAAAAGAGTGTTTCAAAACTGCTCTATGAAAAGAAAGGTTCAACTCTGTCAGTAGAGGGCACACATCACAAACAAGTTTCTGAGAATACTTGTGTCTAGTTGTTATGGGAAGATATTTCCTTTTTCAACATAGGGCCTGAAAGCGCTCCAAATGTCCACTTCCAGATACTACAAAAGGAGTGATTCCAACCTGCTCTATGATAGGGAATGTTCATCTCTGTGTCCTGAATACAAACATCACAAAGATGTTTCTCAGAACGCTGCAGTCTGCAATTTGTATGAATTCCCGCTTCCAACGAAATCCTCAAAACTAGCCAAATATCCACTTGGAGATTCCACAAAAAGAGCGTTTGAAAACTTCTCTATGAATAGAAAGGTTCTACTCCTTTAGTTGAGGACACACATCACGAGTAAGTTTCTGTGAATGCTTCTGTCTAGTTTTTATGGGAAGATATGTCCTTTTTCACCTTAGGCCGGAAAGCGCTCCAAATGTCCACTTACACACACTACAAAAAGAGTGTTTCAAACCTGCTCTATGAAAGGGAATGTTCAATTCTGTGACTTGAATGCAATCATCACAAAAAACTTTCTGAGAATGCTGCTGACTGCTTTTTATATGTAATCCCGTTTCCAACGAAATCCTCAAATCTAGCCAAATAGCCACTTGCAGATTCCACAAAAAGAGTGTTTCAAAACTGTTCTGTCTAAAGAAATGTTCAACTGTGTTAGTTGAGGACACACATCAGAAACTAGTTTCTGAGAATGCTTCTGTCTAGTTGTTATGGGAAGATATTTCCTTTTCCAACGTAGGCCTGAAAGCGCTCCAAATGTCCACTTCCATATACTAAAAAAAGAGTGTTTCAAACCTGCTCTACCAAAGGGAATGTTCTACTCTGTGACTTGAATGCAAACATCCCAAAGAAGTTTCTGAGAATGCTTCTGTCTAGATTTTCTCTGAAGACAATCCCGTTTCCAACGAAATCCTCAAGGCTAGGCAAATATACTCTTGCAGATTCCAGAAAAAGAGTGTTTCAAAACTGCGCCTTCAAAACGGTGGTTCAATTCTCTTAGTTGAGTACACACATCTCAAATAAGTTTCTGAGAATGCTTCTGCCTAGTTGTTACGGGAAGATATTTCCCTTTCCAACATGGGCCTGAAAGCGCTCCAAATGTCCACTTCCAGATACTACAAAAAGAGTGTTTCAAACCTGCTCTACCAAAGGGAATGTTCTACTCTGTGACTTGAATGCAAACATCCCAAAGAAGTTTCTGAGAACGCTTCTGTCTAGATTTTACCTGAAGACAATCCCGTTTCCCACGAAATCCTCAAAGCTATGCAAATATCCTCTTGCAGATTCTACAAAAAGAGTGTTTCAAAACTGCTCTATGAAAAGAAAGGTTCAACTCTGTCAGTAGAGGGCACACATCACAAACAAGTTTCTGAGAATGCTTCTGCATAGTTGTTACGGGAAGATATTTCCCTTTCCAAAATAGGCCTGAAAGCGCTCCAAATGTCCACTTCCAGATACTACAAAAGGAGTGATTCCAACCTGCTCTATGATAGGGAATGTTCAACTCTGTGTCCTGAATACAAACATCACAAAGATGTTTCTCAGAACGCTGCAGTCTGCAATTTGTATGAATTCCCGCTTCCAACGAAATCCTCAAAACTAGCCAAATATCCACTTGCAGATTCCACAAAAAGACCATTTCAAAACTGCTCTATCAAAAGAAAGGTTCAACTTTGTTAGTTGAGTAGATACAGCATAAACAAGTTTCTGAGAATGCTTCTGTCCAGTTTTTATGGGAAGATATTTCCTTTTTCACCTTAGCCCTGAAATCGCTCCAAAAGTCCAGTTCCAGATACTACAAAACGGGTGTTTCAAGACTGCTCTATGAAAGGGAGTGTTCAACTTTTGACTTGAATGCAAACATCAGAAAGCAGTTTCTCAGAACGCTGCTGTGTGCTTTTTATATGTATTCCCGCTTCCAGCGAAATCCCCAAAGCTAGCCAAATATCCACTTGCAGATTCCAGAAAAAGAGAGTTTCAAAACTGCTCCTTCAAAACGGTGGTTCAATTCTCTTAGTTGAGTACACACATCTCAAATAAGTTTCTGAGAATGCTTCTGTCTAGTTGTTATGGGAAGATATTTCCTTTTCCAACATAGGCCTGAAGCGCTCCAAATGTCCACTTCCAGATACTACAAAAGGAGTGATTCCAACCTGCTCTATGATAGGGAATGTTCAACTCTGTGTCCTGAATACAAACATCACAAAGATGTTTCTCAGAACGCTGCAGTCTGCAATTTGTATGAATTCCCGCTTCCAACGAAATCCTCAAAACTAGCCAAATATCCACTTGCAGATTCCACAAAAAGAGCGTTTCAAAACTTCTCTATGAAAAGAAAGGTTCTACTCCTTTAGTTGAGGACACACATCACGAGTAAGTTTCTGAGAATGCTTCTGTCTAGTTTTTATGGGAAGATATTTCCTTTTTCACCTTAGGCCGGTAAGTGCTCCAAATGTCCACTTACACACACTACAAAAAGAGTGTTTCAAACCTGCTCTGTGAAAGGGAATGTTCAATTCTGTGACTTGAATGCAATCATCACAAAGAACTTTCTGAGAATGCTGCTGACTGCTTTTTATATGTAATCCCGTTTCCAACGAAATCCTCAAATCTAGCCAAATAGCCACTTGCAGATTCCACAAAAAGAGTGTTTCAAAACTGTTCTGTCTAAAGAAATGTTCAACTGTGTTAGTTGAGGACACACATCAGAAACTAGTTTCTGAGAATGCTTCTGTCTAGTTGTTATGGGAAGATATTTCCTTTTCCAACGTAGGCCTGAAAGCGCTCCAAATGTCCACTTCCATATACTAAAAAAAGAGTGTTTCAAACCTGCTCTACCAAAGGGAATGTTCTACTCTGTGACTTGAATGCAAACATCCCAAAGAAGTTTCTGAGAATGCTTCTGTCTAGATTTTCTCTGAAGACAATCCCGTTTCCAACGAAATCCTCAAGGCTAGGCAAATATACTCTTGCAGATTCCAGAAAAAGAGTGTTTCAAAACTGCTCCTTCAAAACGGTGGTTCAATTCTCTTAGTTGAGTACACACATCTCAAATAAGTTTCTGAGAATGCTTCTGCCTAGTTGTTACGGGAAGATATTTCCCTTTCCAACATGGGCCTGAAAGCGCTCCAAATGTCCACTTCCAGATACTACAAAAAGAGTGTTTCAAACCTGCTCTACCAAAGGGAATGTTCTACTCTGTGACTTCAATGCAAACATCCCAAAGAAGTTTCTGAGAATGCTTCTGTCTAGATTTTACCTGAAGACAATCCCGTTTCCCACGAAATCCTCAAAGCTATGCAAATATCCTCTTGCGGATTCTACAAAAAGAGTGTTTCAAAACTGCTCTATGAAAAGAAAGGTTCAACTCTGTCAGTAGAGGGCACACATCACAAACAAGTTTCTGAGAATGCTTGTGTCTAGTTGTTATGGGAAAATATTTCCTTTTTCAACATAGGCCTGAAAGCGCTCCAAATGTCCACTTCCAGATACTACAAAAGGAGTGATTCCAACCTGCTCTATGATAGGGAATGTTCATCTCTGTGTCCTGAATACAAACATCACAAAGATGTTTCTCAGAACGCTGCAGTCTGCAATTTGGATGAATTCCCGCTTCCAACGAAATCCTCAAAACTAGCCAAATATCGACTTGGAGATTCCACAAAAAGAGCGTTTCAAAACTTCTCTATGAATAGAAAGGTTCTACTCCTTTAGTTGAGGACACACATCACGAGTAAGTTTCTGAGAATGCTTCTGTCTAGTTTTTATGGGAAGATATTTCCTTTTTCACCTTAGGCCGGAAAGCGCTCCAAATGTCCACTTACACACACTACAAAAAGAGTGTTTCAAACCTGCTCTGTGAAAGGGAATGTTCAATTCTGTGACTTGAATGCAATCATCACAAAGAACTTTCTGAGAATGCTGCTGACTGCTTTTTATATGTAATCCCGTTTCCAACGAAATCCTCAAATCTAGCCAAATAGCCCCTTGCAGATTCCACAAAAAGAGTGTTTCAAAACTGTTCTGTCTAAAGAAATGTTCAACTGTGTTAGTTGAGGACACACATCAGAAACTAGTTTCTGAGAATGCTTCTGTCTAGTTGTTATGGGAAGATATTTCCTTTTCCAACGTAGGCCTGAAAGCGCTCCAAATGTCCACTTCCATATACTAAAAAAAGAGTGTTTCAAACCTGCTCTACCAAAGGGAATGTTCTACTCTGTGACTTGAATGCAAACATCCCAAAGAAGTTTCTGAGAATGCTTCTGACTAGATTTGATCTGAAGACAATCCCGTTTCCAACGAAATCCTCAAGGCTAGGCAAATATCCTCTTGCAGATTCCAGAAAAAGAGTGTTTCAAAACTGCTCCTTCAAAACGGTGGTTCAATTCTCTTAGTTGAGTACACACATCTCAAATAAGTTTCTGAGAATGCTTCTGCCTAGTTGTTACGGGAAGATATTTCCCTTTCCAACATAGGCCTGAAAGCGCTCCAAATGTCCACTTCCAGATACTACAAAAAGAGTGTTTCAAACCTGCTCTACCAAAGGGAATGTTCTACTCTGTGACTTGAATGCAAACATCCCAAAGAAGTTTCTGAGAATGCTTCTGTCTAGATTTTACCTGAAGACAATCCCGTTTCCCACGAAATCCTCAAAGCTATGCAAATATCCTCTTGCAGATTCTACAAAAAGAGTGTTTCAAAACTGCTCTATGAAAAGAAAGGTTCAACTCTGTCAGTAGAGGGCACACATCACAAACAAGTTTCTGAGAATGCTTCTGCATAGTTGTTACGGGAAGATATTTCCCTTTCCAAAATAGGCCTGAAAGCGCTCCAAATGTCCACTTCCAGATACTACAAAAGGAGTGATTCCAACCTGCTCTATGATAGGGAATGTTCAACTCTGTGTCCTGAATACAAACATCACAAAGATGTTTCTCAGAACGCTGCAGTCTGCAATTTGTATGAATTCCCGCTTCCAACGAAATCCTCAAACCTAGCCAAATATCCACTTGCAGATTCCACAAAAAGAGCATTTCAAACTGCTCTATCAAAAGAAAGGTTCAACTTTGTTAGTTGAGTAGATATAGCATAAACAAGTTTCTGAGAATGCTTCTGTCCAGTTTTTATGGGAAGATATTTCCTTTTTCACCTTAGCCCTGAAAGCGCTCCAAAAGTCCAGTTCCAGATACTACAAAAGGAGTGTTTCAGGACTGCTCTGTGAAAGGGAGTGTTCAACTTTTGACTTGAATGCAAACATCAGAAAGCAGTTTCTCAGAACGCTGCTGTGTGCTTTTTATATGTATTCCCGCTTCCAGCGAAATCCCCAAAGCTAGCCAAATATCCACTTGCAGATTCCAGAAAAAGAGTGTTTCAAAACTGCTCCTTCAAAACGGTGGTTCAATTCTCTTAGTTGAGTACACACATCTCAAATAAGTTTCTGAGAATGCTTCTGTCTAGTTGTTATGGGAAGATATTTCCTTTTCCAACATAGGCCTGAAAGCGCTCCAAATGTCCACTTCCAGATACTACAAAAGGAGTGATTCCAACCTGCTCTATGATAGGGAATGTTCAACTCTGTGTCCTGAATACAAACATCACAAAGATGTTTCTCAGAACGCTGCAGTCTGCAATTTGTATGAATTCCCGCTTCCAACGAAATCCTCAAAACTAGCCAAATATCCACTTGCAGATTCCACAAAAAGAGCGTTTCAAAACTTCTCTATGAAAAGAAAGGTTCTACTCCTTTAGTTGAGGACACACATCACGAGTAAGTTTCTGAGAATGCTTCTGTCTAGTTTTTATGGGAAGATATTTCCTTTTTCACCTTAGGCCGGTAAGTGCTCCAAATGTCCACTTACACACACTACAAAAAGAGTGTTTCAAACCTGCTCTGTGAAAGGGAATGTTCAATTCTGTGACTTGAATGCAATCATCACAAAGAACTTTCTGAGAATGCTGCTGACTGCTTTTTATATGTAATCCCGTTTCCAACGAAATCCTCAAATCTAGCCAAATAGCCACTTGCAGATTCCACAAAAAGAGTGTTTCAAAACTGTTCTGTCTAAAGAAATGTTCAACTGTGTTAGTTGAGGACACACATCAGAAACTAGTTTCTGAGAATGCTTCTGTCTAGTTGTTATGGGAAGATATTTCCTTTTCCAACGTAGGCCTGAAAGCGATCCAAATGTCCACTTCCATATACTAAAAAAAGAGTGTTTCAAACCTGCTCTACCAAAGGGAATGTTCTACTCTGTGACTTGAATGCAAACATCCCAAAGAAGTTTCTGAGAATGCTTCTGTCTAGATTTGATCTGAAGACAATCCCGTTTCCAACGAAATCCTCAAGGCTAGGCAAATATCCTCTTGCAGATTCCAGAAAAAGAGTGTTTCAAAACTGCTCCTTCAAAAGGGTGGTTCAATTCTCTTAGTTGAGTACACACATCTCAAATAAGTTTCTGAGAATGCTTCTGCCTAGTTGTTACGGGAAGATATTTCCCTTTCCAACATAGGCCTGAAAGCGCTCCAAATGTCCACTTCCAGATACTACAAAAAGAGTGTTTCAAACCTGCTCTACCAAAGGGAATGTTCTACTCTGTGACTTGAATGCAAACATCCCAAAGAAGTTTCTGAGAATGCTTCTGTCTAGATTTTATCTGAAGACAATCCCGTTTCCAACGAAATCCTCAAAGCTAGGCAAATATCCTCTAGCAGATTCCAGAAAAAGTGTGTTTCAAAACTGGTCCTTCAAAACGGTGGTTCAATTCTCTTAGTTGAGTACACACATCTCAAATAAGTTTCTGAGAATGCTTCTGCCTAGTTGTTACGGGAAGATATTTCCCTTTCCAACATAGGCCTGAAAGCGCTCCAAATGTCCACTTCCAGATACTACAAAAAGAGTGTTTGAAACCTGCTCTACCAAAGGGAATGTTCTATTCTGTGACTTGAATGTAAACATCCCAAAGAAGTTTCTGAGAATGCTTCTGTCTAGATTTTTCCTGAAGACAATCCCGTTTCCCATGAAATCCTCAAAGCTATGCAAATATCCTCTTGCAGATTCTACAAAAAGAGTGTTTCAAAACTGCTCTATGAAAAGAAAGGTTCAACTCTGTCAGTAGAGGGCACACATCACAAACAAGTTTCTGAGAATGCTTGTGTCTAGTTGTTATGGGAAGATATTTCCTTTTCCAACATAGGCCTGAAAGCGCTCCAAATGTCCACTTCCAGATACTACAAAAGGAGGGATTCCAACCTGGTCTATGATAGGGAATGTTCAACTCTCTGTCCTGAATACAAACATCACAAAGATGTTTCTCAGAACGCTGCAGTCTGCAATTTGTATGAATTCCCGCTTCCAACGAAATCCTCAAAACTAGCCAAATATCCACTTGCAGATTCCACAAAAAGAGCGTTTCAAAACTTCTCTATGAAAAGAAAGGTTCTACTCCTTTAGTTGAGGACACACATCACGAGTAAGTTTCTGAGAATGCTTCTGTCTAGTTTTTAAGGGAAGATATTTCCTTTTTCACCTTAGGCCGGAAAGTGCTCCAAATGTCCACTTACACACACTACAAAAAGAGTGTTTCAAACCTGCTCTGTGAAAGGGAATGTTCAATTCTGTGACTTGAATGCAATCATCACAAAGAACTTTCTGAGAATGCTGCTGTCTGCTTTTTATATGTAATCCCGTTTCCAACGAAATCCTCAAATCTAGCCAAATAGCCACTTGCAGATTCCACAAAAAGAGTGTTTCAAAACTGTTCTGTCTAAAGAAATGTTCAACTGTGTTAGTTGAGGACACACATCAGAAACTAGTTTCTGAGAATGCTTCTGTCTAGTTGTTATGGGAAGATATTTCCTTTTCCAAAGTAGGCCTGAAAGCGCTCCAAATGTCCACTTCCATATACTAAAAAAAGAGTGTTTCAAACCTGCTCTACCAAAGGGAATGTTCTACTCTGTGACTTGAATGCAAACATCCCAAAGAAGTTTCTGAGAATGCTTCTGTCCAGATTTGATCTGAAGACAATCCCGTTTCCAACGAAATCCTCAAGGCTAGGCAAATATCCTCTTGCAGATTCCAGAAAAAGAGTGTTTCAAAACTGCTCCTTCAAAACCGTGGTTCAATTCTCTTAGTTGAGTACACACATCTCAAATAAGTTTCTGAGAATGCTTCTGCCTAGTTGTTACGGGAAGATATTTCCCTTTCCAACATAGGCCTGAAAGCGCTCCAAATGTCCACTTCCAGATACTACAAAAAGAGTGTTTCAAACCTGCTCTACCAAAGGGAATGTTCTACTCTGTGACTTGAATGCAAACATCCCAAAGAAGTTTCTGAGAATGCTTCTGTCTAGATTTTACCTGAAGACAATCCCGTTTCCCACGAAATCCTCAAAGCTATGCAAATATCCTCTTGCAGATTCTACAAAAAGAGTGTTTCAAAACTGCTCTATGAAAAGAAAGGTTCAACTCTGTCAGTAGAGGGCACACATCACAAACAAGTTTCTGAGAATGCTTCTGCATAGTTGTTACGGGAAGATATTTCCCTTTCCAAAATAGGCCTGAAAGCGCTCCAAATGTCCACTTCCAGATACTACAAAAGGAGTGATTCCAACCTGCTCTATGATAGGGAATGTTCAACTCTGTGTCCTGAATACAAACATCACAAAGATGTTTCTCAGAACGCTGCAGTCTGCAATTTGTATGAATTCCCGCTTCCAACGAAATCCTCAAAACTAGCCAAATATCCACTTGCAGATTCCACAAAAAGACCATTTCAAAACTGCTCTATCAAAAGAAAGGTTCAACTTTGTTAGTTGAGTAGATACAGCATAAACAAGTTTCTGAGAATGCTTCTGTCCAGTTTTTATGGGAAGATATTTCCTTTTTCACCTTAGCCCTGAAATCGCTCCAAAAGTCCAGTTCCAGATACTACAAAAGGGGTGTTTCAAGACTGCTCTATGAAAGGGAGTGTTCAACTTTTGACTTGAATGCAAACATCAGAAAGCAGTTTCTCAGAACGCTGCTGTGTGCTTTTTATATGTATTCCCGCTTCCAGCGAAATCCCCAAAGCTAGCCAAATATCCACTTGCAGATTCCAGAAAAAGAGAGTTTCAAAACTGCTCCTTCAAAACGGTGGTTCAATTCTCTTAGTTGAGTACACACATCTCAAATAAGTTTTCTGAGAATGCTTATCTGTCTAGTTGTTATGGGAAGATATTTCCTTTTCCAACATAGGCCTGAAAGCGCTCCAAATGTCCACTTCCAGATACTACAAAAGGAGTGATTCAAACCTGCTCTATGATAGGGAATGTTCAACTCTGTGTCCTGAATACAAACATCACAAAGATGTTTCTCAGAACGCTGCAGTCTGCATCTTGTATGAATTCCCGCTTCCAGCGAAATCCTCCAAACTAGCCAAATATCCACTTGCAGATTCCACAAAAAGAGCGTTTCAAAACTTCTCTATGAAAAGAAAGGTTCTACTCCTTTAGTTGAGGACACACATCACGAGTAAGTTTCTGAGAATGCTTCTGTCTAGTTTTTATGGGAAGATATTTCCTTGTTCACCTTAGGCCGGAAAGCGCTCCAAATGTCCACTTACACACACTACAAAAAGAGTGTTTCAAACCTGCTCTGTGAAAGGGAATGTTCAATTCTGTGACTTGAATGCAATCATCAAAAAGAAGTTTCTGAGAATGCTGCTGTCTGCTTTTTATATGTAATCCCGTTTCCAACGAAATCCTCAAATCTAGCCAAATATCCACTTGCAGATTCCACAAAAAGAGTGTTTCAAAACTGTTCTGTCTAAAGAAATGTTCAACTGTGTTAGTTGAGGACACACATCAGAAACTAGTTTCTGAGAATGCTTCTGTCTAGTTGTTATGGGAAGATATTTCCTTTTCCAACGTAGGCCTGAAAGCGCTCCAAATGTCCACTTACACACACTACAAAAAGAGTGTTTCAACCTGCTCTGTGAAAGGGAATGTTCAATTCTGTGACTTGAATGCAATCATCACAAAGAAGTTTCTGAGAATGCTTCTGTCTAGATTTGATCTGAAGACAATCCCTTTTCCAACGAAATCCTCAAAGCTAGGCAAATATCCTCTTGCAGATTCCAGAAAAAGAGTGTTTCCAAACTGCTCCTTCAAAACGGTGGTTCAATTCTCTTAGTTGAGTACACACATCTCAAATAAGTTTCTGAGAATGCTTCTGCCTAGTTGTTACGGGAAGATATTTCCCTTTCCAACATAGGCCTGAAAGCGCAACAAATGTCCACTTCCAGATACGACAAAAAGAGTGTTTCAAACCTGCTCTACCAAAGGGAATGTTCTACTCTGTGACTTGAATGCAAACATCCCGAAGAAGTTTCTGAGAATGCTTCTGTCTAGGTTTTACCTGAAGACAATCCCGTTTCCCACGAAATCCTCAGAGCTATGCAAATATCCTCTTGCAGATTCTACAAAAAGAGTGTTTCGAAACTGCTCTATGAAAAGAAAGGTTCAACTTCTGTCAGTAGAGGAAACACATCACCAACAAGTTTCTGAGAATGCTTCTGTCTAGTTGTTATGGGAAGATTTTTCCTTTTTCAACATAGGCCTGAAAGCGCTCCAAATGTCCACTTCCAGATACTACAAAAGGAGTGATCCCAACCTGCTCTATGATAGGGAATGTTCAACTCTGTGTCCTGAATACAAACATCACAAAGATGTTTCTCAGAACGCTGCAGTCTGCAATTTGTATGAATTCCCGCTTCCAACGAAATCCTCAAAACTAGCCAAATATCCACTTGCAGATTCCACAAAAAGAGCATTTCAAAACTGCTCTATCAAAAGAAAGGTTCAACTTTGTTAGTTGAGCAGATACAGCATAAACAAGTTTCTGAGAATGCTTCTGTCCAGTTTTTATGGGAAGATATTTCCTTTTTCACCTTAGCCCTGAAAGCGCTCCAAATGTCCAGTTCCAGATACTACAAAAGGGGTGTTTCAAGACTGCTCTATGAAAGGGAGTGTTCAACTTTTGACTTGAATGCAAACATCAGAAAGCAGTTTCTCAGAACGCTGCTGTGTGCTTTTTATATGTATTCCCGCTTCCAGCGAAATCCCCATAGCTAGCCAAATATCCACTTGCAGATTCCAGAAAAAGAGTGTTTCCAAACTGCTCCTTCAAAACGGTGGTTCAATTCTCTTAGTTGAGTACACACATCTCAAATAAGTTTCTGGGAATGCTTCTGTCTAGTTGTTATGGGAAGATATTTCCTTTTCCAACATAGGCCTGAAAGCGCTCCAAATGTCCACTTCCAGATACTACAAAAGGAGTGATTCAAACCTGCTCTATGATAGGGAATGTTCAACTCTGTGTCCTGAATACAAACATCACAAAGATGTTTCTCAGAACGCTGCAGTCTGCATCTTGTATGAATTCCCGCTTCCAACGAAATCCTCCAAACTAGCCAAATATCCACTTGCAGATTCCACAAAAAGAGCGTTTCAAAACTTCTCTATGAAAAGAAAGGTTCTACTCCTTTAGTTGAGGACACACATCACGAGTAAGTTTCTGAGAATGCTTCTGTCTAGTTTTTATGGGAAGATATTTCCTTGTTCACCTTAGGCCGGAAAGCGCTCCAAATGTCCACTTACACACACTACAAAAAGAGTGTTTCAAACCTGCTCTGTGAAAGGGAATGTTCAATTCTGTGACTTGAATGCAATCATCACAAAGAAGTTTCTGAGAATGCTGCTGTCTGCTTTTTATATGTAATCCCGTTTCCAACGAAATCCTCAAATCTAGCCAAATATCCACTTGCAGATTCCACAAAAAGAGTGTTTCAAAACTGTTCTGTCTAAAGAAATGTTCAACTGTGTTAATTGAGGACACACATCAGAAACTAGTTTCTGAGAATGCTTCTGTCTAGTTGTTATGGGAAGATATTTCCTTTTCCAACGTAGGCCTGAAAGCGCTCCAAATGTCCACTTCCATATACTAAAAAAAGAGTGTTTCAAACCTGCTCTACCAAAGGAATGTTCTACTCTGTGACTTGAATGCAAACATCCCAAAGAAGTTTCTGAGAATGCTTCTGTCTAGATTTGATCTGAAGACAATCCCTTTTCCAACGAAATCCTCAAAGCTAGGCAAATATCCTCTTGCAGATTCCAGAAAAAGAGTGTTTCCAAACTGCTCCTTCAAAACGGTGGTTCAATTCTCTTAGTTGAGTACACACATCTCAAATAAGTTTCTGAGAATGCTTCTGCCTAGTTGTTACGGGAAGATATTTCCCTTTCCAACATAGGCCTGAAAGCGCAACAAATGTCCACTTCCAGATACGACAAAAAGAGTGTTTCAAACCTGCTCTACCAAAGGGAATGTTCTACTCTGTGACTTGAATGCAAACATCCCGAAGAAGTTTCTGAGAATGCTTCTGTCTAGATTTTACCTGAAGACAATCCCGTTTCCCACGAAATCCTCAGAGCTATGCAAATATCCTCTTGCAGATTCTACATAAAGAGTGTTTTGAAACTGCTCTATGAAAAGAAAGGTTCAACTCTGTCAGTAGAGGAAACACATCACCAACAAGTTTCTGAGAATGCTTCTGTCTAGTTGTTATGGGAAGATTTTTCCTTTTTCAACATAGGCCTGAAAGCGCTCCAAATGTCCACTTCCAGATACTACAAAAGGAGTGATCCCAACCTGCTCTATGATAGGGAATGTTCAACTCTGTGTCCTGAGTACAAACATCACAAAGATGTTTCTCAGAACGCTGCAGTCTGCAATTTGTATGAATTCCCGCTTCCAACGAAATCCTCAAAACTAGCCAAATATCCACTTGCAGATTCCACAAAAAGAGCATTTCAAAACTGCTCTATCAAAAGAAAGGTTCAACTTTGTTAGTTGAGCAGATACAGCATAAACAAGTTTCTGAGAATGCTGCAGTCTGCAATTTGTATGAATTCCCGCTTCCAACGAAATCCTCAAAACTAGGCAAATATCCACTTGGAGATTCCACAAAAAGAGCGTTTCAAAACTTCTCTATGAATAGAAAGGTTCTACTCCCTTAGTTGAGGACACACATCACGAGTAAGTTTCTGAGAATGCTTCTGTCTAGTTTTTATGGGAAGATATGTCCTTTTTCACCTTAGGCCGGAAAGCGCTCCAAATGTCCACTTACACACACTACAAAAAGAGTGTTTCAAACCTGCTCTGTGAAAGGGAATGTTCAATTCTGTGACTTGAATGCAATCATCACAAACAACTTTCTGAGAATGCTGCTGTCTGCTTTTTATATGTAATCCCCTTTCCAACGAAATCCTCAAATCTAACCCAATATCCACTTGCAGATTCCACAAAAAGAGTGTTTCAAAACTGTTCTGTCTAAAGAAAAGTTCAACTGTGTTAGTTGAGGACACACATCAGAAACTAGTTTCTGAGAATGCTTCTGTCTAGTTGTTATGGGAAGATATTTCCTTTTCCAACGTAGGCCTGAAAGCGCTCCAAATGTCCACTTCCATATACTAAAAAAAGAGTGTTTCAAACCTGCTCTACCAAAGGGAATGTTCTACTCTGTGACTTGAATGCAAACATCCCAAAGAAGTTTCTGAGAATGCTTCTGTCTAGATTTTATCTGAAGACAATCCCGTTTCCAACGAAATCCTCAAGGCTAGGCAAATATACTCTTGCAGATTCCAGAAAAAGAGTGTTTCAAAACTGCTCCTTCAAAACGGTGGTTCAATTCTCTTAGTTGAGTCCACACATCTCAAATAAGTTTCTGAGAATGCTTCTGCCTAGTTGTTACGGGAAGATATTTCCCTTTCCAACATGGGCCTGAAAGCGCTCCAAATGTCCACTTCCAGATACTACAAAAAGAGTGTTTCAAACCTGCTCTACCAAAGGGAATGTTCTACTCTGTGACTTGAATGCAAACATCCCAAAGAAGTTTCTGAGAATGCTTCTGTCTAGATTTTACCTGAAGACAATCCCGTTTCCCACGAAATCCTCAAAGCTATGCAAATATCCTCTTGCAGATTCTACAAAAAGAGTGTTTCAAAACTGCTCTATGAAAAGAAAGGTTCAACTCTGTCAGTAGAGGGCACACATCACAAACAAGTTTCTGAGAATGTTTGTGTCTAGTTGTTATGGGAAGATATTTCCTTTTTCAACATAGGCCTGAAAGCGCTCCAAATGTCCACTTCCAGATACTACAAAAGGAGTGATTCCAACCTGCTCTATGATAGGGAATGTTCATCTCTGTGTCCTGAATACAAACATCACAAAGATGTTTCTCAGAACGCTGCAGTCTGCAATTTGTATGAATTCCCGCTTCCAACGAAATCCTCAAAACTAACCAAATATCCACTTGGAGATTCCACAAAAAGAGCGTTTCAAAACTTCTCTATGAATAGAAAGGTTCTACTCCTTTAGTTGAGGACACACATCACGAGTAAGTTTCTGAGAATGCTTCTGTCTAGTTTTTATGGGAAGATATGTCCTTTTTCACCTTAGGCCGGAAAGCGCTCCAAATGTCCACTTACACACACTACAAAAAGAGTGTTTCAAACCTGCTCTGTTAAAGAGAATGTTCAATTCTGTGACTTGAATGCAATCATCACAAAGAACTTTCTGAGAATGCTGCTGTCTGCTTTTTATATGTAATCCCGTTTCCAACGAAATCCTCAAATCTAGCCCAACATCCACTTGCAGATTCCACAAAAAGAGTGTTTCAAAACTGTTCTGTCTAAAGAAAAGTTCAACTGTGTTAGTTGAGGACACACATCAGAAACTAGTTTCTGAGAATGCTCTCTGTCTAGTTGTTATGGGAAGATATTTCCTTTTCCAACGTAGGCCTGAAAGTGCTCCAAATGTCCACTTCCATATACTAAAAAAAGAGTGTTTCAAACCTGCTCTACCAAAGGGAATGTTCTACTCTGTGACTTGAATGCAAACATCCCAAAGAAGTTTCTGAGAATGCTTCTGTCTAGATTTGATCTGAAGACAATCCCGTTTCCAACGAAATCCTCAAGGCTAGGCAAATATACTCTTGCAGATTCCAGAAAAAGAGGGTTTCAAAACTGCTCCTTCAAAACGGTGGTTCAATTCTCTTAGTTGAGTACACACATCTCAAATAAGTTTCTGAGAATGCTTCTGCCTAGTTGTTACGGGAAGATATTTCCTTTTGCAACATGGGCCAGAAAGCGCTCCAAATGTCCACTTCCAGATACTACAAAAAGAGGGTTTCAAACCTGCTCTACCAAAGGGAATGTTCTACTCTGTGACTTGAATGTAAACATCCCAAAGAAGTTTCTGAGAATGCTTCTGTCTAGATTTTACCTGAAGACAATCCCGTTTCCCACGAAATCCTCAAAGCTATGCAAATATCCTCTTGCAGATTCTACAAAAAGAGTGTTTCAAAACTGCTCTATGAAAAGAAAGGTTCAACTCTGTCAGTAGAGGGCACACATCACAAACAAGTTTCTGAGAATGCTTGTGTCTAGTTGTTATGGGAAGATATTTCCTTTTTCAACATAGGCCTGAAAGCGCTCCAAATGTCCACTTCCAGATACTACAAAAGGAGTGATTCCAACCTGCTCTATGATAGGGAATGTTCATCTCTGTGTCCTGAATACAAACATCACAAAGATGTTTCTCAGAACGCTGCAGTCTGCAATTTGTATGAATTCCCGCTTCCAAAGAAATCCTCAAAACTAGCCAAATATCCACTTGGAGATTCCACAAAAAGAGCTTTTCAAAACTTCTCTATGAATAGAAAGGTTCTACTCCTTTAGTTGAGGACACACATCACGAGTAAGTTTCTGAGAATGCTTCTGTCTAGTTTTTATGGGAAGATATTTCCTTTTTCACCTTAGGCCGGAAAGCGCTCCAAATGTCCACTTACACACACTACAAAAAGAGTGTTTCAAACCTGCTCTGTGAAAGGGAATGTTCAATTCTGTGACTTGAATGCAATCACCACAAAGAACTTTCTGAGAATGCTGCAGTCTGCTTTTTATATGTAATCCCGTTTCCAACGAAATCCTCAAATCTAGCCAAATATCCACTTGCAGATTCCACAAAAAGAGTGTTTCAAAACTGTTCTGTCTAAAGAAAAGTTCAACTGTGTTAGTTGAGGACACACATCAGAAACTAGTTTCTGAGAATGCTTCTGTCTAGTTGTTATGGGAAGATAATTCCTTTTCCAACGTAGGCCTGAAAGCGCTCCAAATGTCCACTTACACACACTACAAAAAGATTGTTTCAAACCTGCTCTACCAAAGGGAATGTTCTACTCTGTGACTTGAATGCAAACATCCCAAAGAAGTTTCTGAGAATGCTTCTGTCTAGATTTGATCTGAAGACAATCCCGTTTCCAACGAAATCATCAAGGCTAGGCAAATATCCTCTTGCAGATTCCAGAAAAAGAGTGTTTCAAAACTGCTCCTTCAAAACGGTGGTTCAATTCTCTTACTTGAGTACACACATCTCAAATAAGTTTCTGAGAACGCTTCTGCCTAGTTGTTACGGGAAGATATTTCCCTTTCCAACATGGGCCTGAAAGCGCTCCAAATGTCCACTTCCAGATACTACAAAAAGAGTGTTTCAAACCTGCTCTACCAAAGGGAATGTTCTACTCTGTGACTTGAATGCAAACATCCCAAAGAAGTTTCTGAGAATGCTTCTGTCTAGATTTTATCTGAAGACAATCCCGTTTCCAACGAAATCCTCAAGGCTAGGCAAATATACTCTTGCAGATTCCAGAAAAAGAGTGTTTCAAAACTGCTCCTTCAAAACGGTGGTTCAATTCTCTTAATTGAGTACACACATCTCAAATAAGTTTCTGAGAATGCTTCTGCCTAGTTGTTACGGGAAGATATTTCCCTTTCCAACATGGGCCTGATAGCGCTCCAAATGTCCACTTCCAGATACTACCAAAAGAGGTTTTCAAACCTGCTCTACCAAAGGGAATGTTCTACTCTGTGACTTGAATGCAAACATCCCAAAGAAGTTTCTGAGAATGCTTCTGTCTAGATTTTACCTGAAGACAATCCCGTTTCCCACGAAATCCTCAAAGCTATGCAAATATCCTCTTGCAGATTCTACAAAAAGAGTGTTTCAAAACTGCTCTATGAAAAGAAAGGTTCAACTCTGTCAGTAGAGGGCACACATCACAAACAAGTTTCTGAGAATGCTTGTGTCTAGTTGTTATGGGAAGATATTTCCTTTTTCAACATAGGCCTGAAAGCGCTCCAAATGTCCACTTCCAGATACTACAAAAGGAGTGATTCCAACCTGCTCTATGATAGGGAATGTTCATCTCTGTGTCCTGAATACAAACATCACAAAGATGTTTCTCAGAACGCTGCAGTCTGCAATTTGTATGAATTCCCGCTTCCAACGAAATCCTCAAAACTAGCCAAATATCCACTTGGAGATTCCACAAAAAGAGCGTTTGAAAACTTCTCTATGAATAGAAAGGTTCTACTCCTTTAGTTGAGGACACACATCACGAGTAAGTTTCTGAGAATGCTTCTGTCTAGTTTTTATGGGAAGATATTTCCTTTTTCACCTTAGGCCGGAAAGCGCTCCAAATGTCCACTTACACACACTACAAAAAGAGTGTTTCAAACCTGCTCTGTGAAAGGGAATGTTCAATTCTGTGACTTGAATGCAATCATCACAAAGAACTTTCTGAGAATGCTGCTGTCTGCTTTTTATATATAATCCCGTTTCCAACGAAATCCTCAAATCTAGCCAAATAGCCACTTGCAGATTCCACAAAAAGAGAGTTTCAAAACTGTTCTGTCTAAAGAAATGTTCAACTGTGTTAGTTGAGGACACACATCAGAAACTAGTTTCTGAGAATGCTTCTGTCTAGTTGTTATGGGAAGATATTTCCTTTTCCAACGTAGGCCTGAAAGCGCTCCAAATGTCCACTTCCATATACTAAAAAAAGAGTGTTTCACACCTGCTCTACCAAAGGGAATGTTCTACTCTGTGACTTGAATGCAAACATCCCAAAGAAGTTTCTGAGAATGCTTCTGTCTAGATTTGATCTGAAGACAATCCCGTTTCCAACGAAATCCTCAAGGCTAGGCAAATATCCTCTTGCAGATTCCAGAAAAAGAGTGTTTCAAAACTGCTCCTTCAAAACGGTGGTTCAATTCCTCTTAGTTGAGTACACACATCTCAAATAAGTTTCTGAGAATGCTTCTGCCTAGTTGTTACCGGAAGATATTTCCCTTTCCAACATAGGCCTGAAAGCGCTCCAAATGTCCACTTCCAGATACTACAAAAAGAGTGTTTCAAACCTGCTCTACCAAAGGGAATGTTCTACTCTGTGACTTGAATGCAAACATCCCAAAGAAGTTTCTGAGAATGCTTCTGTCTAGATTTTACCTGAAGACAATCCCGTTTCCCACGAAATCCTCAAAGCTATGCAAAAATCCTCTTGCAGATTCTACAAAAAGAGTGTTTCAAAACTGCTCTATGAAAAGAAAGGTTCAACTCTGTCAGTAGAGGGCACACATCACAAACAAGTTTCTGAGAATGCTTGTGTCTAGTTGTTATGGGAAGATATTTCCTTTTTCAACATAGGCCTGAAAGCGCTCCAAATGTCCACTTCCAGATACTACAAAAGGAGTGATTCCAACCTGCTCTATGATAGGGAATGTTCAACTCTCTGTCCTGAATACAAACATCACAAAGATGTTTCTCAGAACGCTGCAGTCTGCAATTTGTATGAATTCCCGCTTCCAACGAAATCCTCAAAACTAGCCAAATATCCACTTGCAGATTCCACAAAAAGACCATTTCAAAACTGCTCTATCAAAAGAAAGGTTCAACTTTGTTAGTTGAGTAGTTACAGCATAAACAAGTTTCTGAGAATGCTTCTGTCCAGTTTTTATGGGAAGATATTTCCTTTTTCACCTTAGCCCTGAAATCGCTCCAAAAGTCCAGTTCCAGATACTACAAAACGGGTGTTTCAAGACTGCTCTATGAAAGGGAGTGTTCAACTTTTGACTTGAATGCAAACATCAGAAAGCAGTTTCTCAGAACGCTGCTGTGTGCTTTTTATATGTATTCCCGCTTCCAGCGAAATCCCCAAAGCTAGCCAAATATCCACTTGCAGATTCCAGAAAAAGAGAGTTTCAAAACTGCTCCTTCAAAACGGTGGTTCAATTCTCTTAGTTGAGTACACACATCTCAAATAAGTTTCTGAGAATGCTTCTGTCTAGTTGTTATGGGAAGATATTTCCTTTTCCAACATAGGCCTGAAAGCGCTCCAAATGTCCACTTCCAGATACTACAAAAGGAGTGATTCAAACCTGCTCTATGATAGGGAATGTTCAACTCTGTGTCCTGAATACAAACATCACAAAGATGTTTCTCAGAACGCTGCAGTCTGCAATTTGTATGAATTCCCGCTTCCAACGAAATCCTCAAAACTAGCCAAATATCCACTTGCAGATTCCACAAAAAGAGCGTTTCAAAACTTCTCTATGAAAAGAAAGGTTCTACTCCTTTAGTTGAGGACACACATCACGAGTAAGTTTCTGAGAATGCTTCTGTCTAGTTTTTATGGGAAGATATTTCCTTTTTCACCTTAGGCCGGTAAGTGCTCCAAATGTCCACTTACACACACTACAAAAAGAGTGTTTCAAACCTGCTCTGTGAAAGGGAATGTTCAATTCTGTGACTTGAATGCAATCATCACAAAGAACTTTCTGAGAATGCTGCTGACTGCTTTTTATATGTAATCCCGTTTCCAACGAAATCCTCAAATCTAGC
The DNA here is from genome assembly GCF_000001405.40 of Homo sapiens. Classification (NCBI taxonomy): domain Eukaryota; kingdom Metazoa; phylum Chordata; class Mammalia; order Primates; family Hominidae; genus Homo; species Homo sapiens. Next base: position 17,572,710 of record NC_000018.10, on the reverse strand, counting down.
CAAATAGCCACTTGCAGATTCCACAAAAAGAGTGTTTCAAAACTGTTCTGTCTAAAGAAATGTTCAACTGTGTTAGTTGAGGACACACATCAGAAACTAGTTTCTGAGAATGCTTCTGTCTAGTTGTTATGGGAAGATATTTCCTTTTCCAACGTAGGCCTGAAAGCGCTCCAAATGTCCACTTCCATATACTAAAAAAAGAGTGTTTCAAACCTGCTCTACCAAAGGGAATGTTCTACTCTGTGACTTGAATGCAAACATCCCAAAGAAGTTTCTGAGAATGCTTCTGTCTAGATTTTATCTGAAGACAATCCCGTTTCCAACGAAATCCTCAAGGCTAGGCAAATATCGTCTAGCAGATTCCAGAAAAAGAGTGTTTCAAAACTGCTCCTTCAAAACGGTGGTTCAATTCTCTTAGTTGAGTACACACATCTCAAAAAAGTTTCAGAGAATGCTTCTGCCTAGTTGTTACGGGAAGATATTTCCCTTTCCAACATGGGCCTGAAAGTGCTGCAAATGTCCACTTCCAGATACTACAAAAAGAGTGTTTCAAACCTGCTCTACCAAAGGGAATGTTCTACTCTGTGACTTGAATGCAAACATCCCAAAGAAGTTTCTGAGAATGCTTCTGTCTAGATTTTACCTGAAGACAATCCCGTTTCCCACGAAATCCTCAAAGCTATGCAAATATCCTCTTGCAGATTCTACAAAAAGAGTGTTTCAAAACTGCTCTATGAAAAGAAAGGTTCAACTCTGTCAGTAGAGGGCACACATCACAAACAAGTTTCTGAGAATGCTTGTGTCTAGTTGTTATGGGAAGATATTTCCTTTTTCAACATAGGCCTGAAAGCGCTCCAAATGTCCACTTCCAGATACTACAAAAGGAGTGATTCCAACCTGCTCTATGATAGGGAATGTTCATCTCTGTGTCCTGAATACAAACATCACAAAGATGTTTCTCAGAACGCTGCAGTCTGCAATTTGTATGAATTCCCGCTTCCAACGAAATCCTCCAAACTAGCCAAATATCCACTTGCAGATTCCACAAAAAGAGCGTTTCAAAACTTCTCTATGAAAAGAAAGGTTCTACTCCTTTAGTTGAGGACACACATCACGAGTAAGTTTCTGAGAATGCTTCTGTCTAGTTTTTATGGGAAGATATTTCCTTTTTCACCTTAGGCCGGTAAGAGCTCCAAATGTCCACTTACACACACTACAAAAAGAGTGTTTCAAACCTGCTCTGTGAAAGGGAATGTTCAATTCTGTGACTTGAATGCAATCATCACAAAGAACTTTCTGAGAATGCTGCTGACTGCTTTTTATATGTAATCCCGTTTCCAACGAAATCCTCAAATCCAGCCAAATAGCCACTTGCAGATTCCACAAAAAGAGTGTTTCAAAACTGTTCTGTCTAAAGAAATGTTCAACTGTGTTAGTTGAGGACACACATCAGAAACTAGTTTCTGAGAATGCTTCTGTCTAGTTGTTATGGGAAGATATTTCCTTTTCCAACGTAGGCCTGAAAGCGCTCCAAATGTCCACTTCCATATACTAAAAAAAGAGTGTTTCAAACCTGCTCTACCAAAGGGAATGTTCTACTCTGTGACTTGAATGCAAACATCCCAAAGAAGTTTCTGAGAATGCTTCTGTCTAGATTTTCTCTGAAGACAATCCCGTTTCCAACGAAATCCTCAAGGCTAGGCAAATATACTCTTGCAGATTCCAGAAAAAGAGTGTTTCAAAACTGCTCCTTCAAAACGGTGGTTCAATTCTCTTAGTTGAGTACACACATCTCAAATAAGTTTCTGAGAATGCTTCTGCCTAGTTGTTACGGGAAGATATTTCCCTTTCCAACATGGGCCTGAAAGCGCTCCAAATGTCCACTTCCAGATACTACAAAAAGAGTGTTTCAAACCTGCTCTACCAAAGGGAATGTTCTACTCTGTGACTTGAATGCAAACATCCCAAAGAAGTTTCTGAGAATGCTTCTGTCTAGATTTTACCTGAAGACAATCCCGTTTCCCACGAAATCCTCAAAGCTATGCAAATATCCTCTTGCAGATTCTACAAAAAGAGTGTTTCAAAACTGCTCTATGAAAAGAAAGGTTCAACTCTGTCAGTAGAGGGCACACATCACAAACAAGTTTCTGAGAATGCTTCTGCATAGTTGTTACGGGAAGATATTTCCCTTTCCAAAATAGGCCTGAAAGCGCTCCAAATGTCCACTTCCAGATACTACAAAAGGAGTGATTCCAACCTGCTCTATGATAGGGAATGTTCAACTCTGTGTCCTGAATACAAACATCACAAAGATGTTTCTCAGAACGCTGCAGTCTGCAATTTGTATGAATTCCCGCTTCCAACGAAATCCTCAAAACTAGCCAAATATCCACTTGCAGATTCCACAAAAAGACCATTTCAAAACTGCTCTATCAAAAGAAAGGTTCAACTTTGTTAGTTGAGTAGTTACAGCATAAACAAGTTTCTGAGAATGCTTCTGTCCAGTTTTTATGGGAAGATATTTCCTTTTTCACCTTAGCCCTGAAATCGCTCCAACAGTCCAGTTCCAGATACTACAAAACGGGTGTTTCAAGACTGCTCTATGAAAGGGAGTGTTCAACTTTTGACTTGAATGCAAACATCAGAAAGCAGTTTCTCAGAACGCTGCTGTGTGCTTTTTATATGTATTCCCGCTTCCAGCGAAATCCCCAAAGCTAGCCAAATATCCACTTGCAGATTCCAGAAAAAGAGAGTTTCAAAACTGCTCCTTCAAAACGGTGGTTCAATTCTCTTAGTTGAGTACACACATCTCAAATAAGTTTCTGAGAATGCTTCTGTCTAGTTGTTATGGGAAGATATTTCCTTTTCCAACATAGGCCTGAAAGCGCTCCAAATGTCCACTTCCAGATACTACAAAAGGAGTGATTCCAACCTGCTCTATGATAGGGAATGTTCAACTCTGTGTCCTGAATACAAACATCACAAAGATGTTTCTCAGAACGCTGCAGTCTGCAATTTGTATGAATTCCCGCTTCCAACGAAATCCTCAAAACTAGCCAAATATCCACTTGCAGATTCCACAAAAAGAGCGTTTCAAAACTTCTCTATGAAAAGAAAGGTTCTACTCCTTTAGTTGAGGACACACATCACGAGTAAGTTTCTGAGAATGCTTCTGTCTAGTTTTTATGGGAAGATATTTCCTTTTTCACCTTAGGCCGGTAAGTGCTCCAAATGTCCACTTACACACACTACAAAAAGAGTGTTTCAAACCTGCTCTGTGAAAGGGAATGTTCAATTCTGTGACTTGAATGCAATCATCACAAAGAACTTTCTGAGAATGCTGCTGACTGCTTTTTATATGTAATCCCGTTTCCAACGAAATCCTCAAATCTAGCCAAATAGCCACTTGCAGATTCCACAAAAAGAGTGTTTCAAAACTGTTCTGTCTAAAGAAATGTTCAACTGTGTTAGTTGAGGACACACATCAGAAACTAGTTTCTGAGAATGCTTCTGTCTAGTTGTTATGGGAAGATATTTCCTTTTCCAACGTAGGCCTGAAAGCGCTCCAAATGTCCACTTCCAGATATTAAAAAAAGAGTGTTTCAAACCTGCTCTACCAAAGGGAATGTTCTACTCTGTGACTTGAATGCAAACATCCCAAAGAAGTTTCTGAGAATGCTTCTGTCTAGATTTTCTCTGAAGACAATCCCGTTTCCAACGAAATCCTCAAGGCTAGGCAAATATACTCTTGCAGATTCCAGAAAAAGAGTGTTTCAAAACTGCTCCTTCAAAACGGTGGTTCAATTCTCTTAGTTGAGTACACACATCTCAAATAAGTTTCTGAGAATGCTTCTGCCTAGTTGTTACGGGAAGATATTTCCCTTTCCAACATGGGCCTGAAAGCGCTCCAAATGTCCACTTCCAGATACTACAAAAAGAGTGTTTCAAACCTGCTCTACCAAAGGGAATGTTCTACTCTGTGACTTGAATGCAAACATCCCAAAGAAGTTTCTGAGAATGCTTCTGTCTAGATTTTACCTGAAGACAATCCCGTTTCCCACGAAATCCTCAAAGCTATGCAAATATCCTCTTGCAGATTCTACAAAAAGAGTGTTTCAAAACTGCTCTATGAAAAGAAAGGTTCAACTCTGTCAGTAGAGGGCACACATCACAAACAAGTTTCTGAGAATGCTTCTGCATAGTTGTTACGGGAAGATATTTCCCTTTCCAACATAGGCCTGAAAGCGCTCCAAATGTCCACTTCCAGATACTACAAAAGGAGTGATTCCAACCTGCTCTATGATAGGGAATGTTCAACTCTGTGTCCTGAATACAAACATCACAAAGATGTTTCTCAGAACGCTGCAGTCTGCAATTTGTATGAATTCCCGCTTCCAACGAAATCCTCAAAACTAGCCAAATATCCACTTGCAGATTCCACAAAAAGACCATTTCAAAACTGCTCTATCAAAAGAAAGGTTCAACTTTGTTAGTTGAGTAGATACAGCATAAACAAGTTTCTGAGAATGCTTCTGTCCAGTTTTTATGGGAAGATATTTCCTTTTTCACCTTAGCCCTGAAATCGCTCCAAAAGTCCAGTTCCAGATACTACAAAAGGGGTGTTTCAAGACTGCTCTATGAAAGGGAGTGTTCAACTTTTGACTTGAATGCAAACATCAGAAAGCAGTTTCTCAGAACGCTGCTGTGTGCTTTTTATATGTATTCCCGCTTCCAGCGAAATCCCCAAAGCTAGCCAAATATCCACTTGCAGATTCCAGAAAAAGAGAGTTTCAAAACTGCTCCTTCAAAACGGTGGTTCAATTCTCTTAGTTGAGTACACACATCTCAAATAAGTTTCTGAGAATGCTTCTGTCTAGTTGTTATGGGAAGATATTTCCTTTTCCAACATAGGCCTGAAAGCGCTCCAAATGTCCACTTCCAGATACTACAAAAGGAGTGATTCCAACCTGCTCTATGATAGGGAATGTTCAACTCTGTGTCCTGAATACAAACATCACAAAGATGTTTCTCAGAACGCTGCAGTCTGCAATTTGTATGAATTCCCGCTTCCAACGAAATCCTCAAAACTAGCCAAATATCCACTTGCAGATTCCACAAAAAGACCATTTCAAAACTGCTCTATCAAAAGAAAGGTTCAACTTTGTTAGTTGAGTAGATACAGCATAAACAAGTTTCTGAGAATGCTTCTGTCCAGTTTTTATGGGAAGATATTTCCTTTTTCACCTTAGCCCTGAAATCGCTCCAAAAGTCCAGTTCCAGATACTACAAAAGGGGTGTTTCAAGACTGCTCTATGAAAGGGAGTGTTCAACTTTTGACTTGAATGCAAACATCAGAAAGCAGTTTCTCAGAACGCTGCTGTGTGCTTTTTATATGTATTCCCGCTTCCAGCGAAATCCCCAAAGCTAGCCAAATATCCACTTGCAGATTCCAGAAAAAGAGAGTTTCAAAACTGCTCCTTCAAAACGGTGGTTCAATTCTCTTAGTTGAGTACACACATCTCAAATAAGTTTCTGAGAATGCTTCTGTCTAGTTGTTATGGGAAGATATTTCCTTTTCCAACATAGGCCTGAAAGCGCTCCAAATGTCCACTTCCAGATACTACAAAAGGAGTGATTCCAACCTGCTCTATGATAGGGAATGTTCAACTCTGTGTCCTGAATACAAACATCACAAAGATGTTTCTCACAACGCTGCAGTCTGCAATTTGTATGAATTCCCGCTTCCAACGAAATCCTCAAAACTAGCCAAATATCCACTTGCAGATTCCACAAAAAGAGCGTTTCAAAACTTCTCTATGAAAAGAAAGGTTCTACTCCTTTAGTTGAGGACACACATCACGAGTAAGTTTCTGAGAATGCTTCTGTCTAGTTTTTATGGGAAGATATTTCCTTTTTCACCTTAGGCCGGTAAGTGCTCCAAATGTCCACTTACACACACTACAAAAAGAGTGTTTCAAACCTGCTCTGTGAAAGGGAATGTTCAATTCTGTGACTTGAATGCAATCATCACAAAGAACTTTCTGAGAATGCTGCTGACTGCTTTTTATATGTAATCCCGTTTCCAACGAAATCCTCAAATCTAGCCAAATAGCCACTTGCAGATTCCACAAAAAGAGTGTTTCAAAACTGTTCTGTCTAAAGAAATGTTCAACTGTGTTAGTTGAGGACACACATCAGAAACTAGTTTCTGAGAATGCTTCTGTCTAGTTGTTATGGGAAGATATTTCCTTTTCCAACGTAGGCCTGAAAGCGCTCCAAATGTCCACTTCCATATACTAAAAAAAGAGTGTTTCAAACCTGCTCTACCAAAGGGAATGTTCTACTCTGTGACTTGAATGCAAACATCCCAAAGAAGTTTCTGAGAATGCTTTTGTCTAGATTTTATCTGAAGACAATCCCGTTTCCAACGAAATCCTCAAGGCTAGTCAAATATACTCTTGCAGATTCCAGAAAAAGAGGGTTTCAAAACTGCTCCTTCAAAACGGTGGTTCAATTCTCTTCGTTGAGTACACACATCTCAAATAAGTTTCTGAGAATGATTCTGCTTAGTTGTTACGGGAAGATATTTCCCTTTCCAACATGGGCCTGAAAGCGCTCCAAATGTCCACTTCCAGATACTACAAAAAGAGTGTTTCAAACCTGCTCTACCAAAGGGAATGTTCTACTCTGTGACTTGAATGCAAACATCCCAAAGAAGTTTCTGAGAATGCTTCTGTCTAGATTTTACCTGAAGACAATCCCGTTTCCCACGAAATCCTCAAAGTTATGCAAATATCCTCTTGCGGATTCTACAAAAAGAGTGTTTCAAAACTGCTCTATGAAAAGAAAGGTTCAACTCTGTCAGTAGAGGGCACACATCACAAACAAGTTTCTGAGAATGCTTGTGTCTAGTTGTTATGGGAAGATATTTCCTTTTTCAACATAGGCCTGAAAGCGCTCCAAATGTCCACTTCCAGATACTACAAAAGGAGTGATTCCAACATGCTCTATGATAGGGAATGTTCATCTCTGTGTCTTGAATACAAACATCACAAAGATGTTTCTCAGAACGCTGCAGTCTGCAATTTGTATGAATTCCCGCTTCCAACGAAATCCTCAAAACTAGCCAAATATCCACTTGGAGATTGCACAAAAAGAGCGTTTCAAAACTTCTCTATCAATAGAAAGGTTCTACTCCTTTAGGTGAGGACACACATCACGAGTAAGTTTCTGAGAATGCTTCTGTCTAGTTTTTATGGGAAGATATGTCCTTTTTCACCTTAGGCCGGAAAGCGCTCCAAATGTCCACTTACACACACTACAAAAAGAGTGTTTCCAACCTGCTCTATGAAAGGGAATGTTCAATTCTGTGACTTGAATGCAATCATCACAAAGAACTTTCTGAGAATGCTGCTGACTGCTATTTATATGTAATCCCGTTTCCAACGAAATCCTCAAATCTAGCCCAATATCCACTTGCAGATTCCACAAAAAGAGTGTTTCAAAACTGTTCTGTCTAAAGAAATGTACAACTGTGTTAGTTGAGGACACACATCAGAAACTAGTTTCTGAGAATGCTTCTGTCTAGTTGTTATGGGAAGATATTTCCTTTTCCAACGTAGGCCTGAAAGCGCTCCAAATGTCCACTTCCATATACTAAAAAAAGACTGTTTCAAACCTGCTCTACCAAAGGGAATGTTCTACTCTGTGACTTGAATGCAAACATCCCAAAGAAGTTTCTGAGAATGCTTCTGTCTAGATTTTCTCTGAAGACAATCCCGTTTCCAACGAAATCCTCAAGGCTAGGCAAATATACTCTTGCAGATTCCAGAAAAAGAGTGTTTCAAAACTGCTCCTTCAAAACGGTGGTTCAATTCTCTTAGTTGAGTACACACATCTCAAATAAGTTTCTGAGAATGCTTCTGCCTAGTTGTTACGGGAAGATATTTCCCTTTCCAACATGGGCCTGAAAGCGCTCCAAATGTCCACTTCCAGATACTACAAAAAGAGTGTTTCAAACCTGCTCTACCAAAGGGAATGTTCTACTCTGTGACTTGAATGCAAACATCCCAAAGAAGTTTCTGAGAATGCTTCTGTCTAGATTTTACCTGAAGACAATCCCGTTTCCCACGAAATCCTCAAAGCTATGCAAATATCCTCTTGCAGATTCTACAAAAAGAGTGTTTCAAAACTGCTCTATGAAAAGAAAGGTTCAACTCTGTCAGTAGAGGGCACACATCACAAACAAGTTTCTGAGAATGCTTCTGCATAGTTGTTACGGGAAGATATTTCCCTTTCCAAAATAGGCCTGAAAGCGCTCCAAATGTCCACTTCCAGATACTACAAAAGGAGTGATTCCAACCTGCTCTATGATAGGGAATGTTCAACTCTGTGTCCTGAATACAAACATCACAAACATGTTTCTCAGAACGCTGCAGTCTGCAATTTGTATGAATTCCCGCTTCCAACGAAATCCTCAAAACTAGCCAAATATCCACTTGCAGATTCCACAAAAAGACCATTTCAAAACTGCTCTATCAAAAGAAAGGTTCAACTTTGTTAGTTGAGTAGATACAGCATAAACAAGTTTCTGAGAATGCTTCTGTCCAGTTTTTATGGGAAGATATTTCCTTTTTCACCTTAGCCCTGAAATCGCTCCAAAAGTCCAGTTCCAGATACTACAAAAGGGGTGTTTCAAGACTGCTCTATGAAAGGGAGTGTTCAACTTTTGACTTGAATGCAAACATCAGAAAGCAGTTTCTCAGAACGCTGCTGTGTGCTTTTTATATGTATTCCCGCTTCCAGCGAAATCCCCAAAGCTAGCCAAATATCCACTTGCAGATTCCAGAAAAAGAGAGTTTCAAAACTGCTCCTTCAAAACGGTGGTTCAATTCTCTTAGTTGAGTACACACATCTCAAATAAGTTTTCTGAGAATGCTTATCTGTCTAGTTGTTATGGGAAGATATTTCCTTTTCCAACATAGGCCTGAAAGCGCTCCAAATGTCCACTTCCAGATACTACAAAAGGAGTGATTCAAACCTGCTCTATGATAGGGAATGTTCAACTCTGTGTCCTGAATACAAACATCACAAAGATGTTTCTCAGAACGCTGCAGTCTGCAATTTGTATGAATTCCCGCTTCCAACGAAATCCTCAAAACTAGCCAAATATCCACTTGCAGATTCCACAAAAAGAGCGTTTCAAAACTTCTCTATGAAAAGAAAGGTTCTACTCCTTTAGTTGAGGACACACATCACGAGTAAGTTTCTGAGAATGCTTCTGTCTAGTTTTTATGGGAAGATTATTTCCTTTTTCACCTTAGGCCGGTAAGTGCTCCAAATGTCCACTTACACACACTACAAAAAGAGTGTTTCAAACCTGCTCTGTGAAAGGGAATGTTCAATTCTGTGACTTGAATGCAATCATCACAAAGAACTTTCTGAGAATGCCGCTGGCTGCTTTTTATATGTAATCCCGTTTCCAACGAAATCCTCAAATCTAGCCAAATAGCCACTTGCAGATTCCACAAAAAGAGTGTTTCAAAACTGTTCTGTCTAAAGAAATGTTCAACTCTGTTAGTTGAGGACACACATCAGAAACTAGTTTCTGAGAATGCTTCTGTCTAGTTGTTATGGGAAGATATTTCCTTTTCCAACGTAGGCCTGAAAGCGCTCCAAATGTCCACTTCCAGATACTACAAAAAGAGTGTTTCAAACCTGCTCTACCAAAGGGAATGTTCTACTCTGTGACTTGAATGCAAGCATCCCAAAGAAGTTTCTGAGAATGCTTCTGTCTAGATTTTCTCTGAAGACAATCCCGTTTCCAACGAAATCCTCAAGGCTAGGCAAATATCCTCTTGCAGATTCCAGAAAAAGAGTGTTTCAAAACTGCTCCTTCAAAACGGTGGTTCAATTCTCTTAGTTGAGTACACACATCTCAAATAAGTTTCTGAGAATGCTTCTGCCTAGTTGTTACGGGAAGATATTTCCCTTTCCAACATGGGCCTGAAAGCGCTCCAAATGTCCACTTCCAGATACTACAAAAAGAGTGTTTCAAACCTGCTCTACCAAAGGGAATGTTCTACTCTGTGACTTGAATGCAAACATCCCAAAGAAGTTTCTGAGAATGCTTCTGTCTAGATTTTACCTGAAGACAATCCCGTTTCCCACGAAATCCTCAAAGCTATGCAAATATCCTCTTGCAGATTCTACAAAAAGAGTGTTTCAAAACTGCTCTATGAAAAGAAAGGTTCAACTCTGTCAGTAGAGGGCACACATCACAAACAAGTTTCTGAGAATGCTTCTGCATAGTTGTTACGGGAAGATATTTCCCTTTCCAAAATAGGCCTGAAAGCGCTCCAAATGTCCACTTCCAGATACTACAAAAGGAGTGATTCCAACCTGCTCTATGATAGGGAATGTTCAACTCTGTGTCCTGAATACAAACATCACAAAGATGTTTCTCAGAACGCTGCAGTCTGCAATTTGTATGAATTCCCGCTTCCAACGAAATCCTCAAAACTAGCCAAATATCCACTTGCAGATTCCACAAAAAGACCATTTCAAAACTGCTCTATCAAAAGAAAGGTTCAACTTTGTTAGTTGAGTAGATACAGCATAAACAAGTTTCTGAGAATGCTTCTGTCCAGTTTTTATGGGAAGATATTTCCTTTTTCACCTTAGCCCTGAAATCGCTCCAAAAGTCCAGTTCCAGATACTACAAAAGGGGTGTTTCAGGACTGCTCTATGAAAGGGAGTGTTCAACTTTTGACTTGAATGCAAACATCAGAAAGCAGTTTCTCAGAACGCTGCTGTGTGCTTTTTATATGTATTCCCGCTTCCAGCGAAATCCCCAAAGCTAGCCAAATATCCACTTGCAGATTCCAGAAAAAGAGAGTTTCAAAACTGCTCCTTCAAAACGGTGGTTCAATTCTCTTAGTTGAGTACACACATCTCAAATAAGTTTCTGAGAATGCTTCTGTCTAGTTGTTATGGGAAGATATTTCCTTTTCCAACATAGGCCTGAAAGCGCTCCAAATGTCCACTTCCAGATACTACAAAAGGAGTGATTCAAACCTGCTCTATGATAGGGAATGTTCAACTCTGTGTCCTGAATACAAACATCACAAAGATGTTTCTCAGAACGCTGCAGTCTGCAATTTGTATGAATTCCCGCTTCCAACGAAATCCTCAAAACTAGCCAAATATCCACTTGCAGATTCCACAAAAAGAGCGTTTCAAAACTTCTCTATGAAAAGAAAGGTTCTACTCCTTTAGTTGAGGACACACATCACGAGTAAGTTTCTGAGAATGCTTCTGTCTAGTTTTTATGGGAAGATATTTCCTTTTTCACCTTAGGCCGGTAAGTGCTCCAAATGTCCACTTACACACACTACAAAAAGAGTGTTTCAAACCTGCTCTGTGAAAGGGAATGTTCAATTCTGTGACTTGAATGCAATCATCACAAAGAACTTTCTGAGAATGCTGCTGACTGCTTTTTATATGTAATCCCGTTTCCAACGAAATCCTCAAATCTAGCCAAATAGCCACTTGCAGATTCCACAAAAAGAGTGTTTCAAAACTGTTCTGTCTAAAGAAATGTTCAACTGTGTTAGTTGAGGACACACATCAGAAACTAGTTTCTGAGAATGCTTCTGTCTAGTTGTTATGGGAAGATATTTCCTTTTCCAACGTAGGCCTGAAAGCGCTCCAAATGTCCACTTCCATATACTAAAAAAAGAGTGTTTCAAACCTGCTCTACCAAAGGGAATGTTCTACTCTGTGACTTGAATGCAAACATCCCAAAGAAGTTTCTGAGAATGCTTCTGTCTAGATTTTCTCTGAAGACAATCCCGTTTCCAACGAAATCCTCAAGGCTAGGCAAATATACTCTTGCAGATTCCAGAAAAAGAGTGTTTCAAAACTGCTCCTTCAAAACGGTGGTTCAATTCTCTTAGTTGAGTACACACATCTCAAATAAGTTTCTGAGAATGCTTCTGCCTAGTTGTTACGGGAAGATATTTCCCTTTCCAACATGGGCCTGAAAGCGCTCCAAATGTCCACTTCCAGATACTACAAAAAGAGTGTTTCAAACCTGCTCTACCAAAGGGAATGTTCTACTCTGTGACTTGAATGCAAACATCCCAAAGAAGTTTCTGAGAATGCTTCTGTCTAGATTTTACCTGAAGACAATCCCGTTTCCCACGAAATCCTCAAAGCTATGCAAATATCCTCTTGCAGATTCTACAAAAAGAGTGTTTCAAAACTGCTCTATGAAAAGAAAGGTTCAACTCTGTCAGTAGAGGGCACACATCACAAACAAGTTTCTGAGAATGCTTCTGTCTAGTTGTTATGGAAAGATATTTCCTTTTTCAACATAGGCCTGAAAACGCTCCAAATGTCCACTTCCAGATACTACAAAAGGAGTGATTCCAACCTGCTCTATGATAGGGAATGTTCAACTCTGTGTCCTGAATACAAACATCACAAAGATGTTTCTCAGAACGCTGCAGTCTGCAATTTGTATGAATTCCCGCTTCCAACGAAATCCTCAAAACTAGCCAAATATCCACTTGCAGATTCCACAAAAAGACCATTTCAAAACTGCTCTATCAAAAGAAAGGTTCAACTTTGTTAGTTGAGTAGATACAGCATAACCAAGTTTCTGAGAATGCTTCTGTCCAGTTTTTATGGGAAGATATTTCCTTTTTCACCTTAGCCCTGAAATCGCTCCAAAAGTCCAGTTCCAGATACTACAAAAGGGGTGTTTCAAGACTGCTCTATGAAAGGGAGTGTTCAACTTTTGACTTGAATGCAAACATCAGAAAGCAGTTTCTCAGAACGCTGCTGTGTGCTTTTTATATGTATTCCCGCTTCCAGCGAAATCCCCAAAGCTAGCCAAATATCCACTTGCAGATTCCAGAAAAAGAGAGTTTCAAAACTGCTCCTTCAAAACGGTGGTTCAATTCTCTTAGTTGAGTACACACATCTCAAATAAGTTTCTGAGAATGCTTGTGTCTAGTTGTTATGGGAAGATATTTCCTTTTTCAACATAGGCCTGAAAGCGCTCCAAATGTCCACTTCCAGATACTACAAAAGGAGTGACTCCAACATGCTCTATGATAGGGAATGTTCACCTCTGTGTCTTGAATACAAACATCACAAAGATGTTTCTCAGAACGCTGCAGTCTGCAATTTGTATGAATTCCCGCTTCCAACGAAATCCTCAAAACTAGCCAAATATCCACTTGCAGATTCCACAAAAAGAGCGTTTCAAAACTTCTCTATGAAAAGAAAGGTTCTACTCCTTTAGTTGAGGACACACATCACGAGTAAGTTTCTGAGAATGCTTCTGTCTAGTTTTTATGGGAAGATATTTCCTTTTTCACCTTAGGCCGGTAAGGGTTCCAAATGTCCACTTACACACACTACAAAAAGAGTGTTTCAAACCTGCTCTGTGAAAGGGAATGTTCAATTCTGTGACTTGAATGCAATCATCACAAAGAACTTTCTGAGAATGCTGCTGACTGCTTTTTATATGTAATCCCGTTTCCAACGAAATCCTCAAATCTAGCCAAATAGCCACTTGCAGATTCCACAAAAAGAGTGTTTCAAAACTGTTCTGTCTATAGAAATGTTCAACTGTGTTAGTTGAGGACACACATCAGAAACTAGTTTCTGAGAATGCTTCTGTCTAGTTGTTATGGGAAGATATTTCCTTTTCCAACGTAGGCCTGAAAGCGCTCCAAATGTCCACTTCCATATACTAAAAAAAGAGTGTTTCAAACCTGCTCTACCAAAGGGAATGTTCTACTCTGTGACTTGAATGCAAACATCCCAAAGAAGTTTCTGAGAATGCTTCTGTCTAGATTTTCTCTGAAGACAATCCCGTTTCCAACGAAATCCTCAAGGCTAGGCAAATATACTCTTGCAGATTCCAGAAAAAGAGTGTTTCAAAACTGCTCCTTCAAAACGGTGGTTCAATTCTCTTAGTTGAGTACACACATCTCAAATAAGTTTCTGAGAATGCTTCTGCCTAGTTGTTACGGGAAGATATTTCCCTTTCCAACATGGGCCTGAAAGCGCTCCAAATGTCCACTTCCAGATACTACAAAAAGAGTGTTTCAAACCTGCTCTACCAAAGGGAATGTTCTACTCTGTGACTTGAATGCAAACATCCCAAAGAAGTTTCTGAGAATGCTTCTGTCTAGATTTTACCTGAAGACAATCCCGTTTCCCACGAAATCCTCAAAGCTATGCAAATATCCTCTTGCAGATTCTACAAAAAGAGTGTTTCAAAACTGCTCTATGAAAAGAAAGGTTCAACTCTGTCAGTAGAGGGCACACATCACAAACAAGTTTCTGAGAATGCTTGTGTCTAGTTGTTATGGGAAGATATTTCCTTTTTCAACATAGGCCTGAAAGCGCTCCAAATGTCCACTTCCAGATACTACAAAAGGAGTGATTCCAACGTGCTCTATGATAGGGAATGTTCATCTCTGTGTCCTGAATACAAACATCACAAAGATGTTTCTCAGAACGCTGCAGTCTGCAATTTGTATGAATTCCCGCTTCCAACGAAATCCTCAAAACTAGCCAAATATCCACTTGCAGATTCCACAAAAAGACCATTTCAAAACTGCTCTATCAAAAGAAAGGTTCAACTTTGTTAGTTGAGTAGATACAGCATAAACAAGTTTCTGAGAATGCTTCTGTCCAGTTTTTATGGGAAGATATTTCCTTTTTCACCTTAGCCCTGAAATCGCTCCAAAAGTCCAGTTCCAGATACTACAAAAGGGGTGTTTCAAGACTGCTCTATGAAAGGGAGTGTTCAACTTTTGACTTGAATGCAAACATCAGAAAGCAGTTTCTCAGAACGCTGCTGTGTGCTTTTTATATGTATTCCCGCTTCCAGCGAAATCCCCAAAGCTAGCCAAATATCCACTTGCAGATTCCAGAAAAAGAGTGTTTCAAAACTGCTCCTTCAAAACGGTCGTTCAATTCTCTTAGTTGAGTACACACATCTCAAATAAGTTTCTGAGAATGCTTCTGTCTAGTTGTTATGGGAAGATATTTCCTTTTCCAACATAGGCCTGAAAGCGCTCCAAATGTCCACTTCCAGATACTACAAAAGGAGTGATTCAAACCTGCTCTATGATAGGGAATGTTCAACTCTGTGTCCTGAATACAAACATCACAAAGATGTTTCTCAGAACGCTGCAGTCTGCAATTTGTATGAATTCCCGCTTCCAACGAAATCCTCCAAACTAGCCAAATATCCACTTGCAGATTCCACAAAAAGAGCGTTTCAAAACTTCTCTATGAAAAGAAAGGTTCTACTCCTTTAGTTGAGGACACACATCACGAGTAAGTTTCTGAGAATGCTTCTGTCTAGTTTTTATGGGAAGATATTTCCTTTTTCACCTTAGGCCGGAAAGTGCTCCAAATGTCCACTTACACACACTACAAAAAGAGTGTTTCAAACCTGCTCTGTGAAAGGGAATGTTCAATTCTGTGACTTGAATGCAATCATCACAAAGAAGTTTCTGAGAATGCTGCTGTCTGCTTTTTATATGTAATCCCGTTTCCAACGAAATCCTCAAATCTAGCCAAATAGCCACTTGCAGATTCCACAAAAAGAGAGTTTCAAAACTGTTCTGTCTAAAGAAATGTTCAACTGTGTTAGTTGAGGACACACATCAGAAACTAGTTTCTGAGAATGCTTCTGTCTAATTGTTATGGGAAGATATTTCCTTTTCCAACGTAGGCCTGAAAGCGCTCCAAATGTCCACTTCCATATACTAAAAAAAGAGTGTTTCAAACCTGCTCTACCAAAGGGAATGTTCTACTCTGTGACTTGAATGCAAACATCCCAAAGAAGTTTCTGAGAATGCTTCTGTCTAGATTTGATCTGAAGACAATCCCGTTTCCAACGAAATCCTCAAAGCTAGGCAAATATCCTCTTGCAGATTCCAGAAAAAGAGTGTTTCAAAACTGCTCCTTCAAAACGGTGGTTCAATTCTCTTAGTTGAGTACACACATCTCCAATAAGTTTCTGAGAATGCTTCTGCCTAGTTGTTACGGGAAGATATTTCCCTTTCCAACATAGGCCTGAAAGCGCAACAAATGTCCACTTCCAGATACGACAAAAAGAGTGTTTCAAACCTGCTCTACCGAAGGGAATGTTCTACTCTGTGACTTGAATGCAAACATCCCGAAGAAGTTTCTGAGAATGCTTCTGTCTAGATTTTACCTGAAGACAATCCCGTTTCCCACGAAATCCTCAGAGCTATGCAAATATCCTCTTGCAGATTCTACAAAAAGAGTGTTTCGAAACTGCTCTATGAAAAGAAAGGTTCAACTCTGTCAGTAGAGGAAACACATCACCAACAAGTTTCTGAGAATGCTTCTGTCTAGTTGTTATGGGAAGATTTTTCCTTTTTCAACATAGGCCTGAAAGCGCTCCAAATGTCCACTTCCAGATACTACAAAAGGAGTGATCCCAACCTGCTCTATGATAGGGAATGTTCAACTCTGTGTCCTGAATACAAACATCACAAAGATGTTTCTCAGAACGCTGCAGTCTGCAATTTGTATGAATTCCCGCTTCCAACGAAATCCTCAAAACTAGCCAAATATCCACTTGCAGATTCCACAAAAAGAGCATTTCAAAACTGCTCTATCAAAAGAAAGGTTTAACTTTGTTAGTTGAGTAGATACAGCATAAACAAGTTTCTGAGAATGCTTCTGTCCAGTTTTTATGGGAAGATATTTCCTTTTTCACCTTAGCCCTGAAAGCGCTCCAAATTTCCAGTTCCAGATACTACAAAAGGGGTGTTTCAAGACTGCTCTATGAAAGGGAGTGTTCAAGTTTTGACTTGAATGCAAACATCAGAAAGCAGTTTCTCAGAACGCTGCTGTGTGCTTTTTATATGTACTCCCGCTTCCAGCGAAATCCCCAAAGCTAGCCAAATATCCACTTGCAGATTCCAGAAAAAGAGTGTTTCAAAACTACTCCTTCAAAACGGTGGTTCAATTCTCTTAGTTGAGTACACACATCTCAAATAAGTTTCTGAGAATGCTTCTGTCTAGTTGTTATGGGAAGATATTTCCTTTTCCAACATAGGCCTGAAAGCGCTCCAAATTTCCACTTCCAGATACTACAAAAGGAGTGATTCAAACCTGCTCTATGATAGGGAATGTTCAACTCTGTGTCCTGAATACAAACATCACAAAGATGTTTCTCAGAACGCTGCAGTCTGCAATTTGTATGAATTCCCGCTTCCAACGAAATCCTCAAAACTAGCCAAATATCCACTTGCAGATTCCACAAAAAGAGCGTTTCAAAACTTCTCTATGAAAAGAAAGGTTCTACTCCTTTAGTTGAGGACACACATCACGAGTAAGTTTCTGAGAATGCTTCTGTCTAGTTTTTATGGGAAGATATTTCCTTTTTCACCTTAGGCCGGAAAGCGCTCCAAATGTCCACTTACACACACTACAAAAAGAGTGTTTCAAACCTGCTCTGTGAAAGGCAATGTTCAATTCTGTGACTTGAATGCAATCATCACAAAGAACTTTCTGAGAATGCTGCTGTCTGCTTTTTATATGTAATCCCGTTTCCAACGAAATCCTCAAATCTAGCCAAATAGCCACTTGCAGATTCCACAAAAAGAGTGTTTCAAAACTGTTCTGTCTAAAGAAATGTACAACTGTGTTAGTTGAGGACACACATCAGAAACTAGTTTCTGAGAATGCTTCTGTCTAGTTGTTATGGGAAGATATTTCCTTTTCCAACGTAGGCCTGAAAGCGCTCCAAATGTCCACTTCCATATACTAAAAAAAGAGTGTTTCAAACCTGCTCTACCAAAGGGAATGTTCTACTCTGTGACTTGAATGCAAACATCCCAAAGAAGTTTCTGAGAATGCTTCTGTCTAGATTTGATCTGAAGACAATCCCGTTTCCAACGAAATCCTCAAGGCTAGGCAAATATCCTCTTGCAGATTCCAGAAAAAGAGTGTTTCAAAACTCCTCCTTCAAAACGGTGGTTCAATTCTCTTAGTTGAGTACACACATCTCAAATAAGTTTCTGAGAATGCTTCTGCCTAGTTGTTACGGGAAGATATTTCCCTTTCCAACATAGGCCTGAAAGCGCTCCAAATGTCCACTTCCAGATACTACAAAAAGAGTGTTTCAAACCTGCTCTACCAAAGGGAATGTTCTACTCTGTGACTTGAATGCAAACATCCCAAAGAAGTTTCTGAGAATGCTTCTGTCTAGATTTTACCTGAAGACAATCCCGTTTCCCACGAAATCCTCAAAGCTATGCAAATATCCTCTTGCAGATTCTACAAAAAGAGTGTTTCAAAACTGCTCTATGAAAAGAAATGTTCAACTCTGTCACTAGAGGGCACACATCACAAACAAGTTTCTGAGAATGCTTGTGTCTAGTTGTTATGGGAAGATATTTCCTTTTTCAACATAGGCCTGAAAGCGCTCCAAATGTCCACTTCCAGATACTACAAAAGGAGTGATTCCAACCTGCTCTATGATAGGGAATGTTCAACTCTCTGTCCTGAATACAAACATCACAAAGATGTTTCTCAGAACGCTGCAGTCTGCAATTTGTATGAATTCCCGCTTCCAACGAAATCCTCAAAACTAGCCAAATATCCACTTGCAGATTCCACAAAAAGAGCATTTCAAAACTGCTCTATCAAAAGAAAGGTTCAACTTTGTTAGTAGAGTAGATACAGCATAAACAAGTTTCTGAGAATGCTTCTGTCCAGTTTTTATGGGAATATATTTCCTTTTTCACCTTAGCCCTGAAAGCGCTCCAAAAGTCCAGTTCCAGATACTACAAAAGGAGTGTTTCAGGACTGCTCTATGAAAGGGAGTGTTCAACTTTTGACTTGAATGCAAACATCAGAAAGCAGTTTCTCAGAACGCTGCTGTGTGCTTTTTATATGTATTCCCGCCTCCAGCGAAATCCCCAAAGCTAGCCAAATATCCACTTGCAGATTCCAGAAAAAGAGTGTTTCAAAACTGCTCCTTCAAAACGGTGGTTCAATTCTCTTAGTTGAGTACACACATCTCAAATAAGTTTCTGAGAATGCTTCTGTCTAGTTGTTATGGGAAGATATTTCCTTTTCCAACATAGGCCTGAAAGCGCTCCAAATGTCCACTTCCAGATACTACAAAAGGAGTGATTCCAACCTGCTCTATGATAGGGAATGTTCAACTCTGTGTCCTGAATACAAACATCACAAAGATGTTTCTCAGAACGCTGCAGTCTGCAATTTGCATGAATTCCAGCTTCCAATGAAATCCTCAAAACTAGCCAAATATCCACTTGCAGATTCCACAAAGAGAGCATTTCAAAACTGCTCTATCAAAAGAAAGGTTCAACTTTGTTAGTAGAGTAGATACAGCATAAACAAGTTTCTGAGAATGCTTCTGTCCAGTTTTTATGGGAAGATATTTCCTTTTTCACCTTAGCCCTGAAAGCGCTCCAAATGTCCAGTTCCAGATACTACAAAAGGGGTGTTTCAAGACTGCTCTATGAAAGGGAGTGTTCAACTTTTGACTTGAATGCAAACATCAGAAAGCAGTTTCTCAGAACGCTGCTGTGTGCTTTTTATATGTATTCCCGCTTCCAGCGAAATCCCCAAAGCTAGCCAAATATCCACTTGCAGATTCCAGAAAAAGAGTGTTTCAAAACTGCTCCTTCAAAACGGTGGTTCAATTCTCTTAGTTGAGTACACACATCTCAAATAAGTTTCTGAGAATGCTTCTGTCTATTTGTTATGGGAAGATATTTCCTTTTCCAACATAGGCCTGAAAGCGCTCCAAATGTCCACTTCCAGATACTAGAAAAGGAGTGATTCAAACCTGCTCTATGATAGGGAATGTTCAACTCTGTGTCCTGAATACAAACATCACAAAGATGTTTCTCAGAACGCTGCAGTCTGCAATTTGTATGAATTCCCGCTTCCAACGAAATCCTCAAAACTAGCCAAATATCCACTTGCAGATTCCACAAAAAGAGCGTTTCAAAACTTCTCTATGAAAAGAAAGGTTCTACTCCTTTAGTTGAGGACACACATCACGAGTAAGTTTCTGAGAATGCTTCTGTCTAGTTTTTATGGGAAGATATTTCCTTTTTCACCTTAGGCCGGTAAGTGCTCCAAATGTCCACTTACACACACTACAAAAAGAGTGTTTCAAACCTGCTCTGTGAAAGGGAATGTTCAATTCTGTGACTTGAATGCAATCATCACAAAGAACTTTCTGAGAATGCTGCTGACTGCTTTTTATATGTAATCCCGTTTCCAACGAAATCCTCAAATCTAGCCAAATAGCCACTTGCAGATTCCACAAAAAGAGTGTTTCAAAACTGTTCTGTCTAAAGAAATGTTCAACTGTGTTAGTTGAGGACACACATCAGAAACTAGTTTCTGAGAATGCTTCTGTCTAGTTGTTATGGGAAGATATTTCCTTTTCCAACGTAGGCCTGAAAGTGCTCCAAATATCCACTTCCAGATACTACAAAAAGAGTGTTTCAAACCTGCTCTACCAAAGGGAATGTTCTACTCTGTGACTGGAATGCAAGCATCCCAAAGAAGTTTCTGAGAATGCTTCTGTCTAGATTTTCTCTGAAGACAATCCCGTTTCCAACGAAATCCTCAAGGCTAGGCAAATATACTCTTGCAGATTCCAGAAAAAGAGTGTTTCAAAACTGCTCCTTCAAAACGGTGGTTCAATTCTCTTAGTTGAGTACACACATCTCAAATAAGTTTCTGAGAATGCTTCTGCCTAGTTGTTACGGGAAGATATTTCCCTTTCCAACATGGGCCTGAAAGCGCTCCAAATGTCCACTTCCAGATACTACAAAAAGAGTGTTTCAAACCTGCTCTACCAAAGGGAATGTTCTACTCTGTGACTTGAATGCAAACATCCCAAAGAAGTTTCTGAGAATGCTTCTGTCTAGATTTTACCTGAAGACAATCCCGTTTCCCACGAAATCCTCAAAGCTATGCAAATATCCTCTTGCAGATTCTACAAAAAGAGTGTTTCAAAACTGCTCTATGAAAAGAAAGGTTCAACTCTGTCAGTAGAGGGCACACATCACAAACAAGTTTCTGAGAATGCTTGTGTCTAGTTGTTATGGGAAGATATTTCCTTTTTCAACATAGGCCTGAAAGCGCTCCAAATGTCCACTTCCACATACTACAAAAGGAGTGATTCCAACCTGCTCTATGATAGGGAATGTTCATCTCTGTGTCCTGAATACAAACATCACAAAGATGTTTCTCAGAACGCTGCAGTCTGCAATTTGTATGAATTCCCGCTTCCAACGAAATCCTCAAAACTAGCCAAATATCCACTTGGAGATTCCACAAAAAGAGCGTTTCAAAACTTCTCCATGAATAGAAAGGTTCTACTCCTTTAGTTGAGGAAACACATCACGAGTAAGTTTCTGAGAATGCTTCTGTCTAGTTTTTATGGGAAGATATCTCTTTTTTCACCTTAGGCCGGAAAGCGCTCCAAATGTCCACTTACACACACTACAAAAAGAGTGTTTCAAACCTGCTCTGTGAAAGGGAATGTTCAATTCTGTGACTTGAATGCAATCATCACAAAGAACTTTCTGAGAATGCTGCTGTCTGCTTTTTATATGTTATCCCTTTTCCAACGAAATCCTCAAATCTAGCCCAATATCCACTTGCAGATTCCACAAAAAGAGTGTTTCAAAACTGTTCTGTCTAAAGAAAAGTTCAACTGTGTTAGTTGAGGACACACATCAGAAACTAGTTTCTGAGAATGCTTCTGTCTAGTTGTTATGGGAAGATATTTCCTTTTCCAACGTAGGCCTGAAAGCGCTCCAAATGTCCACTTCCATATACTAAAAAAAGAGTGTTTCAAACCTGCTCTACCAAAGGGAATGTTCTACTCTGTGACTTGAATGCAAACATCCCAAAGAAGTTTCTGAGAATGCTTCTGTCTAGATTTTATCTGAAGACAATCCCGTTTCCAACGAAATCCTCAAGGCTAGGCAAATATACTCTTGCAGATTCCAGAAAAAGAGTGTTTCAAAACTGCTCCTTCAAAACGGTGGTTCAATTCTCTTCGTTGAGTCCACACATCTCAAATAAGTTTCTGAGAATGCTTCTGCCTAGTTGTTACGGCAAGATATTTCCCTTTCCAACATGGGCCTGAAAGCGCTCCAAATGTCCACTTCCAGATAGTACAAAAAGAGTGTTTCAAACCTGCTCTACCAAAGGGAATGTTCTACTCTGTGACTTGAATGCAAACATCCCAAAGAAGTTTCTGAGAATGCTTCTGTCTAGATTTTACCTGAAGACAATCCCGTTTCCCACGAAATCCTCAAAGCTATGCAAATATCCTCTTGCGGATTCTACAAAAAGAGTGTTTCAAAACTGCTCTATGAAAAGAAAGGTTCAACTCTGTCAGTAGAGGGCACACATCACAAACAAGTTTCTGAGAATGCTTGTGTCTAGTTGTTATGGGAAGATATTTCCTTTTTCAACATAGGCCTGAAAGCGCTCCAAATGTCCACTTCCAGATACTACAAAAGGAGTGATTCCAACCTGCTCTATGATAGGGAATGTTCATCTCTGTGTCCTGAATACAAACATCACAAAGATGTTTCTCAGAACGCTGCAGTCTGCAATTTGGATGAATTCCCGCTTCCAACGAAATCCTCAAAACTAGCCAAATATCCACTTGGAGATTCCACAAAAAGAGCGTTTCAAAACTTCTCTATGAATAGAAAGGTTCTACTCCTTTAGTTGAGGACACACATCACGAGTAAGTTTCTGAGAATGCTTCTGTCTAGTTTTTATGGGAAGATATTTCCTTTTTCACCTTAGGCCGGAAAGCGCTCCAAATGTCCACTTACACACACTACAAAAAGAGTGTTTCAAACCTGCTCTGTGAAAGGGAATGTTCAATTCTGTGACTTGAATGCAATCATCACAAAGAACTTTCTGAGAATGCTGCTGTCTGCTTTTTATATGTAATCCCGTTTCCAACGAAATCCTCAAATCTAGCCCAATATCCACTTGCAGATTCCACAAAAAGAGTGTTTCAAAACTGTTCTGTCTAAAGAAATGTACAACTGTGTTAGTTGAGGACACACATCAGAAACTAGTTTCTGAGAATGCTTCTGTCTAGTTGTTATGGGAAGATATTTCCTTTTCCAACGTAGGCCTGAAAGCGCTCCAAATGTCCACTTCCATATACTAAAAAAAGAGTGTTTCAAACCTGCTCTACCAAAGGGAATGTTCTACTCTGTGACTTGAATGCAAACATCCCAAAGAAGTTTCTGAGAATGCTTCTGTCTAGATTTTATCTGAAGACAATCCCGTTTCCAACGAAATCCTCAAGGCTAGGCAAATATACTCTTGCAGATTCCAGAAAAAGAGGGTTTCAAAACTGCTCCTTCAAAACGGTGGTTCAATTCTCTTAGTTGAGTACACACATCTCAAATAAGTTTCTGAGAATGCTTCTGCCTAGTTGTTACGGGAAGATATTTCCCTTTCCAACATGGGTCTGAAAGCGCTCCAAATGTCCACTTCCAGATACTACAAAAAGAGTGTTTCAAACCTGCTCTACCAAAGGGAATGTTCTACTCTGTGACTTGAATGCAAACATCCCAAAGAAGTTTCTGAGAATGCTTCTGTCTAGATTTTACCTGAAGACAATCCCGTTTCCCACGAAATCCTCAAAGCTGTGCAAATATCCTCTTGCGGATTCTATAAAAGAGTGTTTCAAAACTGCTCTATGAAAAGAAAGGTTCAACTCTGTCAGTAGAGGGCACACATCACAAACAAGTTTCTGAGAATGCTTGTGTCTAGTTGTTATGGGAAGATATTTCCTTTTTCAACATAGGCCTGAAAGCGCTCCAAATGTCCACTTCCAGATACTACAAAAGGAGTGATTCCAACATGCTCTATGATAGGGAATGTTCATCTCTGTGTCTTGAATACAAACATTTCAAAGATGTTTCTCAGAACGCTGCAGTCTGCAATTTGTATGAATTCCCGCTTCCAACGAAATCCTCAAAACTAGCCAAATATCCACTTGGAGATTCCACAAAAAGAGCGTTTCAAAACTTCTCTATGAATAGAAATGTTCTACTCCTTTAGTTGAGGACACACATCACGAGTAAGTTTCTGAGAATGCTTCTGTCTAGTTTTTATGGGAAGATATGTCCTTTTTCACCTTAGGCCGGAAAGCGCTCCAAATGTCCACTTACACACACTACAAAAAGAGTGTTTCAAACCTGCTCTGTGAAAGGGAATGTTCAATTCTGTGACTTGAATGCAATCATCACAAAGAACTTTCTGAGAATGCTGCTGTCTGCTTTTTATATGTAATCCCGTTTCCAACGAAATCCTCAAATCTAGCCAAATATCCACTTGCAGATTCCACAAAAAGAGTGTTTCAAAACTGTTCTGTCTAAAGAAAAGTTCAACTGTGTTAGTTGAGGACACACATCAGAAACTAGTTTCTGAGAATGCTTCTGTCTAGTTGTTATGGGAAGATATTTCCTTTTCCAACGTAGGCCTGAAAGCGCTCCAAATGTCCACTTCCATATACTAAAAAAAGAGTGTTTCAAACCTGCTCTACCAAAGGGAATGTTCTACTCTGTGACTTGAATGCAAACATCCCAAAGAAGTTTCTGAGAATGCTTCTGTCTAGATTTTATCTGAAGACAATCCCGTTTCCAACGAAATCTTCAAGGCTAGGCAAATATACTCTTGCAGATTCCAGAAAAAGAGTGTTTCAAAACTGCTCCTTCAAAACGGTGGTTCAATTCTCTCAGTTGAGTACACACATCTCAAATAAGTTTCTGAGAATGCTTCTGCCTAGTTGTTACGGGAAGTATATTTCCCTTTCCAACATAGGCCTGAAAGCGCTCCAAATGTCCACTTCCAGATACTATAAAAAGAGTGTTTCAAACCTGCTCTACCAAAGGGAATGTTCTACTCTGTGACTTGAATGCAAACATCCCAAAGAAGTTTCTGAGAATGCTTCTGTCTAGATTTTTACCTGAAGACAATCCCGTTTCCCACGAAATCCTCAAAGCTATGCAAATATCCTCTTGCAGATTCTACAAAAAGAGTGTTTCAAAACTGCTCTATGAAAAGAAAGGTTCAACTCTGTCAGTAGAGGGCACACATCACAAACAAGTTTCTGAGAATGCTTCTGCATAGTTGTTACGGGAAGATATTTCCCTTTCCAAAATAGGCCTGAAAGCGCTCCAAATGTCCACTTCCAGATACTACAAAAGGAGTGATTCCAACCTGCTCTATGATAGGGAATGTTCAACTCTGTGTCCTGAATACAAACATCACAAAGATGTTTCTCAGAACGCTGCAGTCTGCAATTTGTATGAATTCCCGCTTCCAACGAAATCCTCAAAACTAGCCAAATATCCACTTGCAGATTCCACAAAAAGACCATTTCAAAACTGCTCTATCAAAAGAAAGGTTCAACTTTGTTAGTTGAGTAGATACAGCATAAACAAGTTTCTGAGAATGCTTCTGTCCAGTTTTTATGGGAAGATATTTCCTTTTTCACCTTAGCCCTGAAATCGCTCCAAAAGTCCAGTTCCAGATACTACAAAAGGGGTGTTTCAAGACTGCTCTATGAAAGGGAGTGTTCAACTTTTGACTTGAATGCAAACATCAGAAA
This sequence comes from Homo sapiens, assembly GCF_000001405.40. NCBI lineage: Eukaryota > Metazoa > Chordata > Mammalia > Primates > Hominidae > Homo > Homo sapiens. The sequence goes on along the minus strand of NC_000018.10, from coordinate 17,546,987 downwards.
GCAGTTTCTCAGAACGCTGCTGTGTGCTTTTTATATGTATTCCCGCTTCCAGCGAAATCCCCAAAGCTAGCCAAATATCCACTTGCAGATTCCAGAAAAAGAGAGTTTCAAAACTGCTCCTTCAAAACGGTGGTTCAATTCTCTTAGTTGAGTACACACATCTCAAATAAGTTTCTGAGAATGCTTCTGTCTAGTTGTTATGGGAAGATATTTCCTTTTCCAACATAGGCGTGAAAGCGCTCCAAATGTCCACTTCCAGATACTACAAAAGGAGTGATTCAAACCTGCTCTATGATAGGGAATGTTCAACTCTGTGTCCTGAATACAAACATCACAAAGATGTTTCTCAGAACGCTGCAGTCTGCAATTTGTATGAATTCCCGCTTCCAACGAAATCCTCAAAACTAGCCAAATATCCACTTGCAGATTCCACAAAAAGAGCGTTTCAAAACTTCTCTATGAAAAGAAAGGTTCTACTCCTTTAGTTGAGGACACACATCACGAGTAAGTTTCTGAGAATGCTTCTGTCTAGTTTTTATGGGAAGATATTTCCTTTTTCACCTTAGGCCGGAAAGTGCTCCAAATGTCCACTTACACACACTACAAAAAGAGTGTTTCAAACCTGCTCTGTGAAAGGGAATGTTCAATTCTGTGACTTGAATGCAATCATCACAAAGAACTTTCTGAGAATGCTGCTGTCTGCTTTTTATATGTAATCCCGTTTCCAACGAAATCCTCAAATCTAGCCAAATAGCCACTTGCAGATTCCACAAAAAGAGTGTTTCAAAACTGTTCTGTCTAAAGAAATGTTCAACTGTGTTAGTTGAGGACACACATCAGAAACTAGTTTCTGAGAATGCTTCTGTCTAGTTGTTATGGGAAGATATTTCCTTTTCCAACGTAGGCCTGAAAGCGCTCCAAATGTCCACTTCCAGATACTACAAAAGGAGTGATTCCAACCTGCTCTATGATAGGGAATGTTCAACTCTGTGTCCTGAATACAAACATCACAAAGATGTTTCTCAGAACGCTGCAGTCTGCAATTTGTATGAATTCCCGCTTCCAACGAAATCCTCCAAACTAGCCAAATATCCACTTGCAGATTCCACAAAAAGAGCGTTTCAAAACTTCTCTATGAAAGAAAGGTTCTACTCCTTTAGTTGAGGACACACATCACGAGTAAGTTTCTGAGAATGCTTCTGTCTAGTTTTTATGGGAAGATATTTCCTTTCTCACCTTAGGCCGGAAAGTGCTCCAAATGTCCACTTACACACACTACAAAAAGAGTGTTTCAAACCTGCTCTGTGAAAGGGAATGTTCAATTCTGTGACTTGAATGCAATCATCACAAAGAACTTTCTGAGAATGCTGCTGTCTGCTTTTTATATGAAATCCCGTTTCCAACGAAATCCTCAAATCTAGCCAAATAGCCACTTGCAGATTCCACAAAAAGTGAGTTTCAAAACTGTTCTGTCTAAAGAAATGTTCAACTGTGTTAGTTGAGGACACACATCAGAAACTAGTTTCTGAGAATGCTTCTGTCTAGTTGTTATGGGAAGATATTTCCTTTTCCAACGTAGGCCTGAAAGCGCTCCAAATGTCCACTTCCATATACTAAAAAAAGAGTGTTTCACACCTGCTCTACCAAAGGGAATGTTCTACTCTGTGACTTGAATGCAAACATCCCAAAGAAGTTTCTGAGAATGCTTCTGTCTAGATTTGATCTGAACACAATCCCGTTTCCAACGAAATCCTCAAAGCTAGGCAAATATCCTCTTGCAGATTCCAGAAAAAGAGTGTTTCAAAACTGCTCCTTCAAAACGGTGGTTCAATTCTCTTAGTTGAGTACACACATCTCAAATAAGTTTCTGAGAATGCTTCTGCCTAGTTGTTACGGGAAGATATTTCCCTTTCCAACATAGGCCTGAAAGCGCTCCAAATGTCCACTTCCAGATACTACAAAAAGAGTGTTTCAAACCTGCTCTACCAAAGGGAATGTTCTACTCTGTGACTTGAATGCAAACATCCCAAAGAAGTTTCTGAGAATGCTTCTGTCTAGATTTTACCTGAAGACAGTCCCGTTTCCCACGAAATCCTCAAAGCTATGCAAATATCCTCTTGCAGATTCTACAAAAAGAGTGTTTCGAAACTGCTCTATGAAAAGAAAGTTTCAACTGTGTCAGTAGAGGGCACACATCACAAACAAGTTTCTGAGAATGCCTCTGCCTAGTTGTTATGGGAAGATATTTCCTTTTTCAACATAGGCCTGAAAGCGCTCCAAATGTCCACTTCCAGATACTACAAAAGGAGTGATTCCAACCTGCTCTATGATAGGGAATGTTCAACTCTGTGTCCTGAATACAAACATCACAAAGATGTTTCTCAGAACGCTGCAGTCTGCAATTTGTATGAATTCCGGCTTCCAACGAAAATCCTCAAAACTAGCCAAATATCCACTTGCAGATTCCACAAAAAGAGCATTTCAAAACTGCTCTATCAAAAGAAAGGTTCAACTTTGTTAGTTGAGTAGATACAGCATAAACAAGTTTCTGAGAATGCTTCTGTCCAGTTTTTATGGGAAGATATTTCCTTTTTCACCTTAGCCCTGAAAGCGCTCCAAAAGTCCAGTTCCAGATACTATAAAAGGAGTGTTTCAGGACTGCTCTATGAAAGGGAGTGTTCAACTTTTGACTTGAATGCAAACATCAGAAAGCAGTTTCTCAGAACGCTGCTGTGTGCTTTTTATATGTATTCCCGCTTCCAGCGAAATCCCCAAAGCTAGCCAAATATCCACTTGCAGATTCCAGAAAAAGAGTGTTTCAAAACTGCTCCTTCAAAACGGTGGTTCAATTCTCTTAGTTGAGTACACACATCTCAAATAAGTTTCTGAGAATGCTTGTGTCTAGTTGTTATGGGAAGATATTTCCTTTTTCAACATAGGCTGAAAGCGCTCCAAATGTCCACTTCCAGATACTACAAAAGGAGTGATTCCAACCTGCTCTATGATAGGGAATGTTCAACTCTCTGTCCTGAATACAAACATCACAAAGATGTTTCTCAGAACGCTGCAGTCTGCAATTTGTATGAATTCCCGCTTCCAGCGAAATCCTCAAAACTAGCCAAATATCCACTTGCAGATTCCACAAAAAGAGCATTTCAAAACTGCTCTATCAAAAGAAAGGTTCAACTTTGTTAGTTGAGTAGATACAGCATAAACAAGTTTCTGAGAATGCTTCTGTCCAGTTTTTATGGGAAGATATTTCCTTTTTCACCTTAACCCTGAAAGCGCTCCAAAAGTCCAGTTCCAGATACTACAAAAGGAGTGTTTCAGGACTGCTCTATGAAAGGGAGTGTTCAACTTTTGACTTGAATGCAAACATCAGAAAGCAGTTTCTCAGAACGCTGCTGTGTGCTTTTTATATGTATTCCCGCTTCCAGCGAAATCCCCAAAGCTAGCCAAATATCCACTTGCAGATTCCAGAAAAAGAGTGTTTCAAAACTGCTCCTTCAAAACGGTGGTTCAATTCTCTTAGTTGAGTACACACATCTCAAATAAGTTTCTGAGAATGCTTCTGTCTAGTTGTTATGGGAAGATATTTCCTTTTCCAACATAGGCCTGAAAGCGCTCCAAATGTCCACTTCCAGATACTACAAAAGGAGTGATTCAAACCTGCTCTATGATAGGGAATGTTCAACTCTGTGTCCTGAATACAAACATCACAAAGATGTTTCTCAGAACGCTGCAGTCTGCAATTTGTATGAATTCCCGCTTCCAACGAAATCCTCCAAACTAGCCAAATATCCACTTGCAGATTCCACAAAAAGAGCGTTTCAAAACTTCTCTATGAAAAGAAAGGTTCTACTCCTTTAGTTGAGGACACACATCACGAGTAAGTTTCTGAGAATGCTTCTGTCTAGTTTTTATGGGAAGATATTTCCTTTTTCACCTTAGGCCGGAAAGTGCTCCAAATGTCCACTTACACACACTATAAAAAGAGGGTTTCAAACCTGCTCTGTGAAAGGGAATGTTCAATTCTGTGACTTGAATGCAATCATCACAAAGAACTTTCTGAGAATGCTGCTGTCTGCTTTTTATATGTAATCACGTTTCCAACGAAATCCTCAAATCTAGCCAAATAGCCACTTGCAGATTCCACAAAAAGAGTGTTTCAAAACTGTTCTGTCTAAAGAAATGTTCAACTGTGTTAGTTGAGGACACACATCAGAAACTAGTTTCTGAGAATGCTTCTGTCTAGTTGTTATGGGAAGATATTTCCTTTTCCAACGTAGGCCTGAAAGCGCTCCAAATGTCCACTTCCATATACTAAAAAAAGAGTGTTTCAAACCTGCTCTACCAAAGGGAATGTTCTACTCTGTGACTTGAATGCAAACATCCCAAAGAAGTTTCTGAGAATGCTTCTGTCTAGATTTGATCTGAAGACAATCCCGTCTCCAACGAAATCCTCAAGGCTAGGCAAATATCCTCTTGCAGATTCCAGAAAAAGAGTGTTTCAAAACTGCTCCTTCAAAACGGTGGTTCAATTCTCTTAGTTGAGTACACACATCTCAAATAAGTTTCTGAGAATGCTTCTGCCTAGTTGTTACGGGAAGATATTTCCCTTTCCAACATAGGCCTGAAAGCGCTCCAAATGTCCACTTCCAGATACTACAAAAAGAGTGTTTCAAACCTGCTCTACCAAAGGGAATGTTCTACTCTGTGACTTGAATGCAAACATCCCAAAGAAGTTTCTGAGAATGCTTCTGTCTAGATTTTACCTGAAGACAATCCCGTTTCCCACGAAATCCTCAAAGCTATGCAAATATCCTCTTGCAGATTCTACAAAAAGAGTGTTTCAAAACTGCTCTATGAAAAGAAAGGTTCAACTCTGTCAGTAGAGGGCACACATCACAAACAAGTTTCTGAGAATGCTTCTGCATAGTTGTTACGGGAAGATATTTCCCTTTCCAAAATAGGCCTGAAAGCGCTCCAAATGTCCACTTCCAGATACTACAAAAGGAGTGATTCCAACCTGCTCTATGATAGGGAATGTTCAACTCTGTGTCCTGAATACAAACATCACAAAGATGTTTCTCAGAACGCTGCAGTCTGCAATTTGTATGAATTCCCGCTTCCAACGAAATCCTCAAAACTAGCCAAATATCCACTTGCAGATTCCACAAAAAGACCATTTCAAAACTGCTCTATCAAAAGAAAGGTTCAACTTTGTTAGTTGAGTAGATACAGCATAACCAAGTTTCTGAGAATGCTTCTGTCCAGTTTTTATGGGAAGATATTTCCTTTTTCACCTTAGCCCTGAAATCGCTCCAAAAGTCCAGTTCCAGATACTACAAAAGGGGTGTTTCAAGACTGCTCTATGAAAGGGAGTGTTCAACTTTTGACTTGAATGCAAACATCAGAAAGCAGTTTCTCAGAACGCTGCTGTGTGCTTTTTATATGTATTCCCGCTTCCAGCGAAATCCCCAAAGCTAGCCAAATATCCACTTGCAGATTCCAGAAAAAGAGAGTTTCAAAACTGCTCCTTCAAAACGGTGGTTCAATTCTCTTAGTTGAGTACACACATCTCAAATAAGTTTCTGAGAATGCTTCTGTCTAGTTGTTATGGGAAGATATTTCCTTTTCCAACATAGGCCTGAAAGCGCTCCACATGTCCACTTCCAGATACTACAAAAGGAGTGATTCAAACCTGCTCTATGATAGGGAATGTTCAACTCTGTGTCCTGAATACAAACATCACAAAGATGTTTCTCAGAACACTGCAGTCTGCATCTTGTATGAATTCCCGCTTCCAACGAAATCCTCAAAACTAGCCAAATATCCACTTGCAGATTCCACAAAAAGAGCGTTTCAAAACTTCTCTATGAAAAGAAAGGTTCTACTCCTTTAGTTGAGGACACACATCACGAGTAAGTTTCTGAGAATGCTTTCTGTCTAGTTTTTATGGGAAGATATTTCCTTTTTCACCTTAGGCCGGTAAGTGCTCCAAATGTCCACTTACACACACTACAAAAAGAGTGTTTCAAACCTGCTCTGTGAAAGGGAATGTTCAATTCTGTGACTTGAATGCAATCATCACAAAGAACTTTCTGAGAATGCTGCTGACTGCTTTTTATATGTAATCCCGTTTCCAACGAAATCCTCAAATCCAGCCAAATAGCCACTTGCAGATTCCACAAAAAGAGTGTTTCAAAACTGTTCTGTCTAAAGAAATGTTCAACTGTGTTAGTTGAGGACACACATCAGAAACTAGTTTCTGAGAATGCTTCTGTCTAGTTGTTATGGGAAGATATTTCCTTTTCCAACGTAGGCCTGAAAGCGATCCAAATGTCCACTTCCATATACTAAAAAAAGAGTGTTTCAAACCTGCTCTACCAAAGGGAATGTTCTACTCTGTGACTTGAATGCAAACATCCCAAAGAAGTTTCTGAGAATGCTTCTGTCTAGATTTTCTCTGAAGACAATCCCGTTTCCAACGAAATCCTCAAGGCTAGGCAAATATACTCTTGCAGATTCCAGAAAAAGAGTGTTTCAAAACTGCTCCTTCAAAACGGTGGTTCAATTCTCTTAGTTGAGTACACACATCTCAAATAAGTTTCTGAGAATGCTTCTGCCTAGTTGTTACGGGAAGATATTTCCCTTTCCAACATAGGCCTGAAAGCGCTCCAAATGTCCACTTCCAGATACTACAAAAAGAGTGTTTGAAACCTGCTCTACCAAAGGGAATGTTCTACTCTGTGACTTGAATGCAAACATCTCAAAGAAGTTTCTGAGAATGCTTCTGTCTAGATTTTACCTGAAGACAATCCCGTTTCCCACGAAATCCTCAAAGCTATTCAAATATCCTCTTGCAGATTCTACAAAAAGAGTGTTTCAAAACTGCTCTATGAAAAGAAAGGTTCAACTCTGTCACTAGAGGGCACACATCACAAACAAGTTTCTGAGAATGCTTGTGTCTAGTTGTTATGGGAAGATATTTCCTTTTTCAACATAGGCCTGAAAGCGCTCCAAATGTCCACTTCCAGATACTACAAAAGGAGTGATTCCAACCTGCTCTATGATAGGGAATGTTCAACTCTCTGTCCTGAATACAAACATCACAAAGATGTTTCTCAGAACGCTGCAGTCTGCAATTTGTATGAATTCCCGCTTCCAGCGAAATCCTCAAAACTAGCCAAATATCCACTTGCAGATTCCACAAAAAGAGCATTTCAAAACTGCTCTATCAAAAGAAAGGTTCAACTTTGTTAGTTGAGTAGATACAGCATAAACAAGTTTCTGAGAATGCTTCTGTCCAGTTTTTATGGGAAGATATTTCCTTTTTCACCTTAGCCCTGAAAGCGCTCCAAAAGTCCAGTTCCAGATACTACAAAAGGAGTGTTTCAGGACTGCTCTATGAAAGGGAGTGTTCAACTTTTGACTTGAATGCAAACATCAGAAAGCAGTTTCTCAGAACGCTGCTGTGTGCTTTTTATATGTATTCCCGCTTCCAGCGAAATCCCCAAAGCTAGCCAAATATCCACTTGCAGATTCCAGAAAAAGAGTGTTTCAAAACTGCTCCTTCAAAACGGTGGTTCAATTCTCTTAGTTGAGTACACACATCTCAAATAAGTTTCTGAGAATGCTTCTGTCAGTTGTTATAGAAGATATTTCCTTTTTCAACATAGGCCTGAAAGCCCCCCAAATGTCCACTTCCAGATACTACAAAAGGGGTGTTTCAAGCCTGCTCTATGAAAGGGAGTGTTCATCTTTTGACTTGAATGCAAACATCAGAAAGCCGTTTCTCATAACGCTGCTGTGTGCTTTTTATATGTATTTCCGCTTCCAGCGAAATCCCCAAAGCTAGCCAAATATCCACTTGCAGATTCCAGAAAAAGACTGTTTCAAAACTGCTCCTTCAAAACGGTGGTTCAATTCTCTTAGTTGGAGACACACATCTCCAATAAGTTTCTGAGAATGCTTCTGTCTAGTTTTTATGGGAAGATATTTCCTTTTTCACCTTAGGCCGGAAAGCGCTCCAAATGTCCACTTACACATACTACAAAAAGTGTGTTTCAAACCTGCTCTGTGAAAGAGAATGTTCAATTCTGTGACTTGAATACAATCATCACAAAGAACTTTCTGAGAATGCTGCTGACTGCTTTTTATATGTAATCCCGTTTCCAACGAAATCCTCAAATCTAGCCAAATATCCACTTGCAGATTCCACAAAAAGAGTGTTTCAAAACTGTTCTGTCTAAAGAAATGTACAACTGTGTTAGTTGAGGACACACATCAGAAACTAGTTTCTGAGAATGCTTCTGTCTAGTTGTTATGGGAAGATATTTCCTTTTCCAAAGTAGGCCTGAAAGCGCTCCAAATGTCCACTTCCATATACTAAAAAAAGAGTGTTTCAAACCTGCTCTACCAAAGAGAATGTTCTACTCTGTGACTTGAATGCAAACATCCCAAAGAAGTTTCTGAGAATGCTTCTGTCTAGATTTTATCTGAAGACAATCCCGTTTCCAACGAAATCCTCAAGGCTAGGCAAATATATTCTTGCAGAATCCAGAAAAAGAGTGTTTCAAAACTGCTCCTTCAAAACGGTGGTTCAATTCTCTTAGTTGAGTACACACATCTCAAATAAGTTTCTGAGAATGCTTCTGCCTAGTTGTTATGGGAAGATATTTCCCTTTCCAACATGGGCCTGAAAGCGCTCCAAATGTCCACTTCCAGATACTACAAAAAGAGTGTTTCAAACCTGCTCTACCAAAGGGAATGTTCTACTCTGTGTCTTGAATGCAAACATCCCAAAGAAGTTTCTGAGAATGCTTCTGTCTAGATTTTACCTGAAGACAATCCCGTTTCCCACGAAATCCTCAAAGCTATGCAAATATCCTCTTGCAGATTCTACAAAAAGAGTGTTTCAAAACTGCTCTATGAAAAGAAAGGTTCAACTCTGTCAGTAGAGGGCACACATCACAAACAAGTTTCTGAGAATGCTTGTGTCTAGTTGTTATGGGAAGATATTTCCTTTTTCAACATAGGCCTGAAAGCGCTCCAAATGTCCACTTCCAGATACTACAAAAGGAGTGATTCCAACCTGCTCTATGATAGGGAATGTTCAACTCTCTGTCCTGAATACAAACATCACAAAGATGTTTCTCAGAACGCTGCAGTCTGCAATTTGTATGAATTCCCGCTTCCAACGAAATCCTCAAAACTAGCCAAATATCCACTTGCAGATTCCACAAAAAGAGCATTTCAAAACTGCTCTATCAAAAGAAAGGTTCAACTTTGTTAGTTGAGTAGATACAGCATAAACAAGTTTCTGAGAATGCTTCTGTCCAGTTTTTATGGGAAGATATTTCCTTTTTCACCTTAGCCCTGAAAGTGCTCCAAAAGTCCAGTTCCAGATACTACAAAAGGAGTGTTTCAGGACTGCTCTATGAAAGGGAGTGTTCAACTTTTGACTTGAATGCAAACATCAGAAAGCAGTTTCTCAGAACGCTGCTGTGTGCTTTTTATATGTATTCCCGCTTCCAGCGAAATCCCCAAAGCTAGCCAAATATCCACTTGCAGATTCCAGAAAAAGAGTGTTTCAAAACTGCTCCTTCAAAACGGTGGTTCAATTCTCTTAGTTGAGTACACACATCTCAAATAAGTTTCTGAGAATGCTTCTGTCTAGTTGTTATGGGAAGATATTTCCTTTTCCAACATAGGCCTGAAAGCGCTCCAAATGTCCACTTCCAGATACTACAAAAGGAGTGATTCAAACCTGCTCTATGATAGGGAATGTTCAACTCTGTGTCCTGAATACAAACATCACAAAGATGTTTCTCAGAACGCTGCAGTCTGCAATTTGTATGAATTCCCGCTTCCAACGAAATCCTCAAAACTAGCCAAATATCCACTTGCAGATTCCACAAAAAGAGCGTTTCAAAACTTCTCTATGAAAAGAAAGGTTCTACTCCTTTAGTTGAGGACACACATCACGAGTAAGTTTCTGAGAATGCTTCTGTCTAGTTTTTATGGGAAGATATTTCCTTTTTCACCTTAGGCCGGTAAGTGCTCCAAATGTCCACTTACACACACTACAAAAAGAGTGTTTCAAACCTGCTCTGTGAAAGGGAATGTTCAATTCTGTGACTTGAATGCAATCATCACAAAGAACTTTCTGAGAATGCTGCTGACTGCTTTTTATATGTAATCCCGTTTCTAACGAAATCCTCAAATCTAGCCAAATAGCCACTTGCAGATTCCACAAAAAGAGTGTTTCAAAACTGTTCTGTCTAAAGAAATGTTCAACTGTGTTAGTTGAGGACACACATCAGAAACTAGTTTCTGAGAATGCTTCTGTCTAGTTGTTATGGGAAGATATTTCCTTTTCCAACGTAGGCCTGAAAGCGCTCCAAATGTCCACTTCCAGATACTACAAAAAGAGTGTTTCAAACCTGCTCTACCAAAGGGAATGTTCTACTCTGTGACTTGAATTCAAACTTCCCAAAGAAGTTTCTGAGAATGTTTCTGTCTAGATTTTATCTGAAGACAATCCCGTTTCCAACGAAATCTTCAAGGCTAGGCAAATATACTCTTGCAGATTCCAGAAAAAGAGTGTTTCAAAACTGCTCCTTCAAAACGGTGGTTCAATTCTCTTAGTTGAGTACACACATCTCAAATAAGTTTCTGAGAATGCTTCTGCCTAGTTGTTACGGGAAGATATTTCCCTTTCCAACATGGGCCTGAAAGCGCTCCAAATGTCCACTTCCAGATACTACAAAAAGAGTGTTTCAAACCTGCTCTACCAAAGGGAATGTTCTACTCTGTGACTTGAATGCAAACATCCCAAAGAAGTTTCTGAGAATGCTTCTGTCTAGATTTTACCTGAAGACAATCCCGTTTCCCACGAAATCCTCAAAGCTATGCAAATATCCTCTTGCAGATTCTACAAAAAGAGTGTTTCAAAACTGCTCTATGAAAAGAAAGGTTCAGCTCTGTCAGTAGAGGGCACATATCACAAACAAGTTTCTGAGAATGCTTCTGCATAGTTGTTACGGGAAGATATTTCCCTTTCCAAAATAGGCCTGAAAGCGCTCCAAATGTCCACTTCCAGATACTACAAAAGGAGTGATTCCAACCTGCTCTATGATAGGGAATGTTCAACTCTGTGTCCTGAATACAAACATCACAAAGATGTTTCTCAGAACGCTGCAGTCTGCAATTTGTATGAATTCCCGCTTCCAACGAAATCCTCAAAACTAGCCAAATATCCACTTGCAGATTCCACAAAAAGACCATTTCAAAACTGCTCTATCAAAAGAAAGGTTCAACTTTGTTAGTTGAGTAGATACAGCATAAACAAGTTTCTGAGAATGCTTCTGTCCAGTTTTTATGGGAAGATATTTCCTTTTTCACCTTAGCCCTGAAATCGCTCCAAAAGTCCAGTTCCAGATACTACAAAAGGGGTGTTTCAAGACTGCTCTATGAAAGGGAGTGTTCAACTTTTGACTTGAATGCAAACATCAGAAAGCAGTTTCTCAGAACGCTGCTGTGTGCTTTTTATATAGTATTCCCGCTTCCAGCGAAATCCCCAAAGCTAGCCAAATATCCACTTGCAGATTCCAGAAAAAGAGAGTTTCAAAACTGCTCCTTCAAAACGGTGGTTCAATTCTCTTAGTTGAGTACACACATCTCAAATAAGTTTCTGAGAATGCTTCTGTCTAGTTGTTATGGGAAGATATTTCCTTTTTCAACATATGCCTGAAAGCGCTCCAAATGTCCACTTCCAGATACTACAAAAGGACTGATTCCAACCTGCTCTATGATAGGGAATGTTCAACTCTGTGTCCTGAATACAAACATCACAAAGATGTTTCTCAGAACGCTGCAGTCTGCAATTTGTATGAATTCCCGCTTCCAACGAAATCCTCCAAACTAGCCAAATATCCACTTGCAGATTCCACAAAAAGAGCGTTTCAAAACTTCTCTATGAAAAGAAAGGTTCTACTCCTTTAGTTGAGGACACACATCACGAGTAAGTTTCTGAGAATGCTTCTGTCTAGTTTTTATGGGAAGATATTTCCTTTTTCACCTTAGGCCGGTAAGTGCTCCAAATGTCCACTTACACACACTACAAAAAGAGTCTTTCAAACCTGCTCTGTGAAAGGGAATGTTCAATTCTGTGACTTGAATGCAATCATCACAAAGAACTTTCTGAGAATGCTGCTGACTGCTTTTTATATGTAATCCCGTTTCCAACGAAATCCTCAAATCTAGCCAAATAGCCACTTGCAGATTCCACAAAAAGAGTGTTTCAAAACTGTTCTGTCTAAAGAAATGTTCAACTGTGTTAGTTGAGGACACACATCAGAAACTAGTTTCTGAGAATGCTTCTGTCTAGTTGTTATGGGAAGATATTTCCTTTTCCAACGTAGGCCTGAAAGCGCTCCAAATGTCCACTTCCAGATACTAAAAAAAGAGTGTTTCAAACCTGCTCTACCAAAGGGAATGTTCTACTCTGTGACTTGAATGCAAACATCCCAAAGAAGTTTCTGAGAATGCTTCTGTCTAGATTTTCTCTGAAGACAATCCCGTTTCCAACGAAATCCTCAAGGCTAGGCAAATATACTCTTGCAGATTCCAGAAAAAGAGTGTTTCAAAACTGCTCCTTCAAAACGGTGGTTCAATTCTCTTAGTTGAGTACACACATCTCAAATAAGTTTCTGAGAATGCTTCTGCCTAGTTGTTACGGGAAGATATTTCCCTTTCCAACATGGGCCTGAAAGCGCTCCAAATGTCCACTTCCAGATACTACAAAAAGAGTGTTTCAAACCTGCTCTACCAAAGGGAATGTTCTACTCTGTGACTTGAATGCAAACATCCCAAAGAAGTTTCTGAGAATGCTTCTGTCTAGATTTTACCTGAAGACAATCCCGTTTCCCACGAAATCCTCAAAGCTATGCAAATATCCTCTTGCAGATTCTACAAAAAGAGTGTTTCAAAACTGCTCTATGAAAAGAAAGGTTCAACTCTGTCAGTAGAGGGCACACATCACAAACAAGTTTCTGAGAATGCTTCTGCATAGTTGTTACGGGAAGATATTTCCCTTTCCAAAATAGGCCTGAAAGCGCTCCAAATGTCCACTTCCAGATACTACAAAAGGAGTGATTCCAACCTGCTCTATGATAGGGAATGTTCAACTCTGTGTCCTGAATACAAACATCACAAAGATGTTTCTCAGAACGCTGCAGTCTGCAATTTGTATGAATTCCCGCTTCCAACGAAATCCTCCAAACTAGCCAAATATCCACTTGCAGATTCCACAAAAAGAGAATTTCAAAACTGCTCTATCAAAAGAAAGGTTCAACTATGTTAGTTGAGTAGATACAGCATAAACAAGTTTCTGAGAATGATTCTGTCCAGTTTTTATGGGAAGATATTTCCTTTTTCACCTTAGCCCTGAAAGCGCTCCAAAAGTCCAGTTCCAGATACTACAAAAGGAGTGTTTCAGGACTGCTCTATGAAAGGGAGTGTTCAACTTTTGACTTGAATGCAAACATCAGAAAGCAGTTTCTCAGAACGCTGCTGTGTGCTTTTTATATGTATTCCCGCTTCCAGCGAAATCCCCAAAGCTAGCCAAATATCCACTTGCAGATTCCAGAAAAAGAGTGTTTCAAAACTGCTCCTTCAAAACGGTGGTTCAATTCTCTTAGTTGAGTACACACATCTCAAATAAGTTTCTGAGAATGCTTCTGTCTAGTTGTTATGGGAAGATATTTCCTTTTCCAACATAGGCCTGAAAGCGCTCCAAATGTCCACTTCCAGATACTACAAAAGGAGTGATTCAAACCTGCTCTATGATAGGGAATGTTCAACTCTGTGTCCTGAATACAAACATCACAAAGATGTTTCTCAGAACGCTTCTCTCTAGATTTTTATATGAGGATATTCCCGTTTCCAACGAAATCCACAAAGCTATCGAAATATCCACTTGCAGATTCTACAAAAAGAGTGTTTCAAAACTGCTCTATCAAAAGAAAGGTTCTACCCCTTTAGTTGAGGACACACATCACGAGTAAGTTTCTGAGAATGCTTCTGTCTAGTTTTTATGGGAAGATATTTCCTTTTTCACCTGAGGCCGGAAAGCGCTCCAAATGTCCACTTCCAGATACTACAAAAGGAGTGATTCAAACCTGCTCTATGATAGGGAACGTTCAACTCTGTGTCCTGAATACAAACATCACAAAGATGTTTCTCAGAACGCTGCAGTCTGCAATTTGTATGAATTCCCGCTTCCAACGAAATCCTCAAAACTAGCCAAATATCCACTTGCAGATTCCACAAAAAGAGCGTTTCAAAACTTCTCTATGAAAAGAAAGGTTCTACTCCTTTAGTTGAGGACACACATCACGAGTAAGTTTCTGAGAATACTTCTGTCTAGTTTTTATGGGAAGATATTTCCTTGTTCACCTTAGGCCGGAAAGCGCTCCAAATGTCCACTTACACACACTACAAAAAGAGTGTTTCAAACCTGCTCTGTGAAAGGGAATGTTCAATTCTGTGACTTGAATGCAATCATCACAAAGAAGTTTCTGAGAATGCTGCTGTCTGCTTTTTATATGTAATCCCGTTTCCAACGAAATCCTCAAATCTAGCCAAATATCCACTTGCAGATTCCACAAAGAGAGTGTTTCAAATCTGCTCTGTCTAAAGAAATGTTCAACTGTGTTAGTTGAGGACACACATCAGAAACTAGTTTCTGAGAATGCTTCTGTCTAGTTGTTATGGGAAGATATTTCCTTTTCCAACGTAGGCCTGAAAGCGCTCCAAATGTCCACTTCCATATACTAAAAAAAGAGTGTTTCAAACCTGCTCTACCAAAGGGAATGTTCTACTCTGTGACTTGAATGCAAACATCCCAAAGAAGTTTCTGAGAATGCTTCTGCCTAGTTGTTACGGGAAGATATTTCCCTTTCCAACATAGGCCTGAAAGCGCTCCAAATGTCCACTTCCAGATACTACAAAAAGAGTGTTTCAAACCTGCTCTACCAAAGGGAATGTTCTACTCTGTGACTTGAATGCAAACATCCCGAAGAATTTTCTGAGAATGCTTCTGTCTAGATTTTACCTGAAGACAATCCCGTTTCCCACGAAATCCTCAAAGCTATGCAAATATCCTCTTGCAGATTCTACAAAAAGAGTGTTTCGAAACTGCTCTATGAAAAGAAAGGTTCAACTCTGTCAGTAGAGGGCACACATCACAAACAAGTTTCTGAGAATGCTTGTGTCTACTTGTTATGGGAAGATATTTCCTTTTTCAACATAGGCCTGAAAGCGCTCCAAATGTCCACTTCCAGATACTACAAAAGGAGTGATTCCAACCTGCTCTATGATAGGGAATGTTCAACTCTGTGTCCTGAATACAAACATCACAAAGATGTTTCTCAGAACGCTGCAGTCTGCAATTTGTATGTATTCCAGCTTCCAACGAAATCCTCAAATCTAGCCAAATATCCAATTGCAGATTCCACAAAAAGAGCATTTCAAAACTGCTCTATCAAAAGAAAGGTTCAACTTTTTTAGTAGAGTAGATACAGCATAAACAAGTTTCTGAGAATGCTTCTGTCCAGTTTTTATGGGAAGATATTTCCTTTTTCACCTTAGCCCTGAAAGCGCTCCAAAAGTCCAGTTCCAGATACTACAAAAGGTTTGTTTCAGGACTGCTCTATGAAAGGGAGTGTTCAACTTTTGACTTGAATGCAAACATCAGAAAGCAGTTTCTCAGAACGCTGCAGTCTGCAATTTGTATGAATTCCCGCTTCCAACGAAATCCTCCAAACTAGCCAAATATCCACTTGCAGATTCCACAAAAAGAGCGTTTCAAAACTTCTCTATGAAAAGGAAGGTTCTACTCCTTTAGTTGAGGACACACATCACGAGTAAGTTTCTGAGAGTGCTTCTGTCTAGTTTTTATGGGAAGATATTTCCTTTTTCACCTTAGGCCGGAAAGTGCTCCAAATGTCCACTTACACACACTACAAAAAGAGTGTTTCAAACCTGCTCTGTGAAAGGGAATGTTCAATTCTGTGACTTGAATGCAATCATCACAAAGAACTTTCTGAGAATGGTGCTGTCTGCTTTTTATATGTAATCCCGTTTCCAACGAAATCCTCAAATCTAGCCAAATAGCCACTTGCAGATTCCACAAAAAGAGTGTTTCAAAACTGTTCTGTCTAAAGAAATGTTCAACTGTGTTAGTTGAGGACACACATCAGAAACTAGTTTCTGAGAATGCTTCTGTCTAGTTGTTATGGGAAGATATTTCCTTTTCCAACGTAGGCCTGAAAGCGCTCCAAATGTCCACTTCCAGATACTACAAAAGGAGTGATTCCAACCTGCTCTATGATAGGGAATGTTCAACTCTGTGTCCTGAATACAAACATCACAAAGATGTTTCTCAGAACGCTGCAGTCTGCAATTTGTATGAATTCCCGCTTCCAACGAAATCCTCCAAACTAGCCAAATATCCACTTGCAGATTCCACAAAAAGAGCGTTTCAAAACTTCTCTATGAAAGAAAGGTTCTACTCCTTTAGTTGAGGACACACATCACGAGTAAGTTTCTGAGAATGCTTCTGTCTAGTTTTTATGGGAAGATATTTCCTTTTTCACCTTAGGCCGGAAAGTGCTCCAAATGTCCACTTACACACACTACAAAAAGAGTGTTTCAAACCTGCTCTGTGAAAGGGAATGTTCAATTCTGTGACTTGAATGCAATCATCACAAAGAAGTTTCTGAGAATGCTGCTGTCTGCTTTTTATATGTAATCCCGTTTCCAACGAAATCCTCAAATCTAGCCAAATAGCCACTTGCAGATTCCACAAAAAGAGAGTTTCAAAACTGTTCTGTCTAAAGAAATGTTCAACTGTGTTAGTTGAGGACACACATCAGAAACTAGTTTCTGAGAATGCTTCTGTCTAGTTGTTATGGGAAGATATTTCCTTTTCCAACGTAGGCCTGAAAGCGCTCCAAATGTCCACTTCCATATACTAAAAAAAGAGTGTTTCAAACCTGCTCTACCAAAGGGAATGTTCTACTCTGTGACTTGAATGCAAACATCCCAAAGAAGTTTCTGAGAATGCTTCTGTCTAGATTTGATCTGAAGACAATCCCGTTTCCAACGAAATCCTCAAAGCTAGGCAAATATCCTCTTGCAGATTCCAGAAAAAGAGTGTTTCAAAACTGCTCCTTCAAAACGGTGGTTCAATTCTCTTAGTTGAGTACACACATCTCCAATAAGTTTCTGAGAATGCTTCTGCCTAGTTGTTACGGGAAGATATTTCCCTTTCCAACATAGGCCTGAAAGCGCTCCAAATGTCCACTTCCAGATACTATAAAAAGAGTGTTTCAAACCTGCTCTACCAAAGGGAATGTTCTACTCTGTGACTTGAATGCAAACATCCCAAAGAAGTTTCTGAGAATGCTTCTGTCTAGATTTTACCTGAAGACAATCCCGTTTCCCACGAAATCCTCAAAGCTATGCAAATATCCTCTTGCAGATTCTACAAAAGGAGCGTTTCAAAACTTCTCTATGAAAAGAAAGGTTCTACTCATTTAGTGGAGGACACACATCACGAGTAAGTTTCTGAGAATGCTTCTGTCTAGTTTTTATGGGAAGATATTTCCTTTTTCACCTTAGGCCGGAAAGTGCTCCAAATGTCCACTTCCAGATACTACAAAAGGAGTGATTCCAACCTGCTCTATGATAGGGAATGTTCAACTCTCTGTCCTGAATACAAACATCACAAAGATGTTTCTCAGAACGCTGCAGTCTGCAATTTGTATGAATTCCCGCTTCCAACGAAATCCTCAAAACTAGCCAAATATCCACTTGCAGATTCCACAAAAAGAGCATTTCAAAACTGCTCTATCAAAAGAAAGGTTCAACTTTGTTAGTTGAGTAGATACAGCATAAACAAGTTTCTGAGAATGATTCTGTCCAGTTTTTATGGGAAGATATTTCCTTTTTCACCTTAGCCCTGAAAGCGCTCCAAAAGTCCAGTTCCAGATACTACAAAAGGAGTGTTTCAGGACTGCTCTATGAAAGGGAGTGTTCAACTTTTGACTTGAATGCAAACATCAGAAAGCAGTTTCTCAGAACGCTGCTGTGTGCTTTTTATATGTATTCCCGCTTCCAGCGAAATCCCCAAAGCTAGCCAAATATCCACTTGCAGATTCCAGAAAAAGAGTGTTTCAAAACTGCTCCTTCAAAACGGTGGTTCAATTCTCTTAGTTGAGTACACACATCTCAAATAAGTTTCTGAGAATGCTTCTGTCTAGTTGTTATGGGAAGATATTTCCTTTTACAACATAGGCCTGAAAGCGCTCCAAATGTCCACTTCCAGATACTACAAAAGGAGTGATTCCAACCTGCTCTATGATAGGGAATGTTCAACTCTGTGTCCTGAATACAAACATCACAAAGATGTTTCTCAGAACGCTGCAGTCTGCAATTTGTATGAATTCCCGCTTCCAACGAAATCCTCAAAACTAGCCAAATATCCACTTGCAGATTCCACAAAAAGAGCGTTTCAAAACTTCTCTATGAAAAGAAAGGTTCTACTCCTTTAGTTGAGGACACACATCACGAGTAAGTTTCTGAGAATGCTTCTGTCTAGTTTTTATGGGAAGATATTTCCTTTTTCACCTTAGGCCGGTAAGTGCTCCAAATGTCCACTTACACACACTACAAAAAGAGTGTTTCAAACCTGCTCTGTGAAAGGGAATGTTCAATTCTGTGACTTGAATGCAATCATCACAAAGAACTTTCTGAGAATGCTGCTGACTGCTTTTTATATGTAATCCCGTTTCTAACGAAATCCTCAAATCTAGCCAAATAGCCACTTGCAGATTCCACAAAAAGAGTGTTTCAAAACTGTTCTGTCTAAAGAAATGTTCAACTGTGTTAGTTGAGGACACACATCAGAAACTAGTTTCTGAGAATGCTTCTGTCTAGTTGTTATGGGAAGATATTTCCTTTTCCAACGTAGGCCTGAAAGCGATCCAAATGTCCACTTCCATATACTAAAAAAAGAGTGTTTCAAACCTGCTCTACCAAAGGGAATGTTCTACTCTGTGACTTGAATGCAAA